>NC_000015.10:28125358-28428389 GCF_000001405.40 Homo sapiens
TATGACCTAAACATGAATACATGCTAATTACACATCCAAAGAGGCGAGTATACTTCCCAGGACTCTCCACAGCCCCTGTTGGCCACCAGGCCTCTTCTAGTGAGAGACACACAACTCTGGTCTTAAGCCTCCAACAGTGTTAGTTCTCAGGACTAGGCATGAACAGCAGCAGTTCTCCATCAGAATAATATTAGAACAGATAGCAATATCCCGAACATCCCAAATCCATCTAATATTAAAACACATAGCAATATCCCTAACATTCCAAATTGCTCTTGCATGCGAAACAGAAAAGAAAAAGTCTGTTTTATTTATTTTATACTTTTTTTTTTGAGACAGGGTCTCACACTCTGTTGCCCAGGCTGGAGTAAACTGGCATGATCACGGTTCACTGCAGCCTCAACCTCCCCAGCTCAAGTGATCCTCCCACCTCATCTCCCAAAGTGTTGGGATTACATGCATGAACCACTGTGATGAAGTCTCACTTTGTCGCCCAGGCTGGAATGCAGTGGTGCGATCTCAAGCTCACCGCAACCTCCGCCTCCCGGGTTCGAGCGATTCTCCGGCCTCAGCCTCCTGAGTAGCTAGGCTCACAGGCACGCACCACCATGCCCAGCTAATTTTTGTATTTTTAGCAGAGACAGGGTTTCACCATGTGGGTCAGGCTGGTCTCGAACTCCTGACTTGGTGATCCACCTGAAAATCTATGTTTTTAAAATCAAAACCACAATGTGATACCACCTCACTCCTGCAAGAATGGCCATAATAAAATAAGAATAAAAAAAAATAGATGTTGGTATGGATGTGGTGAAAAGGGAACACTTATACTGCTGGTGGGAACAGAAACCAGTACAACACATTGAGATTTTCCCCCACTAGAGGGCGATAAAAACTAACAACAAGCTATCTGTGAAAACGCGTTGTGATGGAAAGCATTTTCCACGCTCCACTATGGAAAAGTATGGAGATTCCTCAAAGAACTAAAAGTAGATCTACCATTTGATCCAGCAATCCCACCACTAGGTACCTACCCAGAAGAAAAGACGTCATTATTTGAAAAAACACTTGCACACACATGTTTATAGCAGCACAATTTGCAATTACACAAATATGGAACCAGCTCCAAAGCCCATCCATCAATGAGTGGATAAAGAAAATGTGGTATATATACACCATGGAATACTACTAGCCATAAAAAGGAATGAAATGATTGCATTTGCCACAACCTGGATGGGACTAGAGACCATTATTCTAAGTAAAGTAACTCAGGAACGGAAAACCAAACCATATGTTCTCATGCGATGAGGATGCAACGGCATAAGAATGACACAATGGACTTTGGAGACTCGGGGGAAAGGGTAGGAGAGGAGTGAGGGATAAAAGACTACACATTGGGTACTGTGTACACTACTTGGGTGATGGGAGCACCCACCTCTCAGACATCACCTCTAAAGAGCTTATTCATGTAACCAAACACCACCTGTTCGCCAAAAACTTGTTGAAATAAAAATAAATTTAAAAAATAACATAAAAAAAGAACATGCCGTTTCTGTTCATATCCTAAACATAAGATTCACCATTCGCAAGAATCATCACACTTTTCAGTGCACCGTGTGGGACCTCAACCAAGAAATACCACCGGAAAATATTCTCAGGCAAGGTCCCTGGTGACCAGGATGGAAACAAGGCTCATGTTCTCTGGAGACACCATCAGGATTGTCAAATCCAGAGAGACTCCTCGGGTGTCTGGAAAGTGTGACGCCTGCGTGGTCAAGGGCAGTGTACTTGTCTCCTGCCCCTGCCTGCTCTCCACACGTTGGTCCTAAAGCCACGAGGCGGGTGTCGCACACACAAGGTGAGGAGGGTGTCTCTGCAGACGCAGCTGGGCATAGGGAATGAGTCTGTGAGAGTGAGGAGGGCTTCCACCCAGGTGCTAGCTCCGAGGGGAGTCAGCCAAGACCCCCACATGCAAGGGGAGGAGCCACACAGGGGAGGATGAGATGCTGGTTATGCACGGGGGGAGTGGCCAAATCGCCAGAAAAGAAAGGATCTGCAAGGTTGCCATGAGAAAACTGGAATGAACCCTGTGGATCCAAACTGGACCTGGGGATACTGGTGTGAACTCACAGTTTTCAACAGACATCAAACATAAACCAGGGTATTGTTTACATTACTATTCCCTGGCTTTGTCCACTGAGGAGGTCTGGGGAGCGGTGACGCCTCAATAGCAATGAGCACACCCATCATCCAGACCTTGTCTTCTCAAGGCCATTCTCCTCCACAGATGCCAGGGCTCCTTGGAGAAATGGCCAGGTCGAGGCGTGGGGCATGGCGGGAACAAGTGGAGGCTAATCATCTTCTTCTGCCAGAGCAAGGAAGTACTCCCAGACAACGGGGACACACAAAAAGGGGGCAGAGCCAGCCAAATAGAGCACAACTAGAGCATCAAAATAAATAGACTATATACCCCAATGAATACATTAGGATCCATGATTCCCACTCAGATAAAACAAATACATGAATTGATTCAAAGCTGCATGAGAAAGGAATATTTAAATAGATTCAGGATGTCCCTACTAAATACTTGTTAATTATAAAGAATGTTCGCAGTGAAAAGCATGGCAGACAATGTAACCAAGCAACTGTAGTGAGCATCATCAGCAAGCAGACAAACTGCATGTCACCTGCAAGGATGAACTGTGACGATCAAAGACACACAACCCGAATCTACGCAGAAACATCGCAAAAAATCCAAACAGAAGAATGTGCTACAAAATAACTGGTGTCAAGTTGCAAGAAGCCCAGGAAGACGAGGAAGTGAAACGATGATGCCAGGCACTGAGAGAGTGTCACAGGACAGAGGGTACAGCTTGCCAGCTGACTGGCAGGCAATGTGCTGCAAATGGGCATGGGCGTCAGGCGGGGTGGGGGAGTGTGAACTGGCTGGCAGGACGAGCCTCCCTGTTTGTGGGAAACACACTGAAAAGCTCAGGACGCGGCAGCAGGACAGCAACTCACTCTCATGTGGACTGGGATAAGCAAGTTCTAGGTAATGTACTTCCAACTGGTTTGCTTCCAACTGTGATTTGTCTCAAAATTTAAAAGAATTAAATAAGTCAAATAAAAAGTTCTGGATCAAGAACTACAATGTCCTTCCACTACAGGCCACAGAAGTTGCTCATTCATCCATGAGCCTCTTCCCTCAATGAAATGATTAAAGGGTGCATGCTTATATAATTCACCAAAGGCTTTAACGAGGAGCACAGTTTGTGCGAAGGCCATGTTAATGAAAGATGGCGCCCACGTTTTTCACTGCTGCCATAACACATCCCCACAGCCCGGCTGGCTTAAACAACACACACTTAGGATCCTTTCGCTCTGCAGGTGAGAAGCCCCGCATGGGTCTGTCTCCCTTCCCAGAGGCCCCAGGGGAGAGTTTCCTTGCTCATTCAGACACAGCTCAGTTCTCTGTGGGACTGAGGTCCAGGTTCCTTGCTGGCTGAGCTATTCCCAGCTTCCAGGGGCCACCCCATTCCCCAGCCCTGTTCCTCCACGAAAGCCAGCAACAGAGGGTAGAGAGCTCTCAGACTTTGAAAATCTTTCTACTACCTCTTCAGTCACATCTCTGACTGACTCTTCTGCCTCCTTTTCTGATCAAAGGGTCTGTGTGATTACACTGGGCCCACTAAATAATCCAGAATAATCTCCATATCATCAAGTCAGCTGACTCACAAACTTCATTTGACCTGAAAAGTCCCTTTTGCCATTGTGTTGGGGTTCCCCGGACCGCCCCACGCTCCTGATTCTCCAGCATGACTTACAAGACTCAGCATACACTCCTCCTCACAGTTACAGTGTATTATGGCAAGAGGACACAGAGTAAGACCAGCACAGGGATGGGGACCTGTGGCAAAGCAGTGGGGGAACCAGGAGCAAGCTTCCAGAGTCCTCTCCCACAGGAGCCACACAGGACGAGCTTAACTGCCCCGGCACTGAGCTGTGTCAGGTGCTGTCTGCCGGGAAGCTGGGTAGAGACTCCAGGCCCAGGGTTTCCATCAGGGCTGATCACACAGGCACCCCCTGCCTGGCGCGTACCAAGTTCCAGACCAAGGAAAGCAGATTTCAGCACAGAACATGTCGCTTGTACAGACAGTTCAGGCACAGTGAACCACACCTACCACCTAGGGAACAGGGGATCCCTCCCGAAACCCAGGTTCCCAGACACCAGCAGAGGGCCAAGCCTGCAGCAGGTCTGTCTAAGGACACGTCTCAGGCTGGCTGCTAGCTCTGTTCTGCACAGCCCAGTAATAAGTAATAAATAGAACTCATTCACAGGTTTAACAGCAGGGGCTGAAGATGACAGGGCCAAAGCCCTGCTGACTGCAGATAGATTCTCAGGACACAGTATAAGCCTCTGCCTCCTTTTTTTTTTTTTTTTTGAGACAGTCTTGCTCTGTCACCAGGCTGGAGTGCAATGGCACGATCTTGGCTCACTGCAACCTCCACCTCCCGGGTTCAAGTGATTCTCCTGCCTCAGCCTCTTGAGTAGCTGAGATGCAGGCGCGCGCCACCATGCCCAGCTAATTTTTGTATTTTTAGTAGAGATGATGTTTACCGTGTAGGCCAGGCTGGTCTCGATCTCTTGACCTCGTGATCCGCCTGCCTCAGCCTCCCAAAGTGCTGGGGCAACAGGAGTGAGCCACCACACCTGGCCTGTGCCCCCTTTTAAGGCTGCGCATGTCCTTCATGCTCAACCCTCTTAGATTCACAGGCCTCAGTCCTGCGGCACTGAGCCCCTACCTACCATCCTCTGTGCAGCACACACAGTGCAGGGAGCCAGTGGCGATGGCGATGACTTTCTTCCCCTGCAACCCTTGGACCTGCCGAGGCCTTCGAACATGGTCATCTGATCCATGGCCCAACCTGTGATAATCGCCTTTGCCCCTGCACACAAAGGAAGCATGGAAATTATGGGGCAAGGTGATCTCACTGACCACCCTGACCAGCCTCCTGGGCAGCCTCTGCTGTTCAGGACACAACCATAGCCTGCTGCAGAAGCTACATTCCCATCCATGAAAAGGTGGTGCACATACCCCAATAAAAATCTGGTTTTAGTGGGTTTAAACAAACAGAATCTTGCGTACCAGGTATAAACAGCTCCAGATTTGGTAAGGGCAACAGAAAACTGGGATCCGCATTCCACTTTAACTACTCCAAGACCAGTAAGAGAATCAATCTAGAGGGGGAAAAGGTTCAATTAGACAGACAGCAACAAGGCTCCTGCTGACTGCTATAACCACACTGAGATTTAACTAAATCTAGTAAGAATTCTGAAAACTTGTACCCATGATGAATAATTAGTGCAACATAAAATCATATTCCACTTAATCTCAGCACTCTCAGGAGGCAGGCGGGACCGTGACTGACAGCACACCCGTTGGCACACTGTGGCCCGGTGGGACCCAGCACAGGGCACCAGAAATGGGAGCTTTGCAGGTGAGGCCTGCAAGCCTCTCCCCAGAATGGCCTCCCGCAACCATGCTTCTCTGTGCAGGAGCACCAAACTCCAGCAATCCCTGTGTCTCTCCTCACCTGCCCCAGCCCTCTCAGAGCAGAGGCCCGCGGGGGAGGAGCAGCAGGCAAGGGGAGGGATGGCCAAAAGCACTGGGCCCCACCCACCCTCCACACTGCACACCTGCCAGCCAACTTTCCCTATCCCACAAGCTGCTCCTCATGACCTCTGTGATTGCTCTCATATGTAAGTTCTTATATTTAATTCTGAACTCAAATTAATTAAAACTGACTTCATTCTCTAAATGAGACAATGTGGTAGGGCTCTAGTGTCTGGCCCTACCACAATGGCATCGGGACGTCCTGCTCCAGCCCCTCTGATGCCCAGCATCCTCAGCCTTGGAAGTGCAAACCCCAGGCTCTTTCCCACAAGGAGGGGCCTCTGACACATGCCACTGATGAGGGTCTGCTCCAGAAGCACCTGTGCCACACCTGCAACCCCACAGCCCCACGAGAGAGGAGGCCAGGCAGAGACAGGTTCGCAGCAACAGGCTCCCAAGTACCCAGCAGAGCACCTGGGCTACACGGCAGTGTGGTGTGCATGCACTGAGGTCACTGAGAAGCATGTGCAGGACCTGAACCACGTACCAGCCACCCATTCACAAGAGCAAAAGACATTCTGGCAAAGATAAGAAATCGCCTGCAGCCACCGGGCTTGAGTGGAGCAGAGCCGCCGACCCCACCAGGACTGCAGGACTCAGGCGCTGTGCAGGCCTTGCTCTCGCTCCTCACAGGACACCCACCTGAGATGGCCCCGGCTAACCCAGATGCAGTCCCTTTAGCAAGCACTGGCACCCCCAAGCGCGTGCCGTGGCAACTCCACACCACTGTAAACTGAGAGAGTGTGAGCCATGTGATATCCTTCTCTGAGACAGGCCTACATGCTATAAACCAGGAGGCTCCACGGTGCCCGGATGATCCCATCCACTTCTCAAGAGAACGCACACAGCACATAGAACACCTTACTCCCTCTAGGCCCTCCACACACTTTCTAGCCAATTACCCATTATATTTACTGGAACGAAGGTAAAGAGGAGGTTAAAGTGCTCCTAAGGAGCACACACGGGGGACAGTAATGGTGGCTCTGAGGCTGTGTTTTCCCAGAGGGGCCCTGGGGGCCCGACTGCGGTGAGCTGGGAGAGCACTGGGCAGGGAAAGAATGGGAAATACCTTCATAGGCACTTTACAGCCATCGCTGCCTCCCCGGCCGAGCTTGCCGTAGTCCCCGTCCCCCCAGGACCAGACAGTGTCGTCATCTGTGAGGCAGAGGGTCTGGGCATCTCCACTGCCACAGGCGATGTCAACCACACGGTGGCCCTGCAGCGCCTCCACCTTCAGAGAAAAGGGACTTGGGTTGGCCAAGCACAACACAAGAAGGCTTGCCACAGGACTGGCTTCACAACACTGCCATTCTTTTTTTATGGGGGTACCTGTTTTAAGCCTTTACAAAGAGGTGATTTCTAAAATCCTATAAGACAAAAGAGAAAGCACCTTCATCTATTTGAACTACATGCATCTAAACCGCAGGAGGAGGTATCAGCGTCTTTGATGAGCCAACCCTACATCACCATGAAGGCTGTTTATTCACTTCTTGCACCCAAAAATACAGTGGGCCTTCTAGAAGCCAAAGCATTTTTCATAACAACGGTGGCAAACCGCCCCCATCTGACAGCAGCAGTGAGGAGCATGCAGCCTCCGGCCTCTGCACACGGCGCCTCCTCACCAGCTTCGGCTTCAGCTGGTCCTCACTGTCGCTGTGCCCCAGCCGGCCGTAGCGGCCTTTGCCCCATGTGTAGAGGTCCCCGGCTGCTGTGACACAGGCGCTGTGGGCTCCGCCAGCAGCAACATCGACCACTTCAATTCCTCTCAGAGACTCGATGACACGAGGGCGGTCACACGGACTGCAAAAAAGTCACCAAATATAATGGAAACACATTTTTATTCTTAAACATTTTTCAGTGTATTAAATACCTCTCAATCTACACCTTCCTAATCAGTTAATTGTTAAATCAATCAAGAAGAATCATTCAGACCTAAACTCAAAAGTTCACCACTTCCTATCTCCTTCCTGTACAAGGCCAGAGGACACGGCTTCCCCAGCTCTGACTCAGAGGCTGGAAAGTGACCACACATACTGGGTCAAGTTCGAAGCACAGACCATTTTTCAAAGGCCTATGAGCTGAGAACAGGTTTTACATTTTAACGGGTTTAAAAAAAAAAAAAAAGAATCATATGCAACTCCTAAAATAGTTACCATCTGGCCCTATAAGGAAAGTTTGCACCTCACCCCCACTATGAATTAACAATTCATTTAAGGAGTTTTAACATATGAATGTCACTAGTCTATAACATAGTGACTACTGATAACAAACTTTTTGTTTTCTTATTAAGTTCTGAAAGAAGTTCTTTATATATTTTGGCTATCAGACCTTAGTCAGATTATATGATTGTGAATATCCTTTCCCAGCTTGTGGTTTCAATCTCTTCATAGTGTCTTTTGAAGAACAGTTCATAATTTTTATGAAGTCCAAGTTATATTTTTCTTTCATGAATCATGCTTTTGGAGTTCAATCTAAAAATCTTTTCTGACCTAAAGTCACAAAAATTTTCTCATGTTTTCTTCCAGAACTTTTAAGTTTTACATTTTACATTCTACATTCATGACTATGGTTCATTTTGAATTAATGTTTGGATATGGTGTAAAGTATGAATTTAAGTTCATTTCTTGCCATAGGTTATCCAATTATTCAAAACCACTTGTTGAAAATAGTATATTTTCTCCAGTGAACTGGCTGTGCACTCGTATAAACTGTGCACTAGAAACTGTGAGAAGTCCAGTTTCATTTTTCCACACTCATCTTGTCAGCATTTGCCAGCCGGTTTCTGGATTCCCTATTCTGCTCCATTGATGTATCTGTCTCTCTCTTTTTGCCAGCACCAAGCCATGCTGTTTACTGCAGCTATAAATGAGGCTTAAGTCAGGTAGTGCAAATCTTCCGACCTTTTCCTCATTTTCAAAGTTGATTTGACTATTCTAGGCCATCTGCATCTCCATATACATTTTATGCTCCGCTTATCAATTTCTATACAAATCTTGATTGGGAAGGTGTTGAATCTATAGATTTGAGGATAGCCAGCAAATTAACAATACTGACTCTTCTGCTCCATGAACACAGCATGCCCCTTCACGACTTTAGGTTTTTTAAAAATTATCTCAGCAATACTTTGTAGTCTTCTGTCTACAGGGTCATTCACATTTTTGGGTCAGATTTATCCCATAGTTTTTCAATTCTGGGAGAGGGTATTCTAAGTGGTATTTTAAAATTTCACTTTCTGGTTACGTATATGTATACGTATAGATGTACAAGTAACTTTTATTTATTGATCTTCTATCCCGCAACACTGCTAGCCTCACTTATCAGTTCTAGCAGCTTTTTGTAAATACCACCAGGTTCTCTGCATAAACAATGTTTTCTGCAAAAAAGACAGTTTTAATTCTCTTTACAATCTAGATGCCTTTTATTTCTTTGCACTGCTGTACCGCACTTACTAAACCTGTTGCACAATGTTGAAGAGAAGTGGTGATAGCAGACATCCTTGCCTTGATCCTCAACTCAGGGGGAAAGCTTTTGGTCTGTTGCCATTAACTACAACCTAAGCTCTAGGTTAACAGAGATGCCCTTGATCAGGTAAAGGAAGAGACCTCTTACTCCTAGACTACTCAGAGTTTTTATCAGAAATGGATGTTGGAGTTTGCCAAATTATTTTTTCCTCTTTTTTTTTTTTTTTTTGAGATGGAGTCTCGCTCTGTTCCCCAGGCTGGAGTGCAGTGGCGCAATCTCGGCTCACTGCAACCTCCACCTCCCGAGAAGCTGGGACTACAGGTGTGTGTCACCACATCTGGCTAATTTTTTTCTATTTTTTGTAGAAATGGGGTTTCATCATATTGCCCAGGCTAGTCTTGAACTCCTGAGTTCAAGCAATCTGCCCACCTCAGCTTCCCAAAGTGCTGGGATTACAGGCGTGAGCCACCACGCCGGACCTGTTTAATATATTTTATATGGTGGTTTAGTTATTCCTAGGATAAGAAGGCCCCTGTTACTCCAATCTGGCTGGTAGTTCTCATTAATTTTTTAATACTTGTGAGTTTGGTTCATTCTTTTACAAATGGTGTCAATTGTGCGTTCTTTCTTCCTCACCCCTGCTATTTCCTCTGTATTTGCAGTTTTAGTATCACGCACGTTACACAAAATGCCAAACGTGATTCAGTGGATGATTTAAGGGAGAAGGACAAAAAAACACTTACTTAGTACTTGTCATCAAAAACACAGAATTGACTTTTTTTTCCCTCTCAACAGAGGAATCATACGGGTAAGCCTTCGTATTGGAACATAAAACTATTTCTGCCAAATGAGTCATTAACATTATTTAGTTTGAGAGTATTGTAAATGTTGCCTTGAAAAACAAAGCGCCAATAGATTGTAGCAGCATTAAAACAAACAAAAACAAAGACAAATAGAATGTTGAAATAATTTTTTCACATCATACCTTCTGTTGCCATGCCCCAACTTCCCATCTTCTGCCTCACCCCAAGAGTAAACTTCTCCTTCTGAAGACAGGGCAAGGCAGTGCTTTCCTCCAGAGTTCACAGCTACTTTCTTAATAAACACATGCTGAATGGATTCAAGCAATGTTGGGGTGGACACCGACTCTGTCCCTCCAATGCCTAGTCTGCCACCTGCACCATACCCAGTGGCATACAGCTAAGAAAAGAAAAAGCAATAGTAACATCAGTTTTTAATCTCAATATCCCCTAAATTTACTAATTCATAAACCTAATCCATGCTTTAGACATTTTTACCACATAGAAATAAAATTTAAAGTTAAAAATCTCAGGAATATAAGTTTATGCCTTTATACATGCTCTATCAAAGTTCTAGAAATGAAATAAAAACATGACTATTAGAAATTCCAAATTCAGAAAACATATTGTGAAAATAAGGTCTTCTTGCTGGAAGCTCTTCCATTTTTGTGTAGAATACCAACTACAATTAACACCAAGAAAAATAAAAAACAATTTAATTATCTACTATATGCAAAACTCTGACAATAACAGCCACAAAACATACCCATAAAAGAACACAAATACATTTTAATATTTCAGCAGGGCAGCATATAAACCACAAGGGAAAAAACACCTTTTTTTTTTTTAATCTAAGTGGGAATGTTTTAGGACACAAAACATCTATGATTAATTTTAAAAAATGATTAATTTAAAAACATACACACACTAAATCAGACTGCCGTTTTCCAAATGAAGGCAAACATCCCTCCTGATAAAAACTTAAATGCTGTTCCATGCTGTTTTAGACATCTTTCAAACGTGCTGCTGCACTGACATAATATAAGGAAGCCACAAGGGCCAATGCAGGAAGTGAAACCCAAACTCAGGTGGATAAATGAGCCCCACCCCCAAAGCCAGCTTCTGGCGGGGAGGGTGTGAGGCTCTCTGGTGCACAGGGTGCAGGGTAATGCAGCATGCCTCCCAGGACTTCCTATAGAAAGTGGGGCTCCAAAGGGTTGCCCCTCAGTGACTGTGAATAAGAAGAACACCACAGAAAGCTGCCCTTCCCAGCCTCAGCACTGACAGGGAGACAGAGGCTTGCTCCTGAGAATTCATAACTACAACAGGAGTTGGCAAATTATGGCCCATGTGCCAAATCAGGCCCATCATTTCTTTCTGTAAATGAAGCTTTACGGGAACACGGCCACACCCACTCATTTATAATATGTCCAGGGCTGCTTTTGTAGTCGCAACAGAGACTATATGGCCCAAAGCTGAAAATACCATTGTGCCCTTTACAGAAAGTGTTTACCAACCCCCACCCTAGAAAAAGGACAAAATGAAGATATTTTGAAACAAACAATCAGAATTAACCAACGAAAGAATTTCACTAAAGTAAATTGAGAAAGATATGCTAAAGGAGAAGGAAATGATTTTATAAGATCTGAGACATAACAAATGATGGTAAGAAATGATAGTAAGCAAAGATGTGCAACATTTAGCTAACTCAAAAAAAAAAACCACAGTCCATATAAAACAACCAAAACAACAACAATAATGTCTATGGCAGAGGGGAATAGGTTAGAACCCAAACACTGGGTAACAAGGGGTCACTGATTGGGAGGAGGGGAAAATACTAATTAACTTTAGGTTTTTAAGTACCTATGTTAAAATAACCAGAGAAACAATGAAAAGAAACAGAATTCTCCTGAGAATTGACACAGAGGGGCTATATTTCAAACCTTTTTATGAGGCTAGACCACTTCAACACCTGTGCTAGCAGTCTGCCTCTGATACGGTTCACAATGATCCCTGCTTCTAAATATGTGTGCTCCTGTATACAGGCACACCCCATTTGACTGTGCCTTGCTTTACTGTACCTCGCAGATACTGTTTTTTATAAACTGAAGGTCTGTGGCAACCCTACACTGATCAAGTCTATCGGCGCCATTTTCCCAAAAGCATGTGCTGACTTACCGTCGCTATGTCACGTTTTGATAATTCTTGAAATATTTTAAACTTTTTCATTATTTTATCTGTTATGATGATCTGTGATCAGTAATGTTTGATGTTACTGTTGTACTTGTTTTGAGGCACCACAAACCACACCCATAGAAGACGGTGAACTTAAACGATAAATGTGTATGTTCTGATTGCTCCGCCAACCAGCTGTTCTCCCATCTCTCTCCCTCTCCTCAGACCTCCCTATTATGTCCCTGAGACACAACTTATTGAAATAAGGCCACTTAATAACCCTACAGTGGCCTCTAAGAGTTCAAGTGAAAGGAAGAGTTGCATATTTCTCACTTTAAGTCAAAAGCTAGAAATGATTAAGATTAGTGAGTAAGGCACACTGAAAGCCAAGACAGGCTGAATGCTAGGCCTCTTGCACCAGTTACCCAAGAAAAAGTTCTTGAAGCACAATTAAGTGCAATTCTTGTAAACACACAAATGATGAGAATGCAAAACAGTCTTATTGCTGATATAGAGAATGTTTGGCATAGACAGAAGATCAAAACGGATACAATATTCCCTTAAGCCAAAGCTAATCCAGAGCTTGCTAACTGTCTTCAATTCCACGAAGGCTAACAGAGGTGAGAAGGCTGCTGAAGGAAAGTCTGAAGGTAACAGAGATTGGTTCCTGAGGTTTAAGGAAAGACGCCGTCTTCATAACATAAAAGTGCAAGGGAAAGTAGCAAGTGCTGATGTAGAAGCTGCAGCAAGTTACCCAGAAGATCTAGCCAAGATCAGTGATGAAGGTGGCTACGCTAAACAACAGGCTTTCAACGTAGATGGAACAACCGTCTATTGGAAGAAGATGCCAGCTAGGACTTTCATAGCTAGAGAGAAGTCAATGTTTGCCTTCAAAGCTTCAAATATTTTGTTAGGGGCTAATGCAGCTGATGACTATATTAGTTGAATTCATTGAAGTCAATGCTCATTGACCATTCTGAAAATCTTAGGGCCCTTAAGAATTATGCTAACTCCACTCTGACTGTGCTCCAGAAATAGAACAAAACCTGGAAGTCAGCACATTTGTTTACAGCATGGTTCACTGAATATTTTAAGCCCACTATTGAGGCCTACTGCTCAGAAAAAAAGATTTCTTTCAAAACATTACTGCTCATTGACAATGTACCTGGTCGCCCAAGAGCTCTGATGAACATGTACAAAGAGATTAAAGTTGTTTTCATGCCGGCTAACACATCATTTTTTCTGCAGCCACATGGATCAAGGAGTAATTTCGACTTTCAAATCTTGTTATTTAAGAAATACATTTCATAAGGCTATAGCTGCCATAGACAGTGATTCCTCTAACGGATGTGGACAAACTAAATTGAAAACCTTCTGGAAAGCCAGCACCATTATAAATGCCATTAAGAACATTTGTGATTCATGGGAGGAGGTGAAAATATCAACATTAACAGGGATTTGGAAGAAGTGGATTCCAACCCTCACAGATGACCTTGAGGGATTCAACACGAGTGGAAGAAGTGACCTCAGATGTGGTGGAAACAGCAAGAGAACTAGAATTAGAAGTGGAGTCTAAAGATGTGACTTAATAGACTATAGTACTTTTATATCCACTGGGAAACCAAGAAATTTGTGTGACATGCTTTGCGAAGACACTTGCTTTATTGTGTTGATTTAGAACCAAGCCTGCATATCTCCAAGCATGCCTACAGCTCCCTCTCCCTGAGTGTGGGCTGGACTTAATGACCTGCTTCTGATGAGCAGAATAGGGCAAGAACTGGAGTGTGGTCACTTCTGTGATTCAGTTACACAGGACCGGGGCTCTGTCTCCTCCACTCTCTCTTGCTGGTGCTCCCTCCTGCGCCTCCCTTGCTCTCGCTGACAGAGTCAGCTGCCACCCTGTGAGACGCTCTATGGACACGTGGCAAAGGGCTGAGTGAGGGGAGGCTCTGCCAACAGCTCATAAGGGACTGAGGCCTCAGCCCAAAGTTCCATGAGGGACTGAATCCTTGCTCGGACAGCCTCAAGATGACTGCAGCCTGCTGAGATTCTGAGCTGGAGGACGGAGCTATGCTGCATCCAGAGTCCTGACCCAGAGAAACTATGAAATAATAAATGTGTGTGAGACAGTACATTACATGAGAGTATCTCACTCATGAATAGGATCTCCCAAAAATCTAAAACAAAACTATCACAAACACAAGCCAGATACATATCCTGACCAAACTGGATCTATCCAAAGAATGTAAGTTTGTTTAATATGAGAAAACCAATTAATCCAACTGGCTATACTAATCCATTAGAAAACATTGGCCGGGCACGGTAGCTCATGCCTGTAATCCCAGCACTTTGGGAGGCCAAGGTGGTCGGATCACAAGGTCAGGAGTTCAAGACCAGCCTGGCCAATATGGCGAAACCCCATCTCTACTAAAAAAAAAAAAAAAAAAAAGATTAGCCAGGCGTGGTGGCGGGCGCCTGTTGTCCCAGCTACTCGGGAGGCTGAGGTAGGAGAATCGCTTGAACCCAGGAGGCAGAGGTTGTAGTGAGCCGAGACTGTGCCACTGCACTCCAGCCTGGGCGACAGAGTGAGACTCTGTCTCAAAAAAAAAAAAGAAGAAGAAGAAAACATCTATGAAAGAACATTTCAAAACACGTAGAAAGAGTGTTGAACAAAAATCAGTGTCCACTGTTGACTAGAAACAGAAGGAAACATGCCTAATCTGATCAAGGGCTTCTACTCAAACCCCACTGGAAGCCTGGGAACGCTCCATCTGCACCCGCTCCAGTCTTGATCAAGGCAGGAGCCTCCACCCACTCCTACCCAGAATCACACCGCAACCCCAGCCTGCACCATGAGCTCCCATTCTCCCACACAAACGGGAAAAATAAAAGAGAGGTAGGCTAGACAGAAAGGAACAGCATTCATTTAGAGACTACGGCACTCTATAAAGAAGATACAAGAAATCTTCACATATACTAGAATGGAGACAGTCAAGTAGGTCACCAAACATAAAGTCAATATATAAACATCCAATATTTCTATATATCAGTGGCAATCTTTTTTTGGGGGCGGAGACAGAATCTCACTCCGTCACCCAGGCTGGAGTGCAGTGGTGTGATCTCGGCTCACTGCAACCTCCATCTCCCGGGTTCCAGTGATTCTCCTGCCTCAGCCTCCCGAGTAGCTGGGATTACAGGCACATGTCACTGAGCCTGGCTTATTTTTGTATTTTTCGTAGAGACAGGGTTTTCCTATGTTGGCCAGGCTGGTCTCGAACTCCTGACATCAGGTGATCCACCCACCTTGGGCTCCCAAATTGCTGGGATTACAGGCATGAGCCACCGCACCGGGTCAGCAGCAATACATTTTTTAAAAGATAGTATTTACAATAGCAAACAAGAAATACATCTAACGAGTGATGTGCAAATAAAAATTGTAATACTTTTGCATACATGACGTATTTTCAAAATAAAAATAAAAATAAATTGGCCGGGCGTGGTGGCTCATGCCTGTAATCCCAGCACTTTGGAAGGCCGAGGTGGGTGGATCACCTGAGGTCAGGAGTTCGAGACCAGCCTGGCCGACATGGTGAAAACCTGTCTCTACTAAAAATACAAAAGTTAGCCAGGTGTGGTGGCGGGCGCCTATAATCCCAGCTACTTGGGAGGTTGAGGCAGGAGAATCACTTGAACTCAGGAGGTGGAGGTTGCAGTGAGCCGAGACCACGCCATTGCACTCCAGCCTGGGCAACAAGAGCAAAACTGTCTTAAACTTTTTTTTTTTTTAATTTAAAGATTATACAAAAATATCTTAGAACTCTAGCTGCTTCCTGCATACCACAGTATCATTAATCCTGAGAAACGTTTTAGTACAGATCCTTGCACGTGCTAAGAACCACACAGCACCTTTAGCCACAACTGCCTCAGGCTCAATGACCTTGTGACATAGAAAAAGAGCTCTTACCTTCCCATCAGCCGTCACAGCAAAGAGGGTCTGTTCCCCTCCGATTAACTGCACGGGTCTGAGAGTTGCAAGGGCTTCACAGGGAGTGGGAACTTTGACTTTTGCGCCTTCAATGCCCCCGAGCTGGCCCCTGTGATTATGTCCCCATCCATAAATTGTTCCACTGCCACCAGCAGAGAGAGTCCAGTCATCTGGTCGCCTACAATACACATCAAGTGAGCATTTGCCATGGGCAAGAACAATGCACACAGCCTCTCACACTCACGATCGACATTACTGCTTGTTTCTAATATAATAACCTGTTCATCCACTGCACAAGTTGTTCGTCTTGCTCTCTTTTAAAAATGTCATGGCTCTCATGCAGAACATCCATGTTTTCGCTGTCTGCCATTAATTCACGAATTTTCTTAGCCACCTAAACAAAATTATTATGATGTTACAAATCAAACACTTATCTCAAACAAAATAGATAAATACTAAGGAAAGACAGAAGGAATCCCTGCCTAAAAATATGAGGGAAGAGCAACATTGCAATGTTATGGTTCATGGGCAAAACCAATAATGACTGCATCAAGTCTAACATATTAGAAATGTCTAGACAGTATCATTCTACCTGTAGTTTACTAAAAATAAACTTTAACTGAAATTCACAGTGTCAGTTCACTCATTTTCACCTATGTGTTATTTTCTTTGATATTCCTTGGCAAGCGAAATTTTTCTGTGTCTCGTAATATTGGCATCTTGTTACACTATAGCTAAATAATGTTTTTGCATCCCAAAAGTGATTCCAAAATATCATGCAATACCTCATCAAGAAACAGACGGGGCAACGGTGTTCTTTTGTCAAGGGCCACAGCAACACGGGAGGCCATGCAGTACCTCCGGAACCAGGCCCACTTGTGCGTCTCGGCACAGCAAGGCAGAGTGTCCAGCTCCAGGTCACAAGCAAGAGCTACCAGTACCTGCAGGCACCAAAAATGACAAACTCAGGGAAACTCAGAAATGCAGTGAACAGGCCAAGGTTTCTGTGGCTCCTTCCGCAGGACCTCCTATTCCAGGATGACGGCCATGGGCACAGCAAGGATACGGCCACCATCAGTGATGTGGCGACCTCTGACAGTTCCTAGCCACGTGCCACACAACTGCTGCAACACTTGTTGCCTGCATCAAGTGACAAGAACACCTGTGCATCTCAAGGCATGCTAACGGTTACAGGCTTATGGTTTAAGGGTTTAGATTACACGATCATTTCTTGAGATTTTTTCATATTTGACTTCAGCAATACCTACAGCTGCCCTCAGAGGCCTAAAACACACACACTGCACATGACAACTCTCAGTGGCTCTTTCAGTCAAATAGCTCTATTGTCACTTTAAAAAAGAAGTGAAACATTACCTTAAAGAATGGGCTGTGGAGCAGCTGTTTGCCACCCCTCACAATAGGATCTTCATATTCAAACTGCCTTTGCAAAGCTTCTGGAAGACCTTTCACCAAAGCAGCAAGAGCACTACCTGTAAAACTCTAAGAAACAACAGAACAGTATTCTATCGCAGGAATCCAGGTGCCGGGGAGGCTGACCATTTGTTTCTACCGTCAAATGTTTTATTATGTTGGTACTAACTCTTCTAAAAAAACTAAAAAAAAAAAGCTTATCAAAATTCTCAAGTAGGAAAAAAGCTAAAAGAACATAAACACTGAAATAAAAAAGAGGAGTTTGAAGACTCATCTCAGAATGTTTGGTCTTGATTTCAGTACATCCGCTTCCAGAGAAATAGCCCCTCTCTGGCCCACAAACGCTGCCTGTCTCGTCCCATGGGTAGGATCAAAAGGGACTACTTTAGTCAGCAAAATAAAGGGGAGGCCAATCAGTTAGCCTCATTGTAAAGTCCAATCAACACAATCCTATGTTCACAGCTGTCGAGACAGATTTTCAGAATATCAAAGTCCAACTTGAACTCAGTATACACTGCAACATACGAGAAGTCTGGATGGGACAAAGGCCTCCTTATTTTTATTCATTTATTTATTTTTTTTGAGATGGAGTCTCGCTCTGTCACCAGGCTGGAGTGTAGTGGCGGGATCTCAGCTCACTCCAACCTCCACGTCCCAGGTTCAAGCGATTCTCCTGCCTCAGCCTCCCAAGTAGCTGGGACTACAGGTGCCCACCACCACGCCCATCTAATTTTTTGTATTTTTAGTAGAGTCAGGATTTCACCGTGTTAGCCAGGATGGTCTCGATCTCCTGACCTCGTGATCCGCCCACCTCAGCCTCCCAAAGTGGTGGCATTACACGCATGAGCCACCGCGCCCGGTCCAAGGCCTCCTTATTCTTATGTGAAACTCCCCAACTCCTCTCAACGATTTAGAGGTTTAGACTACTAAAGCAACATTTTATTCCCCAAGGGTCACAAATCTAGAAATTGTACTAGAATGCTCCATACCAAAGCTCTTGTTTCCCCATCATTTTCTCCAAGCAGCCTATTTATGTTAATTGACTGCCCAAATTCAGTTGTAAGCAGCTTCCTCAGTCTCTGAAGGGCCCACATTCTGTGACTGGCAGCTGAAATGAGCAGAGAGAAAGTATCAGAAGTCTGATGGTTTCTTCCAAGCAGGAAGACAGATGTAACTGTAATGGTGGCATTTACCTAGGGCACTCAGCTGTGCACAAGCTGCCAGCGAGGCCGCAAGGCGAGGGACGATGCTTCTGTTAGAGGCAAGGTTGAGTCGGAAGTCTAACAGACACGTCACCAAGTCCATGGATGGACAGGAGAGGACGCAGCGGTCAGAGAGGAGTTCTTTAGGGCCTGTGAATGAACACTGTAAACATCCCCGGGTTTCACAAGCTAGGTACCACCCCATAAGAAGCCGCCAACGAACAAGGGTGGCTCCACCCAGCCCCACCCACCAGAAGGCAACAGCTGGTGTGCCCACGCATGCCACTGCGAGTCGGTGAGACTCGCTCTTCACACTCACATTTCCACTGTAAACCAAAAGCCTAAGAACTGCACCAGCAACAACTCCTTCCACACCAGGTGAGGAGGAGTGTGAGCCTGACAGCTGGATGGCTGGGACAGATCTGTGTTCTGTTCCACGCCTCAGCAGGGCCTGTGAGAGCACTCACTCCAACACAGCAGAAGGCAGGCTGTCAGGCACTACGTGGACATGTGCACGTGTCCCTGTTGCTCCAGAAACAATCCACAGCCAGTCATCTAACCTTGATCGCCATAAGCCCCTTCCTTACCAGCAGCTGGCATGATGGGATAGACGGTGAAGCGCCAGCCCCAGCCATTCACAGACCCATCGCTGATGAACTTCCACTTTAACTCATCCCCTGGGATGCGCAGCTCGCTGGACCAGTCGGACCACTCTCGGCCTGCGGGAGGAAAGCGCACCCCGGGGTTAGCTTCACTCCATCATCCAATCAACACAAACCTTCTTAGACGCAAAGCAGAATGATTTCCGTCACGTGTGAAGAGCAAGTTCCTCCAATCCAAGCTCTCCCAAGCCGAAGTGCACAGTGACACAACACTCTTGGGATTCACATTTTAATACATACCATTCTTCAGCAAACACGCATTCAGCCCCTGTACCAGGTACCCAGGAAACTGCGGCAGGCGGGCAGACACTGCCCTGGCAGAAGCCACCACCCAGTGGGGAAATGACCCCACCAGCCAGGATACAGTGAGTGGCCTCCAGGTGTCCAGCACACACCAGGCCAGGGGCCATGGGGACATTTCCCGGGAAAGCTCTGATACAACCAGGTGACCAGGCAGCAGAAGGAAGAACCCTAGCTCTCCCAACAAAAGGCCTATGTGTGTGGTTCAGCACGGCCCAGAGTAGGCCGCCCTCGAGGGAGCAGAGGGCCTGGCTGCTGTGGACAGGAGCGGTGGTGTACTACACCTAAGATCTACAGGATCTTAGAAGGCCAAGAGAACCCTGCCAGATTTCTGCTTCAGAAGGACCATCTGCCAGCAGCTCAGGGATGGCCCATAAAGGCTTTCCACTGGATGCAGAAAAACTCACATCCAACAACACTACTGAAAACTACACTGGCAGACATCTGTCAAAGCACCAGAAAAACCCACGCCCACTGGGACCATACCATTTCATGCAAAGCTTTACTTAACTAAGTAACACTGTGTGAATAAAGTTTTCCTGGGACACAGCCACGCCCATTCTCTGGCATCCAGTCTGCATGTTGTTATGACAGAGGCTGCATTACCTGGCCCTTTACAGGAAACACTCGAGATGAAGGATAAAGAGGTCTTAAAAGGTGCATACACACACCCCTGCACTGCCAATTCTAAAATACTTGGTAAAAGACCATTTCACAAGCACCCAAAGACGGTCCTGACCTGTCCCAGCTGGCCTCATGGAGCCCAGCAGCAGAGATAAGCCGGACATGTGGCTGCCTCCACCTACATACAGAAGTCACTCCACACATGGCCATGCCCTCACTGCAGCCAGTAAGAAACAAACCTTTTGAAGAAGCTCTGCAGTATGCCAACCATGACCTTACACGAGCTCTGGCACCTCACACGTCTCCAGCACCTTCTGCAACTGTCTGATGAGGCAGGGCCCATCCGACAGGGATGTGGTACATACATCACAGATAATTACTGTATTTAAAAGTATGGGAAAGAGGCAAGCAAACCCACTGTGTTTCACAGCTGAATAGCATATTGTCCCTTCCTTAAGACTTCCATGAGAATACGAAGGCAGCATTCTGTCCTACAAATGTGAAGGGTTGTGTCTACGGAGACACAGGTGGGTAGATCATGCCCTGCTCAACCTCCTGTCCTTACCTGACCGCACGGAGACGATCCTGTTGACGCCGTCCATGACTGTGAGAGGGTCGTGGCGCCTCTCTGTGGAGCACTGCCGGTCAAATTCTACCCTGAGTCCTTCTGCACCTGAAGGACAGGCAAGCACAAAACATAGCAACCACTCCAGATCAGCACCCAAAGTAGAAACAGTGAAACTAAAACCACATTTAACAGCTAATGAATAGCAGAAAGTCAGAAAGAACTGGCCTCAAAGACAAGCATCTCAGACTGACCACTCTTTCCCCAGCTCATCCCCACTGAAGATCATGTCTGTGGACTGGAAGGCCAGAAAACACTTCCACTTGGCCAATTTGTTTTGTGCGGTCACTCCCGGGCAGACTTTCCTACTGCAACCACACTCCCCTGATCAAGCTTTACAGCGAACATCACACTGACCAGGGGCTGTGGGAATGCCCAGTGTGCAGCCAAGTCAGATGGCAGCTGTGGGTCACCTGGGGAGTGAGCGGCATTGGAGGTGAGGAGCACCTCAACTTCTGGCGTGTCCAGAGAACTGGAGAACCGCTTGGTGTGGAGAACCCGCACATCTGGTGTGAGAGGTGTGCGAGCAGAGGCACAAGAGTTTTCCTTCAGGCTGGAAGATCTAGCAGAGGATGGCACTGAGAGGCCGGGAAAGAGGCAGGGGAGGAAGGAGGGAAGAAGGAGGGACGTGGGGCAGGGGCTCAGGTCCTCTCTTACGGTTACAGGGTTGACAGGCTTGGACTGGTTTTAAGATACTATCTCTGCATGCTCTGTTGGGAGCTGATTCTGGGGGGGCCGCAGGAGGTGGGGAGTGGAAGCAGGAACACAGGGAGGCAGCTAGTATGTGGTTGCTAGGATGATAAACTGGGTGAGACCCCGCGGTGCTCTAGCCCAGAATGTCTAGAGTGAGGGAAAAATGGTTGAATTTGGAATATATTTTAAAAGCAGAGAAAACAGGATTTGCTGGTGGACTAGATATAAAGCGAGAGAGAAACAGAAGAGAAAAAGGGTCACAAGATTTTCGTCTAGGAAAAGGCTGACTAGAAATACCCTTTGTTCTTTAAATTTCTATCATGAAGTAATAGCTTCAAGTTTAAAAATGCTTTTCTGGGCCAGATGTAGTGGTACACTCCTGTAATCTTAGCACTTCGGGAGGCCGAGGCAGGCAGCTTGTTTGAGCTCAGGAGTTAAAGACAGGCCTGGACAACAGGCTATATATTTTATTATATATTATATATTTTAAAATATAAAATTTTAAAAATTAGCTGGGCACGGCCTATAGTCCCAGTTACTCAGGAGGCTAAGGAAGGGGGATCGCTTGAGCCCAGAGTTTGGGGCTGTAGTGAGCCACGATCGTGCTACCATACTCCAACCTGGGCGACAAAGTGACAAAGCTTTTCTGAATCTCACACCTCATTCTAAAAGTTGAAGAAAAATGATTTCACAAAAAAAGTGAGTGAGATAAAAGTATAAGACCAAATACAATAAAAAGTTATTGTTAGAAAAAGGGAATAGGCTGGGTACAGTGGCTCACACCTGTAACGATCTCAACACTTTGGGAGGCCCAGCTGGGAGGACTGCTTGAGCCCAGGAGTTTGAGACAAGATTGGGCAACACAGAGAGACTCATCTCCACAAAAAATAAAAATAAGTTAGCCAAGTGTGGCAGCACAAGCCTGTAGTCCTAGCTTCTCGGGAGGCTGATGGGGAAGGACGGCTTGAGCCTGGGAGGTCGAGGCTGCAGTGAGTCAGAATCACACCACTGCACTTCAGCCTGGGTGACAGAGCAAGACTGTGTCTCCAAAAAAAAAAAAAAGAAAAGTGAGAATAAGGAACAAAATAACATCCCCACAGGCAATAAAAGCAGGCCAGAAAGATACACCCACAAAACACATCAACCCTGAACATTTCAAAACAAATTGAGTGAAATTAGAAAAATGATACAAGACATGAAAGAACCACATAAATCAGACTTACAAAAACCAAAACATTTTATAAAGCTGAAGACAGAATTACAATAAAACTACATTCCAATGGAGACTAAAACAGAGTGTAAAATCAAATAAACACAGCAGATGCTACCTTAAGACAAATAGGAAAAAAGGAGGAAATTTTAAAAAAAGAAACAGAGGTAGAAAGTACTTGAAAGAGAAAGTAACCAACATTAACTCTAAAAGGCATGAACTATGCAATGCATGGAGAGTTACCAAGTGTCCCCAGAAAAGACTGCTAAGCAAGGCTACAGAACAAACACTGCAGACTGTAATTCAAGAGAACGTCCTGCAAAACAGACTTGGGACGACAGACTAAAGGAGCACCCCTTACCCGAGAACATCACCGAGAACGGCCGCATGAACGTACATTCTGGTGAAATCACCAAAAAAACACATGCGGCTGCTAACCGAGAACGGCCACACGAACGCACATTCTAGTAACACTACCGAAGAAACACATGCGGCTTCTAACCGAGAACATCACCGAGAACGGCTGCATGAACGCGCATTCTAGTAAAACTACCGAAGAAACACATGCGGCTTCTAACCGAGAGCATCACCGAGAACGGCCACACGAACGTACATTCTAGTAAAACTACTGATAAAACACACGCAACTTCTAACTGAGAACATCACTGAGAACGGCCACACAAACGTATATTCTAGTAAAATTACTGAAAAAACACACAACTCCTAACTGAAACATCACCGAGAACGGCCACACCAACATACATTCTAGTAAAATTACCAAAAAAACACACACGGCTCCTAACCGAGAACATCACCGAGAACGGCCGCACAAACGTACATTCTAGTAAAATTACCGAAAAAACAAACGAGACTCCTAACCGAGAACATCACCAAGAACAGCCACACGAACGTATAATCTAGTAATATTACCAAAAAAACACACGCGACTTCTAACCGAGAACATCACCAAGAATGGCCACACGAACGCACATTCTAGAAAAATTACCGAAAAATACACGCAGCTCCTAACTGAAAACATCACCGAAAATGGCCACACGAACACGTGTTCTAGTAAAATTACCGAAAAAACACACGCAGCTCCTGAGAACATCACCGAAAATGGCCACACCAACATACATTCTAGTAAAATTACCAAAAAAACACACGCGGCTCCTAACCGAGAACGTCACCGAGAACGGCCACACCAACATACATTCTAGTAAAATTACCAAAAAAACACATGCGGCTCCTAACCGAGAACGTCACCGAGAACGGCCACACCAACATACATTCCAGTAACATTACCAAAAAAACACACGCGGCTCCTAACCGAGAACGTCACCGAGAATGGCCACACCAACATACGTTCTAGTAAAATTACCAAAAAAACACACGCGGCTCCTAACCGAGAACATCACCGAGAACGGCTGCACGAACGTACATTCTAGTAAAATTACCGAAAAAATACATGCAACTTCTAACCGAGAACATCACTTAGAATGGCCACATGAACGCACGTTCTAGTAAAATTACCGAAAAAACACACGCGACTTCCAACCAAGAACGGTCACACCAATGTATATTCTAGTAAAATCACCGAAAAAACACACGTGACTTCTAACCAAGAACATCGCCGAGAACAGCCACACGAACGCACATTCTAGTAAAATTACCAAAAAAACACATGCGACTTCTAACCAAGAGCATCACCAAGAACAGCCACACGAACGCACATTCTAGTAAAATTACCAAAAAACACACACGGCTCCTAACCGAGAACATCACCGAGAACGGCCACACGAACACACATTCTAGTAAAATTACCAAAAAAACACACGTGACTTCTAACCAAGAACATCACCTAGAACGGCCACACAAACGCACATTCTAGTAAAATTACCGAAAAACACACACGGCTCCTAACCGAGAACATCACTGAGAATAGCCGCACAAATGCACATTCTAGTGAAATCACGAAAAAAACGCACGCGGCTGCTAACCGAGAACATCACCGAGAATGGCCACATGAACGTACGTTCTAGTAAAATTACCGAAGAAACACACGCGGCTTCTAACCGAGAACATCACTGAGGACGGCCACACGAATGTATATTCTAGTAAAATTACTGAAAAAACACGCGGCTTCTAACAGAGAACATCACCGAGAACAGCCGAATGAACCCACATTCTAGTAAAATTACCGAAAAACACACACTGGCTTAACCGAGAACATCACCGACAACGGCCACACGAACGTACATTCTAGTGAAATTACCAAAAAAACACACGCAGCTTCTAACCGAGAATATCACCGAGAACAGCCACATGAACGTATACTCTAGTGAAATCACCGAAAAAAACACACGCGGCTTCTAACCAAGAACATCACCGAGAATGGCCACACGAACGTACATTCTAGTGAAATTACCAAAAAAACACACACGGCTCCTAACCAAGAACATCACCAACAACGGCCACACAGACATTCTAGTGAAATTACAGAAAAAACACACGCGGCTTCTAACTAACCGAGAACATCACCGAGAATGGCCACACGAACGTATATTCTAGTAAAATTACTGAAAAAACACACGTGACTTCTAAGGGGAAAAGATGTTATCATTATCATACTTTCACAGAGGAAAAAGACATGATCCAAGGCTTTAATATCCAGAAAAACTACCTTTCAAATTTGAAGGACAAAAACTCTCATGGACAAGTCTGATCTCAGGGACTAATGAGGAATTCACTAGAGTCCACTTCAGACCCCACGAGGACCAGTCAGTAAAACTAAGACTTGAAGACTGAAAGAAAGTATAGTATGTAACAGCTATTATGCTCTTGTAGATGCAGTATAATTATTTTAATAAATTCGAGAAAATTAGGGCATATTCTAAGATTTTTAAGAATTTCAGTAATTATACTGATGTTGGCAGTATTGAAATTATATCCTAAGTCTGTCGTGTATGAAATGTGGTTATGTAAAGCAAATGAAAAATCATGAGATATTTTATCAAACACTCTTGGAACCAGGATTTGATATGGAAGAAAGGAGAGACAGATGTAACAGAAGAAGTACAGACCCCATACTTTTGAATTTGAGTAGAAGGAATCAGCATATTAGCCAGGCAAGGTGGCATGTGTCTGTACTCCTAGCTACTCAGGAGGCTGAGGCAGGAGGATCACTTGAGCCCAGGAATTCGAGGCTACAGTGAGCTATAATTGCACTACTGCACTCCAGCCTGGATGACAGAGCAAGATCCTATCTCTAAACAAATAAATACATAAATAAAATATAAAAAATAAATAAAAGGAAAAAATTTTTAAGTATCAGTATGAACTCAAAAGAATCCAGGGCAGACCCCAGGTGAAGAGTGGCAACCTACAAAAAACCGAGGACACCTTGTGTAGACTGCCTGGACGCTACTGAAGACTACCAGAATCACTTCGGGAGCTACACTGAAGAGGCTGCCACTGTCTAGAAACAGGATAATCTCAGCTTCAACAAAGATAATAACAATAGAGTAAAACAATCACATATGTTCCAAGCCATGAGTTCATAATAACATTAAAAAAAAAAACAGGTCACCTTCAAGAAATAATAGGAAACCAATTCATTCTCTGGTAAATGGAAGAAAGAATCAAGCTTTTATCTTGTCTTTCTCAGGCAAACAGCACCTTGAACAACTAACTACAGGATGAAGGGAAATGCCTCTTTACAGGAAAGTATTCCAGCTAACAAATAAGCAAGAAATGATTCCACTAGAATAGCACCATTTGTAGCCCCTCATGGGCCAATAGCCTCGGGTGCTAATAAGCCTCAGGGACTGCTGATGTCACAAAGCAAAGACAGGCAGGCAGGAGGTGCCTGCTGAGGCTGAGTCACAACCACTAAGGAGCTGGCAAAAGGGGCGGAACTTATGGGCCTCCGAATCGGGCAGCACCTTGCAGAAGGACGGGCCTGAGGAACACACTGAACAGCAGCACACGTGTCCAGTCAGCAGATCCAGGCTGCAGTGAAGCCCGCCAGATCAAAGGCCGGGGCCTCAACAATTTTCTTCTTAATAATTTTTGTTGAGTTGTTAAAAACAAAAGATATACACGTGGGTAACAGAAGCTGTCCAGAAATGCAAGTCAGTGATGGATCAATATCAGGACAGCATCACTCAGAGGAACATCAGGGGATACACTGAGGGCTTCCAGAATTTGCCACAGGTTAGGTCTAGACTTGGGTCATGATGACTAGGGCATCTGCCTGATTATCATGAAGCTAAACATTTACTTTGTGTGACTTTCTATATCATGATTTATTGTGCAAAAGTAGTTTGTTAGAAAAGGGGAGAAAAGTGATTCTAAAGCAATTCTGTAACTTCTTTTTATAAAATGGAGATGGTTGTTTCTACTGAAGCAATTACAGAATCACATCATTCTGAAGGTGGGAAAGGCTGCAGCTCCCCGCTGGGGCCAGCCCCTGTACCTGGTATCTTCACTGTGCCACTGGTGGAGGTGTCGTCGGTGTAAGGGTGGCTACTCTCCACCACCACAGGCTGAGAAGAGAGGCGGCCGCTCTGCGAGTCTGTGGCCACATCCTCCAACTCGGTGACACAGAGCTCCAACAGCATATCTGCCACCTGGAGAGGAAGCAAGGACATGAATGAGGGGGCCAACAGCCCCACACCTGGTCACCTGCATGCCACCTCTGCCCGTCCTGCTCAGGAGCTCCACAAGGACAGCGTGGCAGAGTGGAGGGCTTGGAGTTTGAGAAATTGAGTTCAAATCAGGGCTTGGCTTCCTTGCACATAAAACAGAGACAGCACAGAGCCTGTAAGATGCTGTGAAGCTTAGGGATGATCTATGTTAAAAAGTCGTTGGGGCCAGGCACGGTGGCTCACGCCTGGAATCCCAGCACTTTGGAAGGCCGAGGCAAGCGGATCACCTGAGGTCAGGAGTTCGAGATCAGCCTGACCAACATGGAGAAACCCCATCTCTACTAAAAATAAAAACTTAGTTGGGCGTGGTGGTGCATGCCTGTAATCCTAGCTACTCAGGAGGCTGAGGCAGGAGAATCACTTGAACCTGGGAGGCAGAGGTTGCGGTGAGCCGAGATCACACCGTTGCACTCCAGCCTGGGTGACCCGAGCGAGACTGCGTCTCAAACAAAAAAAGTCATTGGGTGGAGCGCAGTGGCTCACACTTGTAATACAAGCACTTTGGGAGGTCGAGGCAGGCAGATCACTGGAGGTCAGGAGTTCAAGACCAGCCTGGCCAGTACGGTGAAACCCCGTCTCTACTAAAAATACAATTAGCTGGGTATGGTGGCCCGTGCCTGTAGTCCCACCTACCCAGGAGGCTGAGGCAGGAGAATCGCTTAAACTCAGGAGGTGAAGGTTGCAGTGAGCTGAGACTGCACCACTGCACTCCAGCCTGAGCGACAGAGAGAGACTCTGTCTCGAAAAAAGAAAAAGAAAAAAAAGTAGTTGGAAGGCTCCCAACACACACAACACTTAATATGTGCCAGCTGATAAAATGAAACACCGTGGTGACAATAGCTTCATTTTACACCAAGACAAGATTACTTCCTAGTGAGGAAAGTTGGCCTCGGAAACAAAAACATCAAGGGAAGGAGCACCCAGTAGGTGAAAATGACCACAATCCTAGAAGGCAACGGAGCCCGGTGGGAGGGGCGGGAATCAGGAACCATCAAGCCGCTCAGGCCAGACAGAGACAGGGAGAGTCTGTGACAGGAGGGACCGCCGACCCCAACACAGCTGCCCCTGCTGACCCAGTACACTAGGGGTCAGACCCATACCACATTCTCAACAATCCACAGTGTTCTTATTTTATTTTAAAACTTATTGATGATTCACATCTTTTACGATTAAGGTTAAGAGTGGTGATTATAAACTCTGTTATTTTTAAAAATAAATGAGAGAATACATCATAACAGCAATAATCTATTAACCCCAACATTTTTAATCCAGAAAAAATAAAACTCTTCTAATGCCCATTCTATACTTTTTAGAAATAGATTATTCTTTTTTCTATTATTCCTCATATTTAGGTAAGAAATAGCTTTGCTTAGTAAATATTATATATTAACAAACTAATATCATTGTCACATAGGCATGATTTTAAATCTAAATTTGTCTCTCTTTTTGAGTCCCAAATATCAGGTCAGGGCAGGACACAGAAATAGCCATCTTGCCAACCTGGCAAGGGCAGTTTGAAAACGGCCGTATCCTTATTCTTGTCTCTCCTGGAACCTGGCTGAGTAACTGAAAGCAGATGTTGGCATCATCAAGCGCCCATGTGCAGAGTCGATCAGGGGCTCTGGCCTTCAGAAGGTTGCTCTGCCAAGCACATCATCTGCAGAGGGGTCATGATGGAGCTGGGGCTCAGACACTCAGGGTTCCAACCCATCTCTTCCACCTACCAGCAAAGTGAGTGTCCTCAAGCCAGCAGTAACCTCTCAGCCTCAGTTTCCTCATCCATATATAAAGGTAACCCCTACCCTCTCTACTGAGAATGTGGGGATGTGCATGGCAAATGCTCAGCATTATTTTATATATATATTTTTTTATTATACTTTAAGTTCTAGGGTACATGTGCACAACGTGCAGGTTTGTTACATATGTACACATGTGCCATGTTGTTGTGCTGCACCCATTAACTCATCATTTACATTAGGTATATCTCCTAATGCTATCCCTCCCCCCTCCCCCCACCCCAAAACAGGCCCTGGTGTGTGATGTTCCCCTTCCTGTGTCCAAGTGTTCTCATTGTTCAATTCCCACCTATAAGTGAGAACATGCAGTGTTTGGTTTTTTTGTCCTTGTGATAGTTTGCTGAGAATGATGGTTTCCAGCTCATCCATATCCCTACAAAGCACATGAACTCATCCTTTTTTATGGCTGCATAGTATTCCATGGTGTATATATGCCACATTTTCTTAATCCAGTCTATCATTGTTGGACATTTGGGTTAGTTCCAAGTCTTTGCTATTGTGAATAGTGCCACAATAAACATATGTGTGCATGTGTCTTTATAGCAGCATGATTTATAATCCTTTGGGTATATACCCAGTAATGGGATGGCTGGGTCAAATGGTATTTCTAGTTCTAGATCCCTGAGGAATCGCCACACTGTGTTCCGCAGTGGTTGAACTAGTTTACACTCCCACCAACAGTGTAAAAGTGCTCCTATTTCTCCACATCCTCTCCAGCACCTGTTGTTTCCTGACTTTTTAACGATCGCCATTCTAACTGGTGTGAGATGGTATCTTATTGTGGTTTTGATTTGCATTTCTCTGATGGCCAGTGATGATGAGCATTTTTTCATGTGTCTGGTGGCTGCATAAATGTCTTCTTTTGAGAAGTGTCTGTTCATATCCTTCGCCCACTTGTTGATGGGGTTGTTTTTTTCTTGTAAATTTCTTTGAGTTCTTTGTAGATTCTGGATATTAGACCTTTGTCAGATGAGTAGATTGCAAAAATTTTCTCCCATTCTGTAGGTTGCCTGTTCACTCTGATGGTAGTTTCTTTTGCTGTGCAGAAGCTCTTTAGTTTAATTGGATCCCATTTGTCAATTTTGGCTTTTGTTGCCATTGCTTTTGGTGTTTGAGACATGAAGTCCTTGCCCATACCTATGTCCTGAATGGTATTCCCTAGGTCTTCTTCTAGGGTTTTTATGGTTTTAGGTCTAACATTTAAGTCTTTAACCCATCTTGAATTAATTTTTGTGTAAGGTGTAAGGAAGGGATCCAGTTTCAGCTTTCTACACATGGTTAGCCAGTTTTCCCAGCACCATTTGTTGAATAGGGAATCCTTTCCCCATTTCTCGTTTTTGTCAGGTTTGTCAAAGATCAGATAGTTGTAGATGTGTGGTATTATTTCTGAGGGCTCTGTTCTGTTCCATTGGTCTATATCTCTGTTTTGGTACCAGTACCATGCTGTTTTGGTTACTGTAGCTTTGTAGTATAGTTTGAGGTCAGGTAGCGTGATGCCTCCAGCTTTGTTCTTTTGGCTTAGGATTGACTTGGCAATGCGGGCTCTTTTTTGGTTCCAAATGAACTTTAAAGTAGTTTTTTCCAATTCTGTGAAGAAAGTCATTGGTAGCTTGATGGGGATGGCATTGAATCTATAAATCACCTTGGGCAGTATGGCCATTTTCACGATTTCCTATCCATGAGCATGGAATGTTATTCCATTTGTTTGTATCCTCTTTTATTTTATTGAGCAGTGGTTTGTAGTTCTCCTTGAAGAGGTCCTTCACATCCCTTGTAAGTTGGATTCCTAGGTATTTTATTTTCTTTGAAGCAATTGTGAATGGGATTTCACTCATTATTTTGCTGTTTGTCTGTTATTGATGTATAAGAATGCTTGTGATTTTTGCACATTGATTTTGTATCCTGAGACTTTGCTGAAGTTGCTGATCAGCTTAAGGAGATTTTAGGCTGAGACGATGGGGTTTTCTAGATATACAATCATGTCATCTGCAAACAGGGACAATTTGACTTCCTCTTGTTCTAATTGAATACCCTTTATTTCTTTCTCCTGCCTGATTGCCCTGGCCAGAACTTCCAACACTATGTTGAACAGGAGTGGTGAGAGAGGGCATCCCTGTCTTGTGCCAGTTTTCAAAGGGAATGCTTCCAGTGTTTGCCCATTCAGTATGATATTGGCTGTGGGTTTGTCATAAATAGCTCATTATTTTGAGATACATCCCAACAATACTGAATTTGTTGAGTTTTTAGCATGAAGGGCTGTTGAATTTTGTCAAAGGCCTTTTCTGCATCTATTGAGATAATCATGTGGTTTTTGACTTTGGTTCTGTTTATATGCTAGATTACGTTTATTGATTTGCATATGTTGAATCAGCCTTGCATCACAGGGATGAAGCCCACTTGATCATGGTGGATAAGCTTTTTGATGTGCTGCTGGATTCGGTTTGCCAGTATTTTATTGAGGATTTTTGCATCAATGTTCATCAGGGATATTGGTGTAAAATTCTTTTTGTTGTGTCTCTGCCAGGCTTTGGTATCAGGATGGTGCTGGCCTCATAAAATGAGTTAGGGAGGATTCCCTCTTTTTCTATTGATTGGAATAGTTTCAGAAGGAATGGTACCAGCTCCTCTTTGTACCTCTGACAGAATTCAGCTGTGATTCCATCTGGTCCTGGACTTTTTTTGGTTGGTAAGCTATTAATTATTGCCTCCATTTCAGAGCCTGTTACTGGTCTATTCAGAGATTCAACTTCTTCCTGGTTTAGTCTTGGGTGGGTGTATGTGTCCAGGAATTTATCCATTTCTTCTAGATTTTCTAGTTTATTTGTGTAGAGGTGTTTGTAGTATTCTCTGATGGTAGTTTGTACTTCTATGGAATCAGTGGTGATATCCCCTTTATCATTTTTTATTGCATCCACTTGATTCTTCTCTCTTTTCTTATTAGTCTTGCTAGAGATCTATCAATTTTGTTGATCTTTTCAAAAAACCAGCTCCTGGCTTCATTGATTTTTTGAAGGGTTTTTTGTGTCTCTATCTCCTTTAGTTCTGCTCTGATCTTAGTTATTTTTTGCCTTCTGCTAGCTTCTGAATGTGTTTGCTCTTGCTTCTCTAGTTCTTTTAATTGTGATGTTAGGGTGTCAATTTTAGATCTTTCCTGCTTTCTCTTGTGGGCATTTAGTGCTATAAATTTCCCTCTACACACTGCTTTAAATGTGTCCCAGAGATTCTGGTATGTTGTGTCTTTGTTCTCGTTGGTTTCAAAGAACAACTTTATTTCTGCCTTCGTTATGTACCCACTAGTCATTCAGGAGCAGGTTGTTCGGTTTCCATGTAGTTGAGCAGTTTTGAGTGAGTTTCTTAATCCTGAGTTCTAGTTTGATGGCACTATGGTCTGAGAGACAGTTTGTTATAATTTCTGTTATTTTACATTTGCTGAGGAGTGCTTTACTTCCAACTATGTGGTCAATTTTGGAGTAAGTGCGGTGTGGTGCTGAGAAGAATGTATATTCTATTGATTTGGGGTGGAGAGTTCTGTAGATGTCTATTAGGTTGGCTTGATGCAGAGCTGAGTTCAGTTCCTGGATATCCTTGTTAACTTTCTGTCTCATGGATCTGTCTAATGTTGACAGTGGGGTGTTAAAGTCTCCCATTATTATTGTGTGGGAGTCGAAGTCTCTTTGTGGGTCTCTAAGGACTTGCTTTATGAATCTGGGTGCTCCTTTATTGGGTGCATAGATATTTAGGATAGTTAGTTCTTCTTATTGAATTGATCCCTTTACCATTATGTAATGGCCTTCTTTGTCTCTTTTGATCTTTGGTGGTTTAAAGTCCGTTTTATCAGAGACTAGGATTGCAACTCCTGCCTTTTTTTGTTTTCCATTTGCTTGGTAGATCTTTCTCCATCCCTTTATTTTGAGCCTATGTGTGTCTCTGCACATGAGATGGGTTTCCTGAATACAGCACACTGATGGGTCTTGACTCTTTATCCAATTTGCCAGTCTGTGTCTTTTAATTGGAGCATTTAGCCCACTTACATTTAAGGTTAATATTATTATGTGTGAATTTGATCCTGTCATTATGATGTTAGCTGGTTATTTTGCTCGTTAGTTGATGCAGTTTCTTCCTAGCATTGATGGTCTTTACAATTTGGCATGTTTTTGCAGTGGTTGGTACCGGTTGTTCCTTTCCATGTTTAGTGCTTCCTTCAGGAGTTCTTTTAGGGCAGGCCTGGTGGTGACAAAATCTCTCAGCATTTGCTTGTCTGTAAAGGATTTTATTTCTCCTTCACTTATGAAGCTTAGTTTGGCTGGATATGAAATTCTGGGTTGAAAATTCTTCTCTTTAAGAATGTTGAATATTGGCCCCCACTCTCTTCTGGCTTGTAGAGTTTCTGCCCAGAGATCCGCTGTTAGTCTGATGGGCTTCCCTTTGTGGGTAACCCGACCTTTCTCTCTGGCTGCCCTTAACATTTTTTCCTTCATTTCAACTTTGGTGAATCTGACAATTATGTGTCTTGGAGTTGCTCTTCTCGAGGAGTATCTTTGTGGCATTCTCTGTACTTCCTGAATTTTAATGTTGGCCTGCCTTGCTAGATTGGGGAAGTTCTCCTGGATAATATCCTGCAGAGTGTTTTCCAACTTGGTTCCATTCTCCCCATCACTTTCAGGTGCACCAATCAGTCATAGATTTGGTCTTTTCACATAGTCCCATATTTCTTGGAGGTTTTGTTCATTTCTTTTTATTCTTTTTTCTCTAAACTTCTCGCTTCATTTCATTCATTTGATCTTCAATCACTGATACCCCTTCCTCCAGGTGATCGAATTGGCTACTGAAGTGTGTGCATTTGTCACGTAGTTCTCATGCCATGGTTTTCAGCTCCATCAGCTCCTTTAAGGACTTCTCTGCATTGGTTATTCTAGTTAGCCATTCGTCTAATCTTTTTTCAAGGTTTTTAACTTCTTTGCAATGGGTTCGAACTTCCTCCTTTAGCTCGGAGAAGTTTGATCGTCTGAAGCCTTCCTCTCTCAGCTCATCAAAGTCATTCTCCTTCCAGCTTTGTTCCATTGCTGGTGAGGAGCTGCGTTCCTTTGGAGGAGGAGAGATGCTCTGATTTTTAGAATTTTCAGTTTTTCTGCTCTGTTTTTTCTCCATCTTTGTGGTTTTATCTACCTTTGGTCTTTGATGATGGTGATGTACAGATGGGGTTTTGGTGTAGATGTCCTTTCTGTTTGTTAGTTTTCCTTCTAACAGTCAGGACCCTCAGCTGCAGGTCTGTTGGAGTTTGCTGGAGGTCCACTCCCAGACTCTGTTTGCCTGGGTATCAGCAGCGGAGGCTGCAGAACAGCGAATATTGCTGAACAGCAAATGTTGCTGTCTGATCGTTCCTCTGGAAGTTTTGTCTCAGAGGGGTACCCGGCCGTGTGAGGTGTCAGTCTGCTCCTACTGGGGGGTGCCTCCCAGTTAGGCTACTCGGGGGTCAGGGACCCACTTGAGGAGGCAGTCTGTCCATTCTCAGGTCTCAAACTCCGTTCTGGGAGAACCACTACTCTCTTCAAAGCTGTCAGACAGGGACATTTAAGTCTGCAGAGGTTTCTGCTGCCTTTTGTTCGGCTATGGCCTGCCCCCAGAGGTGGAGTCTATAGAGGCAGGCAGGCCTCCTTGAGCTGCGGTGGGCTCCACCCAGTTTCAGCTTCCGGGCCGCTTTGTTTACCTACTCAAGCCTCAGCAACGGTGGACGCCCCTCCCCCAGCCTGGCTGCTGCCTTGTAGTTCGATCTCAGGCTGCTGTGCTAGCAATGAGCGAGGCTCCGTGGGCGTGGGACCCTCCGAGCCAGGCGCGAGATATAATCTCCTGGTGTGCCATTTGCTAAGACCGTTGGAAAAGCACAGTATTAGGGTGGGAGTGACCCAATTTTCCAGGTGCCTTCTGTCACAGCTTTGCTTGGCTAGGAAAGGGAATTCCCTGACCCCTTGTGCTTCCCAGGTGAGGCGATGCCTCGCCCTGCTTCAGCTCATGCTCGGTGCACTGCACCCACTGTCCTGCACCCGCTGTCCGACAAGCCCCAGTGAGATGAACCTGGTATCTCAGTTGGAAATGCAGAAATCACCCATCTTCTGCGTTGCTCACACTGGGAGCTGTAGACTGGAGCTGTTCCTATTCAGCCATCTTGGCACCGCCCCCCGCTCAGCATTATTTTAAATCAAAGTTCTCATTCATACCCTTCCCTCTCACAAATGCAATAAACTTATGAAAAATAATAATAGTGCTTATGGTAATTCACCTTGATTTCATCTCTTAGAATTATGCCAAGTAACTTGTCTCAAAAAACTAGAAAAAAGGATACCTACAGCTTTTTAGTTCTTCATGAATAGCAGATGAAGAAATAACAAGCCCCTAAAATATCTACCAAACTCTGCTGCGCTTTCAAGACTGCTCAACTCTACTTAAGTACTTTATCGTTTTGGTGATCATGTAAGTTACTAAAATTTCTGACCATCAGAGCTTTAACGTTTCAGAATTTCAGATAAAGGAGTATGAACTTACATTTAATGATTTTTTTTTTAAATATAATTCTACTTAAAAACTTCAGAAGTTCCTTTAAAGAGAATATTCTTCTAACTAAAGCCAAAAATCCTAATAGGCACAGAAACTGCCTAAACTAAGTGACAGAGTAAGACTTTCCTCCACACAAAGTAGGCACCCAGAGAAACGGATGAAGTGTCTGCAGCCAGGAAGGACATCTCAGGCTCCCTGGCAGGGCAGAGCATGGCTGCTGATAAAGAAGAGTTCTTAAGGAAGCCCACGGCCTTTACGACTGATCAGTCCTATTTCTAAGACATACTAGTAAGACGCTCACTTTATACTGCAGACCTACAGACCAATTCAGCAGCTACTAGCCACATGTGCCTCAAGTTGAGTGTTTTAAAACCTTCAGTTCCTCAGGTGCACTAGCCATATTTCAGTGTGCAGTGGCCATATGTGGCTGGTGCCAATGGTCCCAGATGGCTCCGGTCCAGAACATTTCCACAATGACAAAGTCCTACAGACCCAGTGCTACCAAATATTAAAAGACATTTTAAAGCTGTAATAGTTAAAATACCATAGTATCAGAACCTAAGAAGTTTTGTAAATAGACCCAAATGCATACAGGAATTTAGAATATGATAAAACTGGTTTTTAAATCACCAGGGAAAAGATGAGTTATTCAATAAATGATGTTAGGGCAACCGGTTTACCATCTAGGAAAAAAAGTAAAGTTGGATACCTACTTTATTCTTACATCAAAATAAATCCCAGGTGGCTAAAAAATGTAAACAATACATGAAATCATAAAAAATTAGAAGAAGGCCGGGCATGGTGGCTCATGCCTGTAATCCCAAGCACTTTGGGAGGCCAAGGTGGGTAGATCACTTGAGGTCAGCAGTTCCAGACCAGCCGGGCCAACATGGTGAAACCCCATCTCAACTAAAAATACAAAAATTAGCCAGGCATCGTGGCGCATGCCTGTAATCCCAGCTACTCAGGAAGCTGAGGCACAAGAATCACCTGATCCCGGGAGGTAGAGGTGATCCTGGGAGGCTGAGATTGCGCCACCGCACTCCAGCCCGGGTGAAGGAGACTGTCTCAAAAACCTTAGACGAAAACTTGGAAGAATTTATTTAAAACAATGTCACATAAGCAAGCATTTTTTTTTCAGCATAATACAAAACTCAGAAGGCATAAATGAAAAAAACTGACAGATTTGACCACATAATAATTAAAAATTTCTACATGGCAAAAAATATCAAACTAATATCAAAAAATAAACTGGGGTGGAAACTGTAAGACATATGATAGAAAAGGGACTTAAAGAACTTTGACAAATCATTTTAAAAAGATGCACAAATCAGTTATAAAACAGGTAAAGGGGCCAGGTTTGGTGCTCACTCCTGTAATCCCAGCACTTTGGGAGGCTGAGGCAGGTGGATCACGAGGTCAGGAGATCAAGACCATCCTGGCTAACATGGTAAAACCCCGACTCTACTAAAAATACAAAAAAAATTAGCCGGGCATGGTGGTGGGCACCTGTAGTCCCAGCTACTTGGAAGGCTGAGGCAGGAGAATGGTGTGAACCCAGGAGGCAGAGCTTGCAGTGAGTCGAGATGGCGCCACTGCACTCTAGCCTGGGCGACAGAGCGAGACTCCGTCTCAAAAAAACAAAAAACAGGTAAAGGATGTCACTGGGTTAAATGCTAAAACGTTTTGCTCTAAAGGAGTGCTCCTAACCTGCAGTCTACTAGGATGAAACCCAGCACAAGATCACCGGTGATCCATAGCAGCTCTCCTTTGGAGAGGAGGGTGGCCCAACATGGAGGAGGTGGAATCAGACGGCCCCGCCCTCCCTGAGACTCACCTGTGGGTAGGCGGTCCCCATGCCGGAAAGCACCGCGGAGAGCACATCCCTGCCCCTGTCCCCGGCCCGGCTGCACACTGACAGCTTGAGCAGGTCTACCACCACACGAGTGTCATCCGCAATCAGCAGACTGGTGAACTCATCCAAGGCCTGAGGCTCCGGACCTGCTGCTTTATTTTGGCTTTCAACATCCTAAGTCAAATGACATCCAACAATTAACATGAGGAATGATATGCTAAGAGATAAAGAGTCACCAGTTTACCCATAAACTCAGAGAACACATGAATACCAACGAGTAAGAAACCTGAAGGTGTTTAAGACCTTAAGAAACAGATTAAGAAACGACGGCCCCTAAAATCTCCACCAAGCCATGTACTATGTTTTCAAGACCAATTAACTGTTGTATTACCAATGGCATTTATCAAAAAGGGATGACTTAAGCTATAAAGAAATGACAATTTATTACTGGGACCAAGTTTGGATCATAAGCAGATACTACAGGGGGAGTTTTGGAATGAAGCTGCATCCTGTATAATCTACCCATAAGATACGCTAGGGAATCGTTTACAAACTAAATTTGTATTCTCTAATTGTATACATTTTGTCTAGATCCTCTCCATAATTCTTTCCTGGAATCTTATTTCAAGCAACTCACTGGCATTAACACACTATCCAGTCTCTCTCTCTCCTTGGGTTCATTGAAAACATCATACATAAAAGTCTTCTCATTACCACTCGTGTACTTCCCATTCCTGCCATGTCAGCCTAAACATACCACATCTTGATCCTTCAACTCCTCTCCTTGTTTGCTATGAGCCAATTCCCAGCATCACTGCACCCCCAGCTCCCACCCTATGGAGGTGCCTTGCCCAGGATGGCCGCCCCCACCCTGCTTGTTGGCACACAGAAGCCTCCTGGAGGGCAGCACTGGGGCTGAGCTTGTGGAAACGGGAAAGGCCCTTGTCAGTGCCAGGGACTCCCACCGCTTCCGACCCAGCATGGGAACCGCTGTGACCCTGTGCAGAGCAGGAGTGTGTCAAGCCCTTCTCATTCCCCAGGCAGAGTCTGGCTCCCCAGAGGAAGATCGAGAGCCAGGGAAGTGCCGCTTTTCTCTCCTGCTTTCTGGACCTCAGCAAATCCAGTGCAACTCTTTCCACAAACATAAACAGGCTGGGGGAAGGACAGCCCCACATGTTCCCCTTAAGGGGAAAATGACCCAACCAGTGGACCCTGGAAACCACACCACTCTGATTTAGGAACAAGGTTCCTCTCCCTTTTGGGAAACAGACCTTGCTCCTGCCTCTGCATGGAGACACAAGGAGTAAGGGAAATTCATTATAAATGATGACATTCCAGAACATAACTCACTGAAGGACAGCAAAAGCATTCAGTGAAACATATTAACAAGAATATCTTTAGTCTTGAGATTGAAATGTACCTACCATTTTTTTTTATGAGGGTGTCTTAAAACATGCACACACACAAACACAGAAAATATGTCTAGAAGAATTGCTAAGGAAGAAAATCACTAGCGGCATATCCTTAAATATGAATTATAGCTTAATACTAACATTAAAATTGCTTTGCCTTAAATTCATGAGTCAAGCCAAAACTGAAATAATAGAAATACAGGGTTGCAACCTGGATAATGCCTATGTCTCATAAATAAATTGGGGGGAAATAAATCATATTATCCTTTTACCTAAAACAAAAATGTTGCCTTCCTCAGAATAAGTTCTGCATTAAACCCTCAAACCAGGAGACTGCCAAAAATTAGAAGTTGATTCCAGGCACCTAATTCATAAATAGAGGCTTTCTTACTACCATGGATGGTTATAAATAATTTCTGTAGGACATATTTTCTGCCAGCAGTAACAGCATAATAAATCAAGGGTTCCAAATGTAATTAAAAATAAAGTGTTTGCCCTCAAGGTGGAAAGGCTGGCAAGGGAGTACACATGAGCAGGGGCTGGCCTGGTGTGGGGAGCGCCTCAGCGGGCTGGGGAAGGCATCCACACATGGGGGGTTGGAGAGACACAGCCAGGCCAAGTGAGGAAGGTGCCACACTCTGGGTCAACATGGAGGTGAGGGGAGGGCCAGAGGTCACGTAGGGTGACCATGGAGGACCATGGAGGCAGACTGGTTCTGAGTGCCAGAGGATGTACAGAGGAAGAAAGGTGCCCACCACGGAGTGGGGGACAGCCAAGATCGGAGGTTGGTTATCTAAGGGGACTGAACTGTAAGTAAATAGCCTGCTGATGACAGGAGCCAGGTTTCCCACTTTCAGAGAAGGAAGTTATAAATACAGAAAGGGTGAAAACTAGAATGAATCTTAGTTGGGTTACAATCAATCATATTGGTGTGAACCGGTGGTTTTCCATGTACGTAAATATATAACAACACAAATACTGATGTAGGCCAAACACGGTGGCTCATGCCTGTAATCCCAGCACTTTGAGAGGATGAGGCAGGCAGATCACTTGAGCCCAGGAGTTCAAGACCAGCCTGGGCAACATGGCAAAACCTATCTCTGAAAAAAAAAGAGAAAAAAAAAAATACAAAAATTAGCCAGGTATGGTGGTGCATGCTTGTAGTTCCAGCTACTTGGGAGGCTGAGGATGGCTTGAGACCAGGAGGTTGAGGCTGCAGTGAGCCAAGATCGTGCCACTCTACTGCAGCCTGGGCAACAGAACAAGACCCTGTCTAAAAACAAAACAAAAACAAAAACTGATGTATGTACCTATTATGTTACACACACACATATTCATTCTCTAGCCCTGTCACCCAAACAGCAACAAGCACACAAAGGGCCCAGATCTTGACCTCTAAATGCCCTTCTCCACCAGAAAGAACTAGGACTTCTCAGAAACACAACTGATTCCTATGTTGGAGCATAAAACATCTTATTGAGCCTGGAATTTTGTGTTGTGCCAAAAAGTAAGGAAATACTCAAAGAATGATGGGAATATGCCAGAAGAACACATAAAATTCTACCAACTACTTAAAGAAGAATTAACCCGAATGCTTCACCAACTCTTCTAAAAAACAGAAGAGAAAGGCACACCCTCCAACTCAATCTATGAAGCCAATATTGCTATAATATCCAAACCAAAGACATCACAAGAAAACTACAGAGCCGTATCCCTTATGAATACAGATGTAAAAATCTTCAACAAAATAGCAGCAAACCAAATCTAGCAACATATAAAAGCATTATACACCAAAAAAATATGGAAAAAGGGAGAGTAGGAATAAGCCCTGTGGTACTGGATTGGAATTAAAAGTACTGATTTGGGCTGTTAATGGTTTTTATTATATAGATAAATGCAGAAGGATAAATAAATGTTCATGTGTATAGGTCTATTTGCTGAGAGGGCCTAACCAAAGACACTCAGTAACAATTAGCTTACCAAGCACCCAGATCTCGGTTTCCAAATCCTACAAGCCACTAGCAGGAACCATGGCTTCTTGAAGAAATGGCTGATTCCAGGCAGGGGGAGGGTAGGTGAAAGATAAGTCTAGAGCACAGTTGTGCCAGAAATGAAGGAAGAGCCCTAAAAATTATGGGGACACATCAGACAATGGAACCAGTCCACAGGGATCCCAATGACCAGTCCACGGGAGTCCCAATGACCGGGTCCCAGTGACCAGTCCACGGGAGTCCCAGTGACCGAGTCCCAGTGACCAGTCCACGGGAGTCCCAGTGACCGAGTCCCAGTGACCAGTCCATGGGAGTCCCAATAACCAAGTCCAGGACCATTTGGGTGTCAAATAATGATAGCAACAAACGTCACTATTTGACTAAAACAGGAACTCCTGATTCTATACAATATAAAAAGACAGGTAGGTAGGTAGGTAGAAGACAGACGGATGAGAAGGGAAAGCTGTCTCTTGCAAAAGAATGGCAACAATTACATTCCAGAAGTAACAATAAATGTGAACAATGAAAATGTGACAACCACCACAGTAATAATGGATTCAGCTAGAATCTTTAAGATGCTAAAAACTGGGAGGTAAAAGTATGATGAGGAACAAGACATTGACATAATCTCAAAAGTATCTCCCCATGAGTACTTAACACACTTACTGACTTCCAGTGGAGAAACTTGGCAGAGACCCTTAACCAAGTGATAAGCTATCTCACCAATGATGCAGCAAATCAGCAATGCGTGAGTCCTAATGGAGGCACTGAAAAGAATTCTGCACCGTTCCTGTGGTGTCTGTCAAAACGAAGAACTGAAGGACTGTTCCACACTGAAGACTAAAGAGGCAACATGCAATCCTAGGTTGAGTGCTAGACCTTTAAGGATACTATTGGGATGATGAGCAAAATCTGAATATGTCTGTGGGTTTGAAAGTAATCCTGGATCAAGCTGCAGTCCTGATACTCAAGGAATACACGTGGAAGCAGTAAGCAGTGACAGGGACCGTGTCCTGCGGCATTCCCACAAACGCTTCGAAGATGCTAACAAGTGGACAGCCGAGGTGAATGGGATAGGAATAGACTGTGTTCCACTCCTAAGTTCTATTTCTACTTCTGTGTACATTTAAGATTATTTCACAATACAAAGTTAAAGAAGAACGCCTCTTCACCTCTTTGGTTTTGGTCATGGTTTCTGCAATGATGCTTGCGGCTCCCAGGTCATCCGTCACTGGGATAAAAGGCCGAGCGGAGGCTGAGGGGGCCGACGGAGTCACTGCAGAGGGGGTCACTGCGTCCTCAGAGGAAACAATCTAGTCCAAGAGTGCACAGTAGGGGAAGTTTAAGTGGAAAAACTCAGCAACATAACACATTTCCTATGCAAGTCCCAAATGCTTTACCTAAAACTACTTGGGCTGTTTAGAATGTTCCAGATTTTACAGAGGTAACATGGTGCCCACCAGACATAGCCACTACCACCCCCAGTCAGGCCTAGGACAGTTTTGCAAAGTCAAGCACATTCATATTTTCAAGAATAACTATTAATATTCACAGCAGGTCACATGAACCAGACTAAAATGAGTTCACATATCTTCGAGTTGGTTCTTTCCCCCAAAATGTTACTAAAATTCTTGACTGTCAGAACTTTAAGGTTTCAGAATTGCAGATAAAGGACTGTGAACTTGATTTAATGGTTTTTTTAATAAAAGAAAGCCAATTCCACTTAAGCACTTTAAAAGCTCCTTTACAGAGAATATTCTTCTAAGTAAAGCCAAAAATCTAAGCGGGAGGCACAGAAACAGCCTAAACTAAATGACACAATGAGACTTTCCTAGACACAAAGTAGCCACCTTTTCCTTTCTGATCTAACATTGCTTTAGATTCGCTTTTACCTCTCTCTTTTCTTGCCATGGATTTGGACTCAGTCTGTCTTCGATATCAACAGCCAGCATGCATTCTTCTCCATTCATGGGACTAGCCATCGCAGATGCGTCGGAAGGGGCCGCCGAGGAGAACGAGGGGCACTCCACCGGGGCGATCATGGCGGCCGGCATCAGGGCCCCGACAACAGCATCTCTGTCAGGACACAAAGCCAGGCCTGTGGTGAGCTGCCCCTTCTCCACTGCAGCACAGGAAGTGGAGAGGCAGGGCTAGCACGCACTGAGGCGTTTCCTCATTTTTACTGAATACATGTAGAAGAGTTTTGGAAAACTACCAAACATTATTACCATGTATCCTTTGGCTAATAGCTAAAATGTTTACTCTGGATCCTATTTATTTGAAAAACCAGAGTAATGGCAGGTGAAAAACTGCCAAACATAAAAACCAGACCAGAATGAGACTCTGGCTCTCCCTGAGAAAGAAATCCTCTTGGGCTGCTGTGAGAGCCTGAGGGCTGGATAATTGACCAGCAGGCAATTTTGTGTTTACTGAAAGCCACATACTGAGCAGCAACGACTCAATGGCCTCTACTGAATGACTGTTTTTGTTCTGAAACTAATTTTCCTATGTAAGGACACCTGTCAGGTCCACATGTGTGATACATTAGTAGATGGGAAACTTATCTAGGCTGTGGGAAAGCAGCAGAAAAATACTGCAAAATGCCGCACTGGCAAAACTCAGCCTTCTCAAGTGAGCGAAGGGGATGCTAAGTCGTCTTAGACATCACTATAAATTAGTATCACCTAATTCTTCTTTTCTTCCCCCAAATATTGATGGTTCGAGTCTACTGGTCAAAAAGAATAGTGAAAATGTTCAAGTTAGTTTTCTAATTCATATTTCAATGCCCATTAAGACACACACTAAGATATCACCAATCACCATCAAAGAACTTGTGACTTACAACATACAGCATTTAAAGACAATAATACAACATTCTTGGAGACATCTGATCAACGAAAAGAAAAAAAATCACAAAAATGTGAAGCTCACATAATTGCAGAATTTCAAAAATTAGCACAGAAGCCTACCTGGCATACATGATTTGCAATGCTGTAAGAATATGTGATAAGGCCTGCTGTTTGGCCAGATTTCCATCCAATGACAAGAGAATCTTGGCAAGAGAAGGGCGATTTGGCTTAGAATTACTTGCACCACTTATTTTATTACTGGCAGCAGAAGAATCAGCATCTGAAGGCACGCCTATAAGAGGAAAATAAAATTTGCATTGTTTTTAAAATCACAGTTTGATCTATTTCTATAAAATCTGACCTTACAGGTTAGTTCCAAAACACACTGCAATCTGCATTTTGCTATTTCACAAAGCACCTATCAGGCTCATTAATAGGCCTTCAAAATAAGAAAACCACTTATCCATACTTCGATAAAGAAGCTATTTTCAGCATAGTTCCACTGTAACTGCAAAAAGATGTAGGTGCTTTTATAAAATGCACTTACAACAGTTTATGTTATATACATATAAACTATGAAAATGCTACAATAACTACCTGTATTTTCTTACCCCGGTAAGACAAGACAAAAAAGAATACAAAACAACAAAGAGAAAAGATGTTCACCAATAAAGTCTCATCAGGCTCACTTCGTTGTGAACTCCCAGGTCTCAGCAGAAGGAGGGAGCCAAGTAGAGCTGGGACATGTGTCTATGTCAACTCATCCAAATTGATACACAGATTTAATGCAATTCCCACCAGAATTCCAGCAAGAGTTTTTGTCAACAGACAAGATTATTCTGAAATGTACATGGAAAGGCAAAGGAGCAAGAATAGAAATAGAAAAATAAGGAGGAGGAATGAGTCTACCCAATTTCAAAAGTTGTAATACCATAACCAAAACTGTGTGGTACTGGCATAAGAATCAATGGAATAAACAGAGAACCCAGAAACAGAACCACACAAATATGCCTCACTGACTGTTGACAAACGTGCAAAAGCAACTCGGAGGCAGGACAGCCTTTCGGCATATGGTGGTGGAGCAACTGGACGTCTGTGGGCAAAAAACCCAAACTTCAGCCTAAGTCTACACCTTATGCAAAATTAAATCCAAATGGATCATGACTTCAGTAGAAAATACAAAACTATAAATCTTTTAGAGAAAAATAGGAGACAGTCTTTAGGAACTAGCACTAGGCAAAAATATACTTAGACTTGACACCAAAAGTATGATCTATAAAAGAAAAACCTGATGAATTAGACTTCATCAAAATTAAACACTTTCGTTCTATGAAAGGAAACGAAAAGACAAGCTAGAGACCAGGAGAAAATATCTGCATAACACACATCTGCCAAAGGACTAGAAACATCTAGAATATATAATGAACTCTCTAAACTCAACAGAAAAAAAAAAAGCCAATTAGAAAAGGGCATGAAGACATATTTTACCAAAGAGGAGATATGGACAGTAAATAAGCACATGAAAAGATGGTTAACATAATTAGCCATAAGGAAAATATTAAAACCACAATGAGATACAATGACCTATCTATCAGTATGGCTACATTTTAAAAAGATGGTGAGGATATGGGAAAAACTGGATCATCCTCCACTGCTAATGAGAATATAAAATGGCACAGCCATTCTGGAAAACGGCTTGGCAGTTTCTTATCAAACTAAACATAATTACCATATGACCAACCATCACACTCTTGGACATTTATGCCAAAGAAATAAGAACTTATTTTCACGTAAAGTAAATTTTCACATTCACCTGTATATGAATGACATGGCAGTTTTATTTGTAATAGTCAAAACCTAGAAATAATCCAAATGTCCTTCGATGGTTGAGTATTCGATGGAATACTGAACATACTATGTAATATGTAACAACTTGGATGAATAGCCAGAGGATTAGGCTGAGCAGAAAAAGCCAGACTCAAAAGTTATACATATAATGTGACATGAAAAGAGCTATACGTTAAGAAGATACTGAGTAATTTGAACCAGAAAGGAGAAGATGAGAGTCAAGCATTATCTTCATCTACCCCAGAAAAGAAGACAGCACAGGAAGGTGAAGCCACTCGCCCCAGTTCATACAGCCAGTAACTAACACAGCCAGAAGATCACATTCCAGTTATTCATAAAAGCAGATGCTGCTGGAGCCTAAATGTCCCCTCCTGAGACAGAAGGGGAAAAAACAAAATATTTGTATGACAAGATGAAGCTCACTTTTTTTAAAAAAAAAAGCAATTGTACTTATTTCTACATGCTAGCAAAGAGCAATCTGAATATTCCCATACAGAAGAAATGATATTTTTAAAAGACCATTTAATAATCTGAAATTCTTAGAAATAATCTAACAAAAGACAAGCAAAACCTATACAATAGACCGGGTGCGGTGACTCACGCCTGTAATCCCAGCACTTTGGGAGGCCGAGGTGGGCGGATCACGAGGTCAGGAGATCGATTCTGTCCTGGCTAACACGGTGAAACCCCGTCTCTACTAAAAATACAAAAAAATTAGCCGGGCGTGGTGGCAGGTGCCTGTGGTCCCAGCAACTTGGGAGGCTGAGGCAGGAGAATGGCGTGAACCCGGGAAGCAGAGCTTGCAGTGAGCCGAGATTGCGCCACTGCACTCCAGCCTGGCGACAGAGCGAGACTCCGTCTCAAAAAAAAAAAAAAAAACCTACACAATACTGGGACTAGAAAACATTGCTGAGAGAAACTAAACACCTAAAAAATAAAGAGAAACACTATGTTCATGGGTTAGAAGACTGAATACTGTGAATCCATCCTTTCCACATTGACTTACAGAATTAATGCAATCCACATCAAAATCCCAAGCAAACGATTTTATAAAAACTGACAAGCTCATTTTAAGTTATATGGAAATGCAAAGGGCCTACAACAGCCAACATATATTTGAAAAAGAACAAAGCTAAAGAACTCTTGCAACCTGAGTTCAGGTCTTTTATAAAGCTGTGGTAATCAAGACAATATGTCATTGCCACCAAAATCCACAAATAAATCAATGAAACAGTACTGAGAGTCCAGAAATAGATCCATACATCCATAGACAACTGAATTCTCACAAAGGCAAAAGGCAATTCAGTAGGAAAAGCGTAGTTTTTCAACAAATACAACTGAAACAACTGGACAATCATGCCAAAAAAAGCCTTTCAATCTGAACCTCCCACCATATATAAAATTTAATCAACTGGTCATAGATACACATATCTAAAACTACAAAACTTCTATAACAGAACATAGAAGGAGAATCTTTATAATCTTGAGGCAAAGGTTTTGTAGACACAACATCAAAAGTACACTCTACAAAAGAATAAAATGAATAAACTAGGCTTCATCAAAATTAAAAACTTCTAATCTTTAAGATTCACCTGTGAAGAGAATAAAATGACAAGCCACACTGACAGAAAATACTAGCAAATTCTATATTAGGCAAAGGACTTGTAACCCAGAATATATAAGAAACTCTCAAACTCAGTAAGAAAACAATCAACCTATTTAAATATAGGAAAAGACTTGAACAGACATTCACCAAAAAAGGTATCTGATTCGTAAATAAGCAAGATGCTTGAGATCATTAGTTACTAGGGAAATGCAAATTGAAACCACAATGAGATACCACCATACGTCTATCAGTATAACTAAAATTAAAGACTGAACGTATCAAGGGTTGACAAAAATGTGGAGGATGTGGACCTCTGGAACATCCACTTTGCAAAACAGTATGTAGCGATCTTAAGAAGCTAGACGTACACCTGCCATATGATCCATCCACTCCTCTCCTAGGAGTTTACCCAAGAGAATTTCAAGTGGATGTCCATACACAAACTTGTATGGAAATGTCCATTAGCAATTTCACTTGTATAGTCAACTGGAAACAGCCCAAACATTCATCAACAGATAAATGGATAAACAAATTGCATTTGTTTATCTTAAGATACTATTCAACAATTTAAAAAGAATAAACTATCGATACATGCAACATAAGTGAATCTCAAAATTATTATGCTGAGTGGAAAAAGATTTTTAAAAAGAGTATATGCTGTATGATTCTATTTATAGTAAGCTGTACAACATGCAAACTGGTCTGCCACGGTGGCTCCTGCCCATAATCCCAGCACTTTGGGAGGCCAAGATGGGAGGATCACTTGAGCTCAGGAGTTCAAGACCAACCTGAGCAACATGGCAAAACCCTCTCTCCACCAAACAAACAAACAAAAATTAGCCAGGCATGGTGACATGTGCCTGTAGTCCCAGCTATTTGGGAGGCTGAGGTGGAAGGATCACTTGAGCCCAGGAGGTGGAAGCTGCAGTGAGCCAAAATCGTGCCACTGCACTCCAGAGTGAGACCCTGTCTACAAAAAAAAAAAAAAAAACCCAACCAAACAACAACAATAACAAAAAGAAAACATGCAAACTGATCTCTAGTGACAGAAATTAAATTGGTGCATACGGCAGGAAGGAGGGAGTTAAAAGCAAAAGGGAGGGGTACAGAGGGCCAGAGAGGAACGCTGGGGTAGTGTATGAGTTCATTATCTTTGATTGTGCTGATGCTTTCATGGATCATACATATTCCAAAGTCAATCAAAATGCATACTTTAAATAGGTGCAGTTTATTATATGTCAATTATAACTGAATAAAGCTGTTAAAAAATACAAAAGAGCCCAGTACAGTGCCTGTATCTCTCAGGCAGTTATTAGGAGTCCTGTTCACACAGAAGGACAGCGCTGTGAGTTTACCTGATCATAAATACAAGAATCAGCAACATACTTTCTTCTAAAATTTTCATTCCAGCATGTATAAATCGCATGAGAGCACACCATAATTCTTCTGTGTCTTTAGAGTCATAATGCAGTTAACATGGCACTACAACCTCTAATTGTGTTGGCACAATTAAATAAATCTATAAGGTTGCTGTAAACCTACAGAAAAATCTCAGAGAAGATACAAATCTGTGTTACCTAAATAGGAAGCACCTAAAGGGTCTCTTGCAGTCTGGAAGAGGACGGGCTCGTGGACAGAGGGCGTGGCCACATCCACAGTTGTCCACGCCACACTGTGGGACGACCCACAAGCCACGCGTGTGATCTTCTGGCCTTCTAAGCCTTGCACGAGTGTGGGCTTCCTGTTAACCGTGGTCGTGCCATTGCCCTGCTGGCCGTGGTCGTTGTCACCCCAAGCATACACCTGTTTACGAGGAGAAAAAAGCTTATAATTTTTCAACATTTCAGGACATTTTCTTTAATGTAATTTTTACTTCAAAATGCTTAACGCGTATGCCACGGTAGTTGAAAGAATTGAGTTCTTAAAGGTAAAAACAAACCATTTCACAATCTTTCAAAATGGCATCAGCGTACTACAATTCTGAAGAAAATCTAACCATGAAAATGCTTGCTAATACCTATAAAAGGAGTATTTTCTTAATATTAATCCAATTCTGCTTTGTTGCAAGACACACAGAAGGTCCTCTCTCTAACTAAGTGTAATAATTTTTTCCCTTTTATTTTGCAAAGAAAAATGACCAAAAACAGTATGCTCATTTTTCAAGTAAGTTGCTTCTTGGCCTTATAGAATTATAAAGTAAAATTCATTCTGACTAAAATACAGTAATGGTAATTTTGTTTCCATAAATAAAATTTAAAATTGAATATCCATAAGCCAGTCATAGCGTATGCTTCTCCAAGCAGAAGAGAGTGTAACACTTGTCAGGCACTAGCTCTGTCTCTAAAATGAGGCATGGATCCCTCCTCGCCAGTTACCAATTCTCTAAAGGAAAGTCTTGCTAATATCTTGCACTAGGAGCATCTTCAAGAATAACAGTCTTTCCACACACTTTTCACGTGGACTTCAGAGTGGGAACGCCTCTTTTCTGAGGACCCCGCCCCCAACCCCTGCTGCAAAGCAGGCAGATACACCAGTGGGCAAAAGGAACAGGACCCGCCCTCATGGTTCTCCAAGCAGTAAGACTCAGCTGATTTCATCAACAGCTGTGATTTCAACAGGACGAAGGCCGTGTCATGACCCCCACGTCCCCCAAGTCAGGATGGCACGCCACCCCCAGGCCACCTGCAGCCTTACCTGCCCCGAGTCCGTGACCGCCAGGCAGTGCAGGGCCCCGACAGCCACATGCACGATCTTCTTCCCTCTCAGCCCTTCCACCACCTGTGGTTTCCGCACGTGCACGTCAGAGCCGTGGCCCAATCTGAAGTAATCCCCCTTTCCCCTGAGAGAAGGCCCATGGTGGAGAGTTACAATACGGTTATGGTCTGACAATGCTATACAAGAAGACACTCATTGTCTCACATCTTTCACAGCCAGCTCAATGACATCACACACAGCACCCAAGGTCTTCAAACTTGTATTCAAAATCATACACCATTAATTCAAATTAACTTATTAAGCCAGCTGGGAAAAACCTTAATACCTTAATACATATTTTATGATATTTAAGTTACTGTTGTAGGTTTTCATATAAAGAGACTGAAAATAAGACACACTACTGCAAACACCTATCCAAAGTCCTATCTGGTATACATCTTTCTCAAGCTGCCTCGGGTCATGACATTGGCACTAAGGCCTGACACACCATCCACAGCCAGTCCAGGCACCTGCTCTTTTGCATATTAATAAAATAAGCTTTTACAAGAAACACATGTTAACTTTTTCAGGATCAAAGGATTCAGAAGGCTATTTTGCTCCATTTTATCCTTAGGCTTCAGCAGAAGAAACCGTTCCCATAAATCTCACCCAAACAGGAAAGGTAAGTGGCCTAAAATTTTTCTAGTATTTTCAAAATGACCCAGTTACAATGGGAAATTTCTTCTTGTACTATTGTCACTAATCCCAACTCAATATCCTTTAAAGGACAAAGATGCATGCATAAGTAAAAAGAGGACACGTCACAATCACGCCGGGTGAGCCTGGGGCGAGGCCCAGGTTCCCTGCACACACCTGCACAAGCACACACAGTGTGACAGGGAGGACGTTTACGTACCATGTCCACACCACTCCAGACTTGGTGAGCGCCAGGGAGAACTGAGCTCCACACTCAATCTGGCACACCCCCTGTCCATTTAGTCTCTCAATGTTCTGGGGAATGTTACAGCCTTCACTTCCGCCCCGGCCCAGTTTTCCAAAGTCACCATCACCCCAGGAAAATACCAAACCTAGGTTTAAGAAACACATATACTTCAGGCCAGCGTTTCATATCATTCCTACCCACCCAGAAGCACAGAATCCTGCCAGCCACTCACCTTCATCGGTCAGAGCCAGGGTCTGCGCGTCTCTACTCCCACATGCAACCTGGATTACTCTGTGACCGAGAAGGACTTTCACCTACTCAATTACAAATTTAAAAACAGAATCACGCACAGGCACGGAGAAAGCAATGGATTTTCCCACAGATAAAGCCAACCATGCACACATCTTTATGAACTTTCCTAGACTTGAAGCTTATTTTCTCTTGACATCTTCAGATGGTAAGCTTTCTGCAAGCAACAAAAATGCGTATAATCACCATTTTGGGCTTTAGCTGTGTCGTATTATCCCCATGTCCCAGCCGGCCGTACTCGCCGAGGCCCCAGGTGTACAGTTCTCCGCTGGATGTGAGGGCTGCGCTGTGCGAGCTCCCACAGGCGATATCCCGGATACGCTTGGTTTTCAGGGCCTCGATCAGCCTTGGTTTGTCACAGTTCCTACAACAAGATGAAATCAGCTCTCTACAGTCAATCTGTCCCTTCTTAGAGATGAAGGAAAAAAGACATCTATACTGATCCACATGTAGTCAACACAGGATCCACAGATCAACTATCAAAACTTAAAGCAGAACCGGTGAGACCAAAACACAAACAACCGTGTTAAAAAAATTTTGTTTAAGAACCATTTCTATAATCTATTCTATTCTAATTTTCTGCAAAATAATTCTCAAGAGTATCAGTCAGAAACAGTTTCTTATTAGCAAATGAGACTAAAAAAAGTACCCTTACATTCTGCTGAAGTGTCCAAGTTTTCCATCGTCACCTTCGCCCCACGAAAACACTTTTCCATCGACAGTTAAAGCCGTCGCGTGCCGGCCACCTGCAACATTCACAGACACACGGATTGCCAAAGGGCAGGGAACAGAAAGCCCACAGCATAGCTAGCTCCCTATTTTGCCTGGCATATAGCACACACTCAATGAGCGTGAGCTGAATAAATGAGTAACTCAACAGGATCAACAGCGGAGTTAGCAGGAAAGCTTCCTGGGACATATGTGCCAAATAGGTGAATTTTCACTAAACTACAAATTTTAACTCTAGAAAGAATTTGCAAAGAGGCAAAATAATACTGATTATTAATGGGGTTCCTATTATGTTAAATACACGAAAAATCAAAATTTAGATGAAAAAAGTAAAAATAATTTGTGATTAGACAAAATGTAAAAATAGTGTCAATTTAAGTTTTTGAGAACTGTACCTCAACAGTGAAATTATTCAATCATTTGCGATTAATGCAATATATTCACTCTTCCCAAAACACGTCAGCTTATGCTCTTTCCCCAGCATGGAATATTCTCAAAGTCCATACAACCTGCCTCAGGATTAAAGGCATGACCACTCCTATACAGTGAGTTCCTGCCAACTCCTGGGCTTTGAGAACATCACAGCAGACCCTGCTTCTTCCCCCAACCCTCATTCTCCCCCTTCCTTACCAACAGAACCCCCATGTTAAAGTGCTCAGCTAATTCCCAGCCTCCTCTGCCCCCAGGAGATGGTGACTGAAATGAGTGGGGCTTCCGAGGGGCTCTGGAGAGGGGGCTGCGTGGGCAGGAGGGCACACTGTGTGGTGCTTGCCTCTTCTGCCAGGCCTGGCCCTGGACTCTGGGGGCGAGAGCTAGTCTAAGACCATCTTCCCACAAAGGTGGACACAAAGGACCAGCACTCCTCATAGACACAGCCCTGCTGGACAGACTCTGACCCCACCTCTGGACTTTTACAAAGGAGAAAAGTAAAACTCTATATTGCTTAAGCCACCATCATTTGGATTTCCTGTTATGCAAGTTACACTGAGCCCCGTTCAGCATAGGCATGAACTGAATTAGAACTTTGTGTCTAATTCAGTTCCATTCCTCAGAGGCCTAGCACGGTGCCTCCAAAATAAACACTCCCTACACTGAAAGAGTGGTTTCATTTTCTTTTAAAGGATCTTTCTCATTACTTGGGTTCATAGATGGTTTTGGGAATCTGAAGAAAGTTATAGACTCTTTCTCAGAAAAACAGCCTACTTTTAGGCAAAGAACTTGATTTAGCAGCAATAACTAAATTCTAGACCACCTAGAGATTTACATTATCCAATTTTTATTCCTACTAAGTAAAAACTTAAGAAAGAATGTAAGGACACCAATTAGGGCTTTGGTTAACAACGGAGCAGGAGCAAAGGCCGCCCCGCACAGGCCTCCTGGTGCTTGGCTTGTACCTGAGTGAACAGCCACCTTCTTGACCACGTAGCTGCTGAGAGCTGTGATCTGCCGTGGGATGGGCACCGTCCCGCTGGAAATGCCCAGCCCCAGCCGGCCATTCGTGGCTTCTCCACAGGCATACACCTTCCCTTCCACAGTCACTGCAAGGAACGACAGCCAGGAGAGGACTCTCTTTTCACAACATTAAAAACTTTTTTGTTTTTTGGTGCCAAGCATAATTTAAAAATTTTTTAAGATTAGAATAATCATACCTGCAAACAAACTTTTAGATCCACCAGCCACCTGTACCACATTCAAAGCTGACAGTGTCTCAGAGAACGAAGGAACCTTTATCTACAACAGAATTTTTTTAACAAAAAAAAAAGAAAAGAAAATTTTACTTGCATGTTTAAAATTATGTTACCTTATTATATGATACAAGGAATTACAGTTATGCACTGTGTAACATTTCACTCAACCACAGGCTACATATACGATGGCAGTCCCAGTAGATTATAATGGAGCTGAAAAATCCTTACTGCCTAGTGGTGTCCTGGCCGTGACAACGTCACAGCACAACCTATTCCTCATGTGTCTGTGGTGATGCTGGTGTCAACAAGCCTCTGTGCTGCCAGCTACATATCAACAATCCCTAATACCTCACCATGATAACAGACTACTGCTACTGGGCTATATATTCACTCTCCTGTACTTTCTATCATTCTTTTAGAGTGTATTCCTTCTACTTTTTTGTTTTTTAAGCTAACTGTAAAAAGCCTGCGGCTGGTGCTTCAGGAGGGATTCCAGAAGGCACTGCTGTCACAGGAAAGGACAGCTAGCTCCTTTGTGGGGGTGAAAGAGAGCAACACTATGATCCTAGCTAGGCTAATGTATGTGTTTGGGTCTTAGTTTTTAACAAACACGTTAAAAAGTAAAAGAATAAATGTTAAAGATAGAAAAAAGCTTACAGCATAAGAATGTAAAGAAAACATTTTGTGCAGAGCTGTGTTTGTGTTTTAAGCTAAGTATTATTACAAGAGTCAAAAAGTTTTTTAAAAAGTGAAAAGTTCATAAAGTTACAAATAATTTATTATTAAAGAAAGAAAAATATTTTGCATAGAGTCACCTAAGCATATAGTGTTTCTAAAGTCTACAGTAACATGCAGTGATGTCCTGGCCTTCACGTTCACTCACCACTCTCTCACTGACTCGCCCAGAGCAACTTCCAGTCCTGCAAACTCCATTATTCATGGTAAGTGCCCTATGCAGGTGTTCCATGTTTTATCTTTTACAATGTATTTTTACCGTACCTTTTCGATGTTTAAATACACACATGCCACTGAGTTACAACTGCCTACCATATTCAGTACAGTTCCATGTTGTAGCCTAGAAGCAACAGGCTATACCATATAGCCTGAGTGTGTAGTAGGCTACACCATCTACCTTTGTGTTAAGTACACTCTATCATTTTCCAACAATGACAAAATCACCCAACCAAAACTTTCTCAGAATATATCCCCATCATTAAGTAATGCATGACTGTACTACTAATATGTATGGTTACATTAACCAAAGGCATTGGTTATCCCTTAGAGATTCACACTGGAGTATTTTAAGAATGAAATGATACACTGTGATTGACTTTAAACCAGAGTTGGGGGAATGGGAGGATAAAGACAGAAAAACGTAGACAGCTGCTGGTAACTATGGAAGCTGTACCAGGGACATGAGGGTTCATGAAGCTATTCACTCTATGTGGGTACATCTGAACAGTTCCATAGTAGAAAGTGAAAAATAAAATACAGTTGGTCCTCTGTATCCATAGGTTCCACGTCCATGAATTCAACCACCCATGGATTGAAAATATTTTTTATTGCACGTGTACTAAATATGTACAGATATTTTTGTTGCCATTATTCCCTAAACAATGTAATATAACAACTATTGACATACCATTTACATTGTATTAGGTATTCTGAGTAATCTGAAGATGATATACAGTATTTGGGAGGGTGTACATAGGTTATATGCAAACACTACACTGTTTTATATCAGGGACTTGAGCATCCACAGATCTTGGTATCCACAGGAAGTCCTGGAACAAATCCACGGATACTGAGGGATGACTATGCATATAATGTAAAGATAAAAACACACACCTGTAGACTATGCCTTATTTCAAGTCATGTCCTGCTCACTCTCTGATTCTGACTCTGACATCTCTAAGAAATCATATGCTTAAATTTCCCATTGTAGATGGATGTAATTTAAAATTCCTAGGGCCCTTTGTCTAAAAAACCTTTATGATTCCCTGGGTGAAATAGTCACTACTGCAGCGGAAGAAAGGATTTTCATCACAACCGTGGAACACCGACTCTGTCCTTGAAGTGAAAACTCCATGTAAGGCAGTGAGCAAGGTCATAGGCTCCCACCAATGGCCTGCACCTCAGGGACCTCTGGACAGCCCTGCATTCCCGCAGCTGAGACACTCACAGCTCACTGCCCACTGTCCACTTCCCAAACCAAGCTCAGGTACACTGAAACACAAATGCAATTCAAGACTGCTCCAATACAGATAAAAACTAATTGCACCTTGAAAGGAAAGAGTTCAAATGAATGAGTTCTAACTTTATTTCTCAGTTTCTCAATAGGGCAGGCAATAAAGAAAACGTATGATGTGATGTCTCACAGAATACTAACAGGAAGCATAAGCTCACGTGAACACAGAGAGTGCCTCTGGGCAATAAAATTTAGAGGAATTTGCTTTGTGGCTCCTCAGCCAGGAGACACTAAGTAATACAAGGAATGCTGAATTCAACTCCAATTCAAATGCATCATTTCTTACACCTATTCTTTTCAAAATATGGTCTTTTTCTCCTAAGCAACTCAAAATACAAATTAACCTCTCATCCAAGTACCTAGGGGATGAAGGACGTTGTGAACACAGAGGCTATGGCACGGCTTCCCGTGCAAGCTTCATGGTTTACTGACAAGGTGAATGAGATCATGGCGCTCTCCACCCACAACAAGCCCTGCAGAGAATAAGGCAAGTGTGTATGCGCACACATGTGCATTCTGCTTGTTTCTCTGTGCTCGCAAAGCGTTCTCTCTCTGTGCAAGCTACTTCACCCTGAAGAATCTCAGGCGCGAAGCACCTGGAGGACAGAGACAACAATTTGCTCATCTGTGGGCCACTACAGCCTTTTTACACATTATTTTGTTCATGATAGTCAAAAATGTTTATTGTAGGGAAGGCAAGATACACCTATTGACAGTCTATAATTTTCATTTATGCACTTGTCAAATCTTTTCAAAAGTTCATTTTCTAGTTTACAAGACCGCAATAAGACAATTATACCTAAAGTGAAATTTTTCAAGGAGAGACGCTTCTGAGGGGTAATTTGATAATGTCTTTTAGTTCGTGTAAAGAAACAATACAACATATAGAGAGTAAAGTTATTATAGAAACTTCACGAGGTGTGGCTGCTGCCGAGTGCCCCACCCTGCTGGGTCCCAGGGAGCAGGCCGTACCTTGGAGCCTTTCAGCCCGCCCAGCTGGTCCTTGTCATTCAGGCCCCACACAAACACCTTGGTTCTTATCGTAGCTGCTGATTCCAGCCCAGCAGCCTTCTTTCTAATGAGGCTAACCAAACGGAAAAAAAAAAGAAAAAGAAAAGAGAGGTTATTCAGCATAAAACATTTAAAAAATAAAAAGAAAAGCAACCTCAAGCACTCAAAGTTTTATGGTTACTTTCAGAAACTCTTAAAATTTTGCTTTAATAGAAAAAAACCTCAAGCATGTACAGGAGTAAGTCCTCTGGAGGGTCAAATTTTCTAGATACAACCATGCCACCTTTTAATACTAGCACTTAATTTCAGCCTTTATTTTTGGTGGAAAACGATGATACACCAGGCCTTCTCTTTCATCTTAAATACCAACGTGAACATGGGTGGGAATCATTCCAAGCCATGGAAACAGACGCACAGCTGCTACAAATGGCACTGTAGAGACACTGAGGAAACCTGCCCAGGAGCCACGCTGGGTCTGGCCTTGCAGCACTATCCCCAAATCTAGACAGCTGTTTGGCCAATTATTTTCCCACAGAAAGAATAAAACGGATGTGGCCACATGACCATGGAGTTACTTTAACACAGACACATGTCCCAATGTAAAATGCTTCTCTCTTCCTTTATACCCTCTGCCCAGGACACCGGCCAGAGGAACCTGATCATCGGCCAGCTAAGCTGAAAGTCCTCGTCTCCTGTCCTTCCCAGAGGGCTTGCTCCTTCCACCTTGCTCATCTATCTCCTGACCTGCCCTCAACAGGTTAGGAGTTTATTTATTTTTTGTTTGTTTTGAGACAGGGTCATGCTCTGTCACTCAGGCTGGAATACAGTGGCATAATCCCGGTTCACTGTAGCTTCAACCTCCCAGGCTCAAGCAATCCTTCCACCTCAGCCTCCCGAACAGCTGGCACTATAGGCCTGCACCATCATGCCCAGCTAATTTTTGCATTTTTTTTTGTAGAGACGGGGTCTCACTATATCGTCAAGGCTGGTCTTGAACTCCTGGGCTCAAGTGATCCTCCCTGCTCAGCCTCCTAAAGTGCTGGGATTACAGGTGGGAGCCACCACACCCAGCAGGTTAGAAGTTTAATCAACAGCATCCAAAACACTCCAATTCTTGCAACTTGAAAAGAGTACACAGGACAGTGTTAGATTTTCTTGGCTGATGGTCTGATGCCAGGTGCTAAGGAATTGCTGCTTCTGTGTTTGGGGTTTTCACCTTTGTGTTTGCTTTTGCTCTATTTTTATAAGCTAGGATAGATGCCCAAAGGCACCAGACGGCTTCCAGACAGGTATCACTTTTTTCACACATTATATACTAATAAATATTTACTTTAAGGGTTCAAAATTTCATGTTTTGGAATAAAAGTGGAAAACTCTTTCATCCAATACTAGGCACAGGTGAGCAAGCATAAGCACAAAATATTGAAATATCTTGTGATACATTTTTACTTAAAAATATGTATGGGGACCAGGCACAGTAGCTCACACCTGTAATCCTAGCACTTTGGGAGGCCAAGGTGGGCAGATTCCTTGAGCCCAGGAGTTGGAGACCAGCCTGGGCAACACGGTGAAACCTCATTTCTACAAAAAAAATACAAAAAATTAGCCAGGTGTGGTAGCAGACACCTGTAATCCCAGCTACTTGGGAGGCTGAGGTGGGAGAATCACTTGAGCCCGGGAGGCAGAGGTTGCAGTGAGCTGAGATCATACCATTGCGATCCAGCCTGGGCAACAGAGTGAGACCCTATCTCAAAATATATATATATTTTCCATACACACATATATATACACACATATATGTATGCATGTATGTATGGGAAACCAGGACTGATATTCAAGATATTTAATGTCTGGCACCATGTAAGTATCAATCAGCCAGAGTGGAGGCCAGCTGTACGTGGTCAGTGTGGGAACATCCCAGTTGGGTGGCAGCCCTGTAGGAGGAGACTGCCTGGGCCACTGACTCATTCTGAAGTTATTAGCTAATTAATAAGATCTTACCAGAACAAAACCCATTACAATCAAGTATCTAGCTTTTCTTTCGACAATATATTCAATTACACAAAAATCTGATCAATGAGTAAAGCTCAAAACATTTTTGGTTATTCCACATATACAATATATGTATTAATAATTTTATGGCCAGGCGCAGTGGCTCACGCCTATAATCCCAGCACTTTGGGAGGCTGAGGCAGGCGGATTACGAGGTCAGGAGATCGAGATCATCCTGGCTAACACGGTGAAAGCCCGTCTCTACTAAAAATACAAAAAAATTAGCCGGGCATGGCGGCGTGCACCTGTAGTCCCAGCTACTCAGGAGGCTGAGGCAGGAGAATGGCGTGAACCCAGGAAGCGGAGCTTGCAGTGAGCCGAGATTGCACCACTGCACTCCAGCCTAGGTGACGGAGCAAGACTCCGTCTCAAAAAATAAATAAATAATAATTTTATTTGTCCAATTCATTTTAGTAGCTACTGAGTAAGAAAATGCTAATCTATTGTAGGGGCAACCCACCCCTACAATCTATAATCCTTTTATTAAAAATCCCAATGACTTCCTTATTTAAGTGAACTGGTATTGTCCCTATTTAATTAATATCTACAGATGCAATCAGTTTGAACTACAGCATATAGTATAACATATATTCTAGATAAGGTAATGTTATAGATACTATTTTCTTTTCAACTTCTACACAAAGTTTCTGAAATAAAACAGGACAGAATCCAAAGCCAAGATCACAGAGCCCTAGAATAACCTGATTTATTACCAGAACTACTACCCCCCACTTCTGTCTATATAACGTGCTCAACAGCGGCACAGGGCAGTGCTCTGTTGTCTCCTCATGTCACACGCTGCAGAGTACTTAGAGCACAGGGTGTCTTGGTCAACAGAGTTCAGCCAGCACTGGCGGCTTGCCTCCTGTGCCTGTCTGGAGGGCCCCGGTCACACTAGCAATCCAAAGCGCCTTGGGAATGTTAACAACATATCCATTTATTTTGCATACCCTTTGACTTAGCAATTTCACTTTCAGCAATTTATCTAGGAAAATACAACTTCTATGAGGACACTGATTATCCTCCATTGTTATTATCCACTATTATCCACTGTTTGCTGCTGGGATGGTAAACAAGGCTTAGAGCAGCCCCTGCAAATGCAAGTTCTAGATACATGCCCTGGGAAATGCACAAGCATGCAAAAACTTCGCAGATATCATTCTCCTCTGGTATGCTGTCTTCCCTATCAGAAACGCCCTTGCCTGTCCACTTTGTTTCAGTAATTCTGACTTCTGTACGTATGGCCTGGGGGGAAGTTTTCCTTGTCCTGACAGATCAATGCTCCAATGCAGACTCTCAAGGCTGTATGCACTTCTTCCTGCCTCTTACCAAAGGCCTAATAGCACACTGATGCATGTGTTTGTCTTGTTTTATTTTGCATGTTCATCACAGTGTTCCCAGTACACATAACTGGGAATGGCCCACAGTAGGCATTCAAAAGATGTTGAATGAATAAATACAACAACAGTCATCATCACAGTGCTCAGATAAAATAAGGAATTGAGTGAGTAAATGAGAACAGTCATAAGATGAAATACTGCACTCAAAAATTACAGGACTGAAGACTAATCATATGGAAATTCTAGCGATGGACAATAGTGATGGTTGCACAAAAATATGAATGTACTTAATGCCACTGAACTGTACACTTAAAATGGTAAACAATATATATATTTCACCATAATAAAAAATAAATACATTTTTTGAAGTTAATGATAAAATACTTAACAAAAAGAGCTTTAAAATATACCATACAACTTCCATAGGACAATAAATTTAGTAACAGAAAAAAAGGAAAACTACAAAGATATATACCAAAATAGTCACAGTGATATTTTAGGTAGAGATATTAAACATTTTCATTTCCCTCTTTTAATGGTATTTTTCTAAATATAATGTGTTTCTACATTAAACACTTTATTTTTTAAAAAATACAATTTTTGGAAACAACTGTAATTTACCAATCGTGTGGACATAAAATGACTCTCAGTATGAGACACATTCTAATTAAATGTTTCCTTTCGAAAGTGAGGATCCAGGAATGTAGCGGGAGGTAAGTGAGCACCTGTAACAAATGGTTCTCACCTTCCGCTGTTGCCTTTCTCATCCTCCTCCTCTTCATTATCCGAAGCTAAGAAAGGAACTGCAGCCAAATCTTCCTCTTCTGCACGGATCCGTCCCAGCAGGATGAGACCATGGATTTTACAATCGATTCCTGAGCTCCTGCACTGCTTTATAGCAATTTCAATATACCTGTGATACTAGACACAAAAACCATGATCTATAGACTCTGTAGAATCAAGCATATTAGATCCTCTAACTGGAGAACGGGATGTGTGAGACACGAACATGTACACACGGTTAGAGCTCCTTTACTTCAGTTCTGGAAATATCAACTGAGTTACTCAAAGTTAATGCAGCCACATCTGAGTAATGTTTACTTCAAAAGAAGTGGTCAACTCATCAAGATGTCTACCTGAGGCATGAGACACTCACTGATTTTCTTCCTAAAATTTTTAAATAGGATAACAGCCTTACTGAATGACTGCAAACTCTTCCGTCTTAGAGCTTTCTTGAACCAAGATGCTTTAACTAAGGAAGATATTAAATGTCAGGTAGTAACAGACCTTTCATCGTTTTTAAAACATAAAACATATTTGAATATACACAAATCAGAACAAATAGTACAAAGAACTCCATGACTCCATGACCCAGCTCAACAGTTACCAACATGTGACCAATCTTGTTCAGATATGGATTATCATTAAAAAATTCTAGGCATTATGCTGTTTCAAAACTTCAGTATATATCACTGAATTAAGGAGGTCTGGTTTTTTTTTTTGTTTTTTTGTTTTTTTTGAGATGGAATCTTGCTTGTTGCCCAGGCTGGAGTGCAGTGGTGCAATCTTGGTTCATTGCAACCCCTGCCTCCCGGGTTCAAGCGATTCTCCAACCTCAGCCTCCTGAGTACCTAAGACCACAGGCACTTGCCACCACACCCGGCTAATTTTTTGTATTTTTAGTAGAGACAAGGTTTCACCATGTTGGCTAGGCTGGTCTTGAACTTCTGACCTCAGGTGATCCACCTGCCTCAGCTTCCCAAAGTACTGGGATTACAGGAGTGAGCCACCGCGCCTGGCCAGAATTATGGAGTTTTTTGAAAAACATATCCGCATTGCTATTATCATAGCACAAACAATAACTCCCATATCACCCAATATGCTACAGTGATCAAACTTTTCTGATTATGTCATGTCATTTTATTGTTGCCTCATTCAAATCAGAACACAAGCAAGACCCAACCTTCCTCTGTTCTGCCTTTGCCATGCATTTAGTGGAGTTGGTCTACTTGTCCTGCAAATGTCCCACACCCCATGTGGCCGACTGCATGCCTGCTGTGGTACTGACAACATTCCTCCATCACTGTATTTCATGTGAACGAAGAGAGATGCGTCTGGAAGCACACACTAACAATTACTTTTTATTGCCTAAACGACCTGCTCAAACCTCAAGATCTACCATTTCAGAGGAAATACAGCTTGACCACCACCATAGGGATGCAAAAGCCAAGTTGAGAATATGAAGAATGCTACAGGAAACAATTACTCAGTTTTTTTTTTCTTTAGCAAGAAAAAAAACCAAGAGTGACTTAAGTGTAGTGTAGAATGCAAACATCATCTGAATCAGAAACTGCAAAAGGACATTTACAAGATAATTAGGAAAATCTGGACACTGACTGAATATTATATGACATTAAAGAGTAATTATTGGCTGGGCACGGTGGCTCACGCCTGTAATCCCAGCACTTTGGGAGGCCGAGGCAGGTGGATCACGAAGTCAGGAGATCGAGACCATCCTCGCTAACGGTGAAACCCCGTCTCTACTAAAAATACAAAAACAAAATTAGCCAGGCATGGTGGCAGGCGCCTATAGTCCCAGCTACTCGGGAGGCTGAGGCAGGAGAATGGAGTGAACCCGGGAGATAGAGCTTGCAGTGAGCCGGGATCACACCACTGCACTCCAGCCTGGGTGACAGAGTGAGACTCCGTCTTAAAAAAAAAAAAAAAGAGTACTTGTTAGAGGTGTGATAATGGTACCAAGGTTATATTTTGTTAAGCCCTGTCAGAGATGAATATTGAAGCAAGTGCTCCTGAAATAAGACCATGACTAGGACTTGCTGAGGCAGGGAAGTAAGGTGGGAGGGAGAAAGTGAAACATGACTGGCAAAATGTTGATAAATGTTGAAGCTGGGTGACAGGTTTGTGAGGGTTCCAGCATACTTTCTATTTTTGTTTACATGTTAGAAAAAACCCGGCTGGGTGCGGTGCCTCATGCCTGTAAATGCCAGCACTTTGGGAGGCCAAGGTGGGCAGATCACCTGAGGTCAGGAGTTCGAGACCAGCCTGGCCAACATGACAAAACCCCGTCTCTATTAAAAATACAAAAATTAGCTGGGTGAGGTGGTGGGCACCTGTAATCCCAGCTACTCGGAAGGCTGCGGCAGGAGAATCACTTGAACCCAGGATGTGGTGGTTGCGGTAAGCTGAGATCTGCCACTGCACTCCAGCCTGGGCGACAGAGTGAGACTCAGTCTCAAAAAAAAGAAAAGAAAATTCCCATAACAAACTATTTGTACAGCAAAGGCCATGCTTAAGATGCAGTGGCTCCACAGGAATGGTACAGTCTAGTTCTTTGGTCAGCTGGGGGCATGCAGGTTAGGTCAGGAGTTTTCCATTTACCTGCAATGCTTCGTATTTCTCATGTACATGACATACACTAAGTATCACAGGATGAATGGTTTTGAATTGAAAATTTCTTGGATTAAAGATATCTTTTACGAATGATAATCTCCATTGTTGATTTAATTACTTAGTTTCTGGTTTGGCTAAAGTAAAAACATCCTCTGAACTATGTAACTAAGGCACTCTACAGGCTGTATTCGGTTACATTGCAATAAGTTACCAGTAAAATGCATTAAAACTCAAGATTAATTTTTTCAGATAAATTCAATATTATCTTTCATTTTTATAGTTTGCCAATTTCTTCACTTATTAGCACCACTGGTATTGGCTATAATGAATCAGTGTATTATGAAATAGTTCCATGACATTCCAGAATAAATGGTAACTACTGTGAATGTACTACGTATTTCAAAATAGCTAAAAGAGAGGATTTTAAATGTTCTCACCACAAAAAAGTGATAAATATTTGAGGTGATGGATACATTATTTAGCATGATTTGATCATTCCACAAAGTATACATGTAACAAAACATCACAGTGTTCTCCAAAAATAAATACAAATTATTACAAATTACTATTTGGTTAAAACTAAAATAAAACTTTTTTAAAAAATGAATGGTTAACTACATTTAATAATTAAAAAATAAACTCATCAGTTATAAACTTTAAATGAATACAAAAATCAACTATTTGATATTTTTATCTGCTATCATTATAATTAGTCTACACCAGACAACAGTATACATAGTACAAAAATATCTTTTTTTTTCTTTCTTTCTTTTTTTTTTTTTTGAGACAAGAGTCTGGCTCTGTCGCCCAGGCTGGAGTGCAGTGGCACGATCTCGGCTCACTGTAAGCTCCGCCTCCCGGGTTCATGCCATTCTCCCGCCTCAGCCTCCCAAGTAGCTGGGACTACAGGTGCCTGCCACTACGCCCGGCTAATTTTTTTTTTTTTTTTTTTTTTTTTAGTAGAGACGGGGTTTAACTGTGTTAGCCAGGATGGTCTCGATCTCCTGAGCTCGTGATCTGCCCGCCTCAGCCTCCCAGAGTGCTGGGATTACAGGCGTGAGCCACCGCGCCCGGCCAACAAAAGTATCTTAATTTGTCTTATTTTACATATATTTAATGTATTAAAAATCATGCTGACATCCTATGTGGAAAGGTTTACTAAAAATTTGAGAGAGAGAGATAATTGCTGATCTGTAGTATGTGGGTACTGTTTAAAAGAACCTTCACTGATTCTTTCAAACTTTTCCAGAGATAAACTTAGACTCATTTTGAAAGCTGCCTTATTAACCAAAAAATTGCCACTCCGTGACAAGTTCAGCACTTGATGCCAACAGGTGTGACGACAAAAAAGCAACTTCAGCGTCACATATATGGTCAGGAAAACCACCAGAAACTGAGATATTTAATGAAAACCGAAGTGTTCAGATGCAATCAGCAACCTAAAATGCCTGATGAAAACTTTTGCTAGGAGCAGTTACCAAGTATACCTCTGCTACCAAAGAGAGTGAGAATGAAATTTGTTTCCTTTTCAAGCTGAACTGATAAGCAGCAAATTCAGTTGTACAAAATAAGTTGTATCTTTTAAAGTGTCAAAATTTAAAACAGAAAGAACCAATTATTTAAACGGGGAAAAACTGGGCTCAATGCTAGTATAGAAATGGCCAAGTCACCTCCCTTGTCATCTGTAAATCATCCAAATGGAACACTAGCATAGCTACTTACCTCTGTGCAGTCATTCAGAAGGGGCACTGTGGTGTCAGAAGGGTTAATATTGATTGTCTTTAGTTCAATAAGGTTATTCAGGGAATTTCCACCTAGGAAAAAATGGGTAAAGAATCAAACAAAGGCGTCTTTATTATAGAAGGTACTTCTTTTTAGGTAAACTAACTGAATTACCTGACACTACAACCAGGGACGGCATGTAGCTACTGTCAGCAGGATCTACGATCATTTTTAATCTATGAACAAGAACATCTGGGAAAATCTCCAAACGAATCCAGTGCTTTAGAAAAACAAAAAAACCACATTCTCAGTTAGCAAAATTCAGCTATATTTTAGCTACTACAATAGTATCGTTGAAGCTTGAATCTACATGAGATTTTTTCAATATAAAATGTAGCATGAGAGAGAATTTTCCCTCAACCTGGCAGCAACAAGAATATTCTACGCCATTCTTTGATTGTTAGAGAAAAGTCTCACTCTAAGACTCAGAAACCATGTATCTATATACTCCTGGCCTAGGGTGGTCCTTTTACCCACCAAGTGAGTGACAGAAAACACTACAGTCGAGATGGAGAAAGGCCCTGTCCTAAAGTCTGACCTGTGTGCCCACGAGGTGCCTCCACGCGTTGGTGTAATCACAACAGCACTCCAATGTGCAACACAAATTTGCTAGACTATACTAGAAAAACTTCTAACCAGAAGCAAATCTGAATTCATACATTCTATGCAGGAGAGGAGGAAAAAAAGCCTGACCACATCCTCTATCAAGTGGTCAGTTAGATAAAATCTATTACTCGTATTGTTTAAAATCTCTGACAATAAAATTGGATGGTATATAACTCTAACTTTGAAATAACTTATAAATTAAAACATAACGTGAGTACTGACAGGTGCTATCAGCAAAACTTTGCAGGCTGCTCAAAGTTCATTTTGAAAATGTACAAGGCAAAACCATCGGTGTGAAAGTGCCCGCTGCTGTGCCCTATTAGATGCTACCTTTCCTTGCGACCCCGATGACTGCCAGCAGGGCTCGCTGCCGTCAATGAGACGGGATGCCTGGTTCACGGAGGACGACACATTCAGGCTCTTCACCATGCGGGACCAGCTGTCCAGCAGCATGCCTGGCTGGCTGCTGTGGCAACGCTTCAGCTGTTTTCCAGAACGGCCACAAAATACCGCAGACTGACCTATTTCGTGATAGTCAAAAAGAGAATTAACCCTTGCTGAACTGGGGAGAAACATCATGATCAAGAATATTACATAGTAAGGAGCTTCTTAAAGAAAAATAGAAAGTTTCAAACTGAAAGGAGTTAATAAATGCCACAAATGGTTTCCCTAGTCAAGATATAGTTACACCAATTTATGAGATGAAGTCCACATAATGCTATGATTTATTCTACTAAAACCTCCCAGGGAACAACAGCAGATTAATATATTTCCAAAGAAAACAAAATAAGCTGTGGGAAAAGTTCAATAACAGCACTCACAAAAACCATTCTTATTAAAAATGCTTTTATAAATACAAGGCAAAAAGTAAATTGTAAAGTGCTTCCACTTCCATTAATGGCAAATCTGGAATTCAACTGGCATTCCCCATCAAAGACAACTAGTAAAGCCAGACAAAACACTCAAAAATAAATAAATTCTCTTCGAACTATCAGAATTCAGGAGAAAATAAAGAATTACAAGGTCAGAACCGCAGGAAGACCCGAGGCGAATGGAGGTGTCAAGATGACGCACACCACGGATCAGAGGCTGCTGTTCCCTGATGGCATCACCAGGTTCCAAGCAAAGTCCCTGAGACGACACATAGCATTTTGACAGCCTCGTGAAGGGAAGGGAAAGGAATGGGGTCCAGAAAGACCAGGAAGGCTGAGGATGCTACAGAAATACAACCCACACTTGGAACCCCAACAGGAAATACCCCAAAAGTCAGAGTGAACTATGAAGGGTTTTTGGGTTTCCCTTTTTTTTTTTCCAACAGATTGCAACTCAGCATAAAATCATCTCAATCAATGAATGCTGATTAAGGTAAGCCCAGATAGTCACTAACCTTTACCAAGTAGCTCACAGAACAACCTTCTCTCCTCCATTCCTTGGAGAACAATAACATCTTAGCCTCAAAATGAGTCAAGAAATAACTTTTTAAATACAATGTCCAGTACATAATGACACATGAAAAGGCAAGAAAATATGACTAAAAATTACCAGAAATGATAGGACAGAAACAGACCCACAAAGGCTCCATATATTGGAGTTAGAAGACACAGACTTTAATATAATAACTATGCTTACTGTGTTCAAAAAGATAATATTTCAGCAGAGAACCAAAAACTACTGAAAATAAAACAGAAAGACTAGAACTGATAAATTGAATAATTAAAATTAAGAACTTAATGAGTAAGTTTAGAACACACTGAACTCAGCTGAAGAGAAAGTAAAAATATCTGGAATGAAGAACTGAGGAACAAAAGTTTAGAAAACATAACAAGAAGGTAAAAGATCTGCAGGACAGAGGTTAGGCCTAACACAAATGAAAGAAGAGTCCCCCCAAAAAGATAGAAAAGAGAATAGAGCAGAGGCAACATGTGAAGAAATACTGAAAGACAGAATTTTCCAAAACAGACAACAGATATCATGCCCCAGAAGCCCTACCAACCCCAAGAAAGATAAACATCTCCATGCACATGTAAAACCTGTGCAAGATGAAAACAAAAAGACTCTCTGAAAAGCAGACGAAGGAAAAATAAAATGAACCACAATTAGACTTCCATCCAACTTCAGGAGAAATAATATAAACCAAATTGCAATGGAATACTATTTTTAAAGTGGTGAAAGAAAACACCTAGCAAAAAGACTTTTCAAAAATAAAGGAGAAATAAAGACATTTTCAGACATACAAAAATAGACAATTTGTAACCCACAAAGACACATTTTTAAAAATATCAAGGGGTATCTTCAGGCAGGAGAAAAACAGTATAGATGGAAAATTAAAGAGGAAGAAAAAAGTGGAGAGAAATTACAAAGTATGCAGAAAAATCTAAATGAATATTGACTACATAAAATCATCACATGCCCCACATGTATTGTTTGATCCTTTGACCTTTTTTTTTTTTTTTGAGACAGAATCTCCCTCTGCCACCCAGGCTGGAGTGCAGTGGCACGATCTCGGCTCACTGCAAGCTCCACATCCTGGGTTCACGCCATTCTCCCGCTTCAGCCTCCCGAGTAGCTGGGACTACAGGCGCCCGCCACCACGCCCGGCTAATTTTTTGTATTTTTAGTACAGACGGGGTTTCACCGTGTTAGCCAGGATGGTCTCGATCTCCTGACCTCGTGATCCACCCGCCTCGCCTCCAAAAGTGCTGGGATTACAGGTGTGGATCACAAGGTCAGGAGATCGAGACCATCCTGGCTAACACGGTGAAACCCCATCTCTACTAAAAATACAAAAAATTAGCCGGGCGTGGTGGCGGGCGCCTGTAGTCGCAGCTACTCGGGAGGCTGAAGCGGGAGAATGGCATGAACCCGGGAAGCGGAGCTTGCAGTGAGCCAAGATCACGCGCCACTGCACTCCAGCCTGGGCGACAGAGCGAGACTCCGTCTCAAAAAAAACAAAACAAAACAAAACAAAAAAACAGGCATGAGCCACTGTGCCTGGCCGATCCTTTGACATTTTTTGGAACTTTTGTTTGAGCATATGACCCACTTAGCATATGACTGGATTTTATGAACATTTTCTGTGTGCATAAAAGAATGTCTTCTATAGTTCTGTTAGATATGTATTTATATAAAATGTATAAAATTTTGGCTGGATGCAGTGGCTCATGCATGTAACCCCAGCACTTTGGGAGACTGAGGTGGGTGGATCACCTGAGGTCAGGAGTTCAAGAGCAGCCTGGCCAACATGGTGAAATCTCACCTCTACTAAAAATACAAAAATTAGCCAGGCATGGTGGTGGGAGCCTGTAATCCCAGCTACTCGGGAGGCTGATGCAGGAGAATTGCTTGAGCCCGGGAGGTGTCAGTTACAGTGAGCCAGGATCGCGCCACTGCACTCCAGCCTGGGCAACAGAGTGAGACTCCGTCTCAAAAAAAAAAAAAATTAAAATATGTTAAGAACATATAAATCAGAATGAAGATAAATGATCTTAAAGAGAACTAAGGTTTTTGCATTGTTTAGGTGGAGAATATACTAATAATAGATTTAAATGAGTCAAAAATAGATGTTATAATTAATATCTTCAGTAACTACTAAAACTAAAAATGTATATAACATATGCACTCCTTATACACAGAGTGAGACTCTGTCTCAAAAAAATAATAATTAAAAAACAAATAGAAAAGTTAGCTGAGCGTGGTGGCTCAGGCCTGTAATCCCAGCTACTCAGGAGGCTGAGACAGGAGAATTGCTTGAACCTAGGAGGCGGAGGTTGCACTGAGCCAAGATCGTGCCACTGCAGTCCAGCCTGGGCGACAGACTGAGACTCTGTCTCACAAAGAAAAAAAGTGATATATGCATACAGTGGAATATTATTTAGCCATTAAAAAGGATGACGTTCTGACACATGCTACAATACGGATGAAGCTTAAATACATTACGCTAAACACAAAAGGATAAATCTTATATGGTTTCACCTAGATGAGATGTCTGGAGTGGTCATATTCATAGAGACCAAAGTTAGATTCAAGGTTACCAGGGTTGGGGTAAGGGGAAGTAGGGCAGTTAAATTGCTTAATGGGTACAGAGTTTCTGATCGGAGTGGTGAAAAGTTTTGGTAAGAGACAGTTGTGATGGTTGTGCAACACTGTACTTAAGGTACTTAATACCCTGAATTATAAACTTAGAAAATGATTAAGTGGCTAATTTTAAGTTATATATATTTTGCCACAATGACAAATACAATAAAAGGTATATAAATTAAAAAACTCACTCTCCATCTAACCAATTCCACATGCCATGCAACTAAACACTTACTAGTTTCTTGAGATTCTTTTAATGTTTCTTTATGGAAAAACAAGCAAACAAGCCTAGTTATTCTAATTCTTCCCCGACACCCCATCCTGATTTTTTTAAAAAGCCAGCCAGTCATCAGCGGGTAGGACCGTCACTTCCGTCTCACTGTACTCACTCTACAGAATTACTGTATACATAGGAACCTTAAAATAACAAATTCCAATACACTGTGGTCCACAATAAGTATTTCATTAATATTTGGTGGAAGAGAGAATATAAACATTCTGCCATACCTGGTTCATTTATTCTGCCAAATGTATGCCTGGTATTGTGTTTTTTGGTCTTGAAACACGTTTCACAAAAATCAAAGTCATCACAGTTTCTGCATTTGAATCTGGATCCATTGATAGGAAACATCTGACATCCATCACACCTATTTGTAAAATAGCAACTGAGTTAAGAAAGGTCATTTATTAAACTTAATTCAACAGAAAACCATTCGTCCCAAAGCAAATCTAGCAACCATAAAAATAACTCACGTAACCCCAGGATGAATACTGGGTACCAACTCCATTTCTGATAGCAACCCAGTCCAGTGAGACTGCTGGGGAAAGTCGACAATGATATCTTTTCCATTGGCACTGAAAGCTAGGACAGAACAGAAATCACCTGATCCATCTTCCTCTTCACCAATAAAAACCTGAACTTAAAACTGCACCTAGCCATGTCATACTACATTGTAGTTATTTGTTTTTTACAAAGAGTCTACCTTTTAGAGATAGGTACTAAAATGCTTATGGATGAACTAATACATGATGTCAGCGCCTGGTTTCAAAATAATCACAAGAAGGGAGCATGAATAATTTTGGCCTGAGGCGACAATCGTTAAAGCCAGGTAATGAGCACATGGAGGTTCATTGTAAACTACATTCCTTACTTTTGCATTAGGTTTAAAATAGGACATTTTGGTTTTTAATTACACCAAGTCAACAATTCCATACAATACCTTCGGTATCTCAGGGAATAAAAACCACATTAATAACATGAAGACTTCTTTCGTCCTTTGATAAGAGCAACGTGTCACTCAAAACAAAGAAACCAAATTCTTATTTTTAAAATTTGTCTTGTTTTGATTTGCAAATATTTTAACAATCTCTTAAGCAAAGAAAAATGTTTAAAGTAAAATATTAAATAATCCATTTGTTTTTATGTAACATGAGAAGCTCTAGGAACCTCTCACCACTGGGGAACCACCAACTGTGGCCATTTTCTAAGCGATCTGATGAAAAGAGAGCCTTCCACAAGGTTCAAACAAACAAATAATCTCTTTATGGCATCAAGAGTTTATAAAACTATACACATACTTATTTCTCATGCAACTGTTAAAACGGACATAGTATACCTTTCAAAGTGTGCCACGGATTTGATTTGGAATCTCAATAGTATCATATTAAATATAATCTGAGAATTGTTCCCAGTTCCTAATTCCCATCATTAGCACATTTCCATTTCTTAAATTCAGTCCTAAATTTTTATACAGCATGAAAAAGAGCCAGGCATGGTGGCTCACGCCTGTAATCCCAACACTTTGGGAGGCTGAGGCAGGCGGATCAATAGGTAAGGAGTTCGAGACCAGCCTGGCCAACATGGTGAAACCCCATCTCTACTAAAAATACAAAAATTATCCAGGCATGGTGGTGGGCACCTGTAATCCCAGCTACTCTGGAGGCTGAGACTGGAGAATTCCTTAAACCTGGGGGCGGAGGTTGCAGTGAGTCAAGATGGCGCCACTGCACTCCAGCCTGGTCAGGGGAGGAGAAAGAAAAAGCAGTCCTGACAGTCAGGAGCTGGCCTGTTAATGTCAATGTTAGAACATTTCACAGAATAACTGACAGGACAAGTTTACAGAACACGAACATCAGGTAAGGCCACTCTGTGACTGATGAATCAAGGCACAACCAAAACCCCTACTTAACCATGTGTGATTAAAGTTGAGTCTAATCCAAACCACAAACAACCACACAGTCCCCTATCCTGGTGATATGAATGACTACTTCCTTACCAATCATGACGTTAGCATGGCTCCATTCTTTCTGCCTGCTAGGTAAATTTATTAAGACATCCTGTTTTAGGATTACCCCTGCTTTCTCGACCCCTCCCCCAAATACCCAACATAAACTTCATTAGTCCTCGCTCACTCCCTCTGATGGAGACACCCATTCCCCAAGGTGTGTGTTCTCCTGTACTGCAATGAGTTAATATTAATAAATCTAATTGTTTCACTGCAGGTGAGTTCCTCTGTGGCCTTTGGCAGAAGGCACTGACAAGCAAAGGAACACTCTATCTTTCTTCAACACTTGTTTTCTGTTTTGTGTGCTTGAACAAAAAGAAATACTAAGTACACATGCGTTAATGAAAAGTTAACATCAGGAATTTTATTACCCAGATAATATTACCTTTCACAACCCCCACACTCTGATGAGTCACAGATCCCCATTTGTATTTTGGTGTGGTGACAGAGGCTTTGACCCGCACTTTATCACCAATCTTGATGTGAGAAGAAGAACTTGGTGGAGGATAGCCTACAGATGTCAATAACAAATCATTATAATCAATATTCATTTAAGGGAATTTTGTCTCTAAGAAAAAACAAAAGCACTGAACAAAGAATGTGCTCACCTATAAGTTCCACATGAATGTACCTAACCCAGTAGGTGCCCCCTTTCTGCTGCCAGTCACACTGCACATTGAGATCATGCAATCCATCTCTGTCCAGCTTGATGACTTTGCCAACATCACCTTCGCACACTTCTTCATACGCTCGGCAGCATCTAACCATCATTCCCACCTAGAATTAAAATGAAATTGGAGATCCAGTCCATCATGTACACAGGTGAAATGAGCCATGATAAGTAGTATTACTCTACTCTTAATAAAGAATTCTGACTGGGCATGGTGGCTCACGTCTGTAATCCTAGCACTTTGGGAGGCTGAGGTGGGAGGATCACTTGAGCTCAGGTGTTTGAGACAAACCTGGGCAACATGGCGAAACCCACCTCTACCAAAAATACAAAAATTAGCCAGACGTGGCGGTGCATGCCTGTGGTCCCAGCTACTCGGGAGACTGAGTTGAGAGGATTGCTTGAGCCTGGAAGGTGGAGGTTACAATGAGCCAAGATCACACAACTGCACTCCAGCCTGAGTGACAAAGTGAGACCCCATCTCAAAAAAAAAAAAGAATTTCATCTAGCACCCAGAGTGCATTCTAAGTATTATTTAATGATAAAGGGAAGAGAAACTCTTTAGAACACTGTCTGGCTTTGTGTCTCAGGCAGGAAATATACAGGAAGAGCCTGGATCAACTTGTGTCATAAAGGAAGGGAGCTTTCAAAGATTACTGGGTTCACTCAAAAGGATTCCCTGATCATCAAAAACATAACAGTGGAAACATCACACCCTAAAAGCCAATGGATTGGTCATCATGATAATAAGGAAAACAAAGCTTCCTGGTCATCTTTATACATATCAGAACACCAATGCATCATTCTGAAAACTGATAAAGTCTCCCTGTATTATCAAGAGCAACCAAGATTAATAACAAAGCTTTTTTTCCCAGAAGAGAATTCCAGCTAATGAACTCAGAGAAGATGAAGTTAGAAAATCACTATGGTGCAGCCCCTAATGATAGGTCTAGATGATGACGCTAATGCCTACTGGAGCTATGAGATGGATAATTAATACAGAATGTCATCAAGGAAGGAGCAGGCTGACAAGACCTAACCCACCCAACCCTGCTTGCCTGTTGAGATGGGGCCGGAGGGAGTACATGCCTATGAAGCTTCCTGCCTGAGATTCAGCCTGGTCCAATCACCCTCCAACCCTAACTCCTATTGTATTGGAGAAACAGGGAGAGAGGAAGATGTTAGCCACAAGGAAGCCACCTCCAAATGCAGACTGTAAGACATTTGGAGGACATGGTTTCAGCTACAAATAAACAGCATGAAAGGAGAGGACGGGGGAAGGAGTATTATCATGAATGTTTGTGTCCCCCCCACCAAAATTCATGAAGTCCCAACTCCTAATGTGGCAGTATTAGGAGATGGGGCCTCTAAGGAAGTCATTAAGGTAAAATCAGGTCATAAGAGTGGGCCTCTGACACAACAGGACTAGGGTCTTTATAAGAAGAGACTCCAGGATGGGCATGGTGGCTCACGCCTATAATCCCAGCACTTTGGGAGGCCAAGGCAGGCGGATCACCTGAGGTCAGGAGCTCGAGACCAGCCTGACAAAAATGAAGAAACACTGTCTCTACTAAAAATATAAAATTAACCAGGCATGTGGTGCATGTCTGTAATCCCAGCTACTCGGGAGGCTGAGGCAGGAGAATGGCATGAACCCGGGAGGCGGAGCTTGTAGTGAGCTGAGATCACGCCACTGCACTCCAGCCTGGGTGACAGAGCGAGACTCTGCCTCAAAAAACAAACAAAAAAAAAAGGTAGCCACCTACAAGCCAGGAAGAGGGCCATCACCAGAAACCAGCCAAGCTGGTACCTTGATCTTGGATTTCCAGCCTCCAGAACCATGAGAAATAAATGTCTGTTGTTGAAGCTGCCAGTCTATGGTACTGTGTTATAGCCAACTGAGCTAAGACAAGGGGGAACCACTCTAGCTTGGAATAGACGTCAAAGATCCATCAACCAAATGTAGATAAGGCATACAATCTTGGTTGTATCCAAGTTCAAAAACTAACCATTAAAGCCATTTCTGAGAAAACTGGAAAACTACAAGCAAGCGTTAGATATGAGATGATATTAAGGAATTATTATTTATTTTGTTAGGTAATGCTGGTAAACAGAAATGTCATTATGTTAAGATTCTTTATTAGTGATACTCACTGACATATATACAGGTGAAATGAGATGATTTGGGGGATTTTCTCTAAAATATACTAAAACAAGAGAATTAGGACAAGAAATGATTTAAAGTAGATAAAGGACTATATAAAACATAATTAGATTTTTAAAGTTTGATGGCAATGAGAATTACATAAGAAAAACAAGGAAAGGTATGTAGGAAGTGTCACAAGTGGGGCTAGTAGAAAACAGCCATCCCTGCGCCATGTCCACCGTGGACAGGCCACTTGTGCTCTCCGGCTGCCCCTGAGCCCATCTGCCCCTCTGTCCTCTGGCTACACCGGGGCAGCCACAGCAGCCTCTGTCTGGGTGCCCATCCTGCTCAGCCACCCTTCACACCCTGTAGGCTTTGCACCCATGTCACCTTCTCATTGCAGCCCCACATCCCTGTAATGTGCCCTCACTCCTACCCCTTTACTGTAGTCTGTTCTTTCTCATTCCAGGGTACACAGCACCTTCTAGCGTACCATGAGCTCACTGGTCAGGTATGTCTTCCAGCACCAGAAGGCAGGCTCCCTGAGGGCAGGGGCCTCTGTCCACTGATGTTTGGCATATAGGACATACTCAAATATTTGCTGAATGAAAAACGGATCGAGGCTCCAGCTTAAGACAATTACTCACCTGAATATTCTCTCTCACATATACAGCATAATCATCATTACTCAAGAAATCAGCTCGTTTTTTGTACGTCTGGCTCTCCGTCACAACAGCACCAGTAGACTGCAAGAAATAAATACATTCAAACAAAAAAACAGGAGAACATGATAAACCTACTCAAAAAGAAATAAGTCTGTGAAATCTATAATATTAAAAAGTAGAGGATGAAATCCTTTATTTTCTCTATAAAAATCTTCATTTAAAAAAGACTAATAGCAGTAGCATAGTAGGCAGAATGAATCTCAAAAGCTACAAGTATACAAAATTTCCAAGGCACTTCCAAATTAATCCTACGAATAATTTACTCAGGTCAGAAACTGATGTGTCAAAACATGGTATTTTAATAAAATATCTTCTAATGGCTACCGAAGATCATGAGATGTTTGAACAAGGGTCTGTTCTGAAGCTAAAAGTAATTATGATATAGAAACCCAATCATCCCTTCAGTAGTGAAACACAGCTTTGTTCTGTGCCCGGCAATACCATAGGTTGGTTTTATGGAACAGTCCACAGTAGATATAGTTAATTCTTTCAAGGGACAGAGAAAGCCAAGGTGTAAGACTGTTAGAGCGCTAGACGGACAGCGGCCCAGGTGCGGGCGGTCACATGGGAGGCACTGACCATGGAGTAGGCGGCATCATCCACGTCCTCCACCACCTCCTCGTCAGAATACTCGTCGGACACCGTGTCTGCATCTGAGAGCTCCGTGACCTGTATGTCGGAGTGGTCCAGCAGCCACCCGACCAAGGCTTCCACACCTAAGAGAGGCACACACAGCACAGCAGCCACTGTGAGTCAACAGCCCTGAAGCGGGAACCCACACATACACAAGCAGAGGCCAGGAAAACGAAGTACCAGGCAAGCTGGATGCATTCCCGGAAGCACCAGTGAGAGACTTCAGGGCAAACTCGATGTTCCTTCTGGAAAATCCCATCTCCATGAGCTGCACCACGATCGGCAGAGCGGGAACGGGCGACTGCTTGCGCCTCTTCACTCTGGCAGGGCGGATGTGCTGCACGGCGACAGGCGTGGTGGCCTCACTGGAGCTGCAGTCTTCAAATCCTGGGCTCGAAGGGTGAGTGGACTCCACAGCCAAGCACTGGCAAACGGCCAGTGCAGCAGCCTGGGCAGACAAGAGGGTCCTGGGAGATTTGGGAAGTGCCCTCAGCTAGCTTACACAGTCTAGGAACACAGGGGTGATGGCCTTCTACTGTGAACTGCAGTATGCAAGTCTAGAAAGCCCGCATTCACATGTGTGTTTTTCAATGAGTTCCTAAAACATGTTAGAAAATGACAAAGCCAAGTTTCACGGTTTAATGCAGAGAAAATACGTGGGGGTAAAATAACTTGCCTGTTTCAGCAGACAGAGAGCCTACTAAATTAGCCAAGTATCAATGTCCATTAAGGAAAACTTCATTACAGCCCCAAGCAAACAGTCACAGGGGCTTGAAGGAGCAGGGAGAAAGGCATTCCCCCTGCCTTAACCAGGCACTGTGGTGGCGGCCACAGGCACCTGTGTTTTAGACAGGCCAGAAATGACACAGGACTCTCATGTACCATTAAAACAACCCTCAACTATTCAAGGGTTAAATAACCACAGTGAGGTTAAACAAGGTATTAAAAAGTAAGAGAAATAAAAGAGTATTAGTTGGGAAACACACTGCAATGAATCAGTGAACATCTAAACTGCCAGTCTCTGCAGCTGGGAACTCCCCACCTACAGCACAAATAGCACTTCCCTGATCTGTCTGTAACTCCCTGGTCCTCCTCCCCAGCTGCTCTCATAGCACTGACTTGCTATTTTGTTAAACGGAGCATGTGAGGAAGGAATCAGGAAGAAACCGAGGACACTGTGGAGCCCCCCGGTGCTCAGGAAGTATCAAAGCCTAGGGTTTTGCAGCGAAGTCTGGGTAACTTGGAAGTGACAGGTTTCATTCTAAAAGTTTAAAATTCAGAGCCAGATTGAGCCAAGAGTTCTGGTTCTGATAATTGAGAGTTAGGATGCACTGGACTAACCTTTGGCTGATAATAATCATGAACTCTGGATAAAATATTTTTTAAAACTGCTTGAGGGCACTGGAGAACAGCTGACGCAATCAGCAATAAAACGAGTACAACCCCTGACCCCGAGAAGCCTGCATGCAAGACGCGCATTTAACCACAGACGGCGCACCTTCCTGCACTGCAGGGGCTGGGGTCCCGGCCTGGCAGAGTAACCAGAATGCGAGGGAAAGCCCGCCTGAGAAAGAAACCACAGAGGGAAAACCACGAAATATGCGGACGGACTACCCGCAAATCTACAGCTGAATCTAAACTGAAGCACCACTGAAGAGCCTGCGCTCGGCACAAAGGGACCGCTGGAAGGCTGCAGGGGCTCCCCAGCTGCCCAGGGCCAGGACAGCATCTGAGGCTCAAGCTCAACCAACTAGAGGTGGGGAGGAGAATGTCAAGGCTTCCAGTGACGCCCAGAAGAGATTCTAAATCCTTGAGAATTAAGGATCCACAACCAGGGCTAAGGGCAAATACAAAATCATTAGAAAGCCTGGCACCAAGCCACCTCAGGATCAAGGAGGACTGCCAGGTACTGAACTGCCTGTGAGAAGAAAACTCCCCTTTCTCCAGAGGCGGCAGAACCCAGAGCCAATACAATGTAACGTCCAAAGAATCCAGAATGAAATAAGAATTCTCACATATGTGAAGGACAACAACCAATAACTGACTATAATCAAGGAATAAAAACTGCAAAGAGCAGCAGACCAACAGGTGGGCAGATGTTAGAATTAGCAAACAAGAAATTCAACATAACTATCAGAAATATGTTTTAAAATGTACAGCAAAAGATAGATTTGGCCAGGCACGGTGGCTCACACCTGTAATCCCAGCACTTTGGGAGCCCGAGGAGGGCGGATCATGAGGTCAGGAGTTCGAGACCAGCCTGGCCAACATGGTAAAACCCCATCTCTACTAAATATACAAAAATTAGCCAGGCGTGGTGGCAGGCACCTGTAGTCCTAGCTACTCGGGAGGCTGAGGCAGGAGAATCACTTGAACCCAAGAGTCAGAGGTTGCAGTGAGCTGAGATCACGCCACTGCACTCCAGCCTGGAGACAGAGCGAGACTCCGTCAAAAAAAAAAAAAAAAAAGATAGACTTAAAGGATGAAGAAAGGAACTGTCAGAAGAGATATAAAACTATTAAATGAGAGCCAAATGGAAATAAGAGATGTGAGAAATATAAAATAAAGTATGTCTTGGATGGATATAACAACAGATTAGGCCCAACAAAGCAAAGCATCTTGACCTTTCAAACAGATCAAGACAAACTAACCAAGCTACTAACAAGGAGAAGACTTTCTATTAAAATCGTAAAAGGAAACTCACTAACAGTGTAACAGATGTATAATAGTATTTCCAGAAAAGAACAAAAAGAGCAAGGCAGGGGGAAAAAACAATAGTCAAAAGTTTCCAAATTTGGTAGGGGAACAAAAATCAAGCCAAAGATGCAAGCAGCTTCAGCAAATTTCAAGGAGGACGGTGGGGTGGGCGGGGTGTGCCACCATTGTATACATGAGCCCAGCTTAGGGAAACTGCAGAAAACCAAAGATAATAGAAAATACGAAAAGCAACCACAGAAAAAAGACATTTCATGAAAAAGAAGAGAACAACAACTCTCCATCAGAATCCATGGAGACAAAACAGCGGAAGGTCTCTTTTTGTACAACAGTCCTTCTCAGTTCCTGAAGGACAACTCTACACGGCCTTCCAGTTGTTCACACTCGGCATCTCCCAGCATGACTGCTCTCAAGTTGCTCAGCGTCTTCTTTTGATCTCTGCCAGGGAGACTGGAAACACAACCAGGCCCTTTAAAATGAACCTTCACCTTGGAGGTTCCCAGACCTGAGAAGAAGCTGGAGTTCAGAAGAGCTCATGGCCAACCTCCTCCCTTCCTGCCCACACCCGTTTCTTGCTTTCTCCCTTTGCACCCCCACCATCTTTCCAGCTCGTTCTAGGACTGGGGGAGGCCTCCCACCTGTCCAAGGCAGTGGCTGCCTCATCTGGACCCTTGCTCCCAGAAGGGCCCTGCTATCTGAGGGTTTCTGTTAGGGTAATTTCTGATTGCCAAACTGAGTACTGATAGTTTTATTTTTGTCTCTGATATTTTGTCCAGATTTTTAATGTATTACACAGCAAGAAAGATTTTGGAATGAACATCTCTAATCCTCTATGTTGCCAGCCATGAAAGCTCCCATCCCTCTTACACTCAATCACGTCGCCTCCTCTATGCGAACGTCCCGTAGCCCTGACCCTGTGCCTCGCTGCTGCCCTCACCTGCTCCACAGCATGGAGAGAGCGGAGAGGCTGGCGGCACCAGAGCACCCCCAAGAGGCTCCTGAGTGAATGAAACAAACGGCTGCCAGAGTCCTGACGAGCCTCTTTGAATAATTCTACTTCCTGGAAAAAGATCCCTTCATGAAGATGTGAGCATTTAACCCATGCTGCATCTAGTTAATATTTTTTCACAATTTACACAAACCCAAAATAAGGTTAAACTTCAACCCTCTCAGTCTTTAGTATTATAATGTTCTGCAGACTATGCACAAACATGGTTAAACCCCAATGAATCATTAGAATTATTTGCGTACTATCATTTAACATTCAGAATAGATCCTTAAGAAAATATACATCTAGAAAAAAAGTGTTCAAAATTTAGTGCTGTGGATTAAAAACTGTCAAGGCTGCATGGCTGTACCTCAAGTTCCTGTTTATCAAATATGGCCTTCACAGGAGACGGCTGGGTGGCCGAGGCCAGCAGCTGCTGCAAGAGGATCATGGGGGGCTGCGGCCCTTCAGGAGACATGTCCCCAAGGTCAGGTGATACCACTGCTCCATCATCTGAATTTAAAAACAAAATATGTGTAAGATTCTATTTTCAACTGCGAACACCACTTTACTATTAAAGAAAATGCATTAAGCATGTTAAATCAGGTATGACTTCTGCCTCATTATGTGATAGAAAACCAAAATCTTCAAGGTTCAGACATCGAACAAAAACTAGACTCTAGGTTGGGTGCGGTGGCTCACGCGTGTAATCCCTGCACTTCGGGAGGCCAAGGCGGGTGGATCACAAGGTCAGGATATCAAGACCATCCTGGGTAACACGGTGAAACCCCATCTCTACTAAAAATACAAAACATTAGCTGGGCATGGTGGCGGGCGCCTGTAGTCCCAGCTACTTGGGAGGCTGACACAGGAGAATGGCATGAACCTGGGAGGCGGAGCTTGCAGTGAGCTGAGATTGTGCCACTGCACTCCAGCCTGGGCGACAGACCAAGACTCGGTCTCAAAAAAAAAAAAAAAAAAAAAAAAAAAAATTAACTGGGCGTGGTGGTGCGTGCCTGTAATCCCAGCTACTCGCAAGGCTGAGGCAGGAGAATTGCTTGAACCAGGGAGTTGGAGGTTGCAGCGAGCCAATATCACACCACCATACTCCAGCCTGGTGACAGAGCGAGACTCCATCTCAAAACAAAAAAAAAAAAACTAGACTCTAAACCACTTTCACTGCCTGCTTTTGGTCTCTGTCCTTCATTAGTGCATCTGTCTCTTAGAGCCAGCAAATGCTCCTTCCCAGATTTCTGCACTTGGTCTGATTCTTTCTCTTTTCTTGAGATGGAGTCTCACTCTGTTGCCCAGGCTGGAGTGCAGTGGCACAATCTTGGCAAACTGCAACCTCTGCCTCCTGGCTCAAGCGATTCTCCTGCATCAGCCTTCCCTGTAGCTGGGACTACAGGCACACGCCACCACGCCCGGCTAATTTTTGTATTTTTAGTATAGATGGGGGTTTCACCATGTTGGCCAGGCTGGTCTCGAACTCCTGACCTCAGGTGATCCACCCGCCTCGGCATCCCAAAGTGTTGGGATTACAGGCATAAGCCACCATGCCTGACCTACACACTCTCTTTCGTGTTCACTCACGGCTTCAGTAACCCCTGACACAGACACATCCCACGTGCATATTTCTAGCTGTAGCTTTTCCAGCTAAGCTTTGTTGAGATCATTAAGTGACCCCAATTCCAAATGTGTCATGTGCTCAGGGTGATGGCTTTTTGTCTGTTATGAGTAGCTTTAGGTGCAGCCTTTAGGACTCTGTTTGACACAGCCCCAGGGAGATCCACTGCCCTCAAGCCCACTTCACACATCTAGGTACTCATCCAGGTACTCACAGCATTTGCATGTGCTGGTTTTCTTCAGTGACAATTTCAACTAACTAGACCAGGAGCTGGAAATCTTTCTCTTAAAGGGCCAGAGAGTAAATAGTTTAGGCTGATGGGCTGTACAGTCTCTGTCCCAACTACTCAGCTCTGCCATTGCAGAGCAAAAGCATCCAGAGACGATGTGTAAACAAGTGGTGTGTCTGTGTTCCCATAAAAATTTACAAAAACAGGTGCACGGCAGTTTTGTCAATCTAGCTCTGTTAGGAGTCCCTGCTCGGCCCAAAGCACAGACTTGATCATCCTGATTCAGGTCTGCTGTCACTGCTCATTGGGCTGAGTGCAGAACAGAACAGCCAATCCAATTCCCAGGCTCCAATCTTCCAATCTCTACAACTGGGAAATCTTCATGTTCCCTATAACCTCTACTATTAATTGATTCTATACTTTCAATTGATTTCTTTCATCCTCAGCAGGTTTAAAATTAATTTCATAACATCCTCTCCTCTTAAGATTAAGAAACAAACCCACATACTCCACATTCTACTGGACTTGCATATTTTTTTCAAACGCACCACTCACTATTCTCCCCTCAATTCAAGCTTGAAACAGCAGAGTCACCTTCCACTTTTTGCTGGTTCCCCATAAAGTTATCATCTACAAGACTACACCATCACAGTGGATGGCACCTTCCTTCCACCAGAACCTTCTTTCCCTTTTCATGCCTTCCCCCTCATCACCTGACGCAGGAGCAATTCTCCATCTCTGTCATCTCCTGTTTCAGATACTCCTATACCTTCCTAGCAGGTGTATCACCCGAAGGTCAATGCTTACCATGTGGCCCCTACCACAGCTTTCCAAGTGGGCCTCAAGTTTCACCCTGGTCTCCCAGGTACTCTGTAACAGGATGTCACCCACCCATCCAGCTTCAGCCCCACCACTCATCGACAAACCCTGAGCTCCAAGCAATGCAGAGCTGCTCAACACGCTTCCAAAGACTCGCCACTTTCACTCCTCTCCTCCTGGTCCACCACCAGCAAAGTGCTTGTCTGCTGGCATCTGTCTGCCACAGCCTTCAAAGGCTGCCCGTCCAGTGCTCAGCTGCCACTGGCTCCAGATGCCTGTGGAACCACTCACATGCCTCACCGCCTCCTGACCCCAGAGGACAAAGAGAGCCATCTGCATTCACTTCCTCTCCTCATCCAAACCCTAGAGAGCAATGATCACAGAAAAGGACTTTCCCCGAAAAGACTTAGCATAATGTCTTTCAATAGCAGGAGATCAAAAAATGTTTTTTTCTATTAAAAGTGACACAAGCTCATTCTAGAAAACTAAATATAGAGAAATATAAAGAAATAAAGACAGCCAAATTCCACCAAAGATTACTGGGTCACTATTTCACTAAACAGATAACTATGGCATATCTATAAACGGATATACATAGCAATGTGCTTTTCTGTTTACTTATCATTTTCATATTTCCACGGCAATAAACATATACAGCTAGCCCTCCATATCCATGGGTTCTGCATCCAAAGATTCAACAAACCACACATCAAAAATATTCAGAATAAAACAATTTTTTAAAATATAATTTTAAAAAGAATAGCAATAACAACTATTTACATATCATTTATTTTATTTTTATTTATTTATTTTTTTTGAGACAGAGTCTCGCTCTGTCACCCAGGCTGGAGTGCAGTGACACGATCTCGCCTCACTGCAAGCTCTGCCTCCCGAGTTCACACCATTCTCCTGCCTCAGCCTCCCAAGTAGCTGGGACTACAGGCACCTGCCACCACGCCCAGCTAATTTTTTGTATTTTTAGTAGAGATGGAGTTTCACCGTGTTAGCCAGGATGGTCTCGATCTCCTGACCTCGTGATCTGCCCGCCTTAGCCTCCCAAAGTGCTGGGATTACAGGCATGAGCCACCGCGCCAGGCCTATATATCATTTATATTTTTAAAGTATTTGGGAGGATGTACATAGGTTATATGCAAATACTACACCATTTTATAGAAGGGCCTTAAGCATTAGTGAATTCTGGTATAACTGGGGGTCTTGGAACTCATCCCCATGGATATTCAGGGAAGACTATATAAGTACCATCATTTTGAATGGCACCATGGTATCACACTGTATGGATACACAACATAAGAATAGGTATTTTGGTGTCTACAGTTTTTCAACACAAAAACAATACCAAAAAGGAGGCCATAACGACACTGTTGAATACATTATCTTTTTTTTTTTTTTTTTTTTTTTTTTGAGACAAAGTCTCACTCTGTCGCCCAGGCTGGAGTGCAGTGGCACAATCTGCACCCTGCAATCCGCACACACTGCAACCTCCGCCCCCCGGTTCAAGTGATTCTCCTGCCTCAGCCTTCCAAGTAGCTGGGATTACAGGCGGCCACCACTATGCCCCACTATTTTTTTTTATTTATTTATTTTTTGAGACAGAGTCTTGCTCTGTCGTCCAGGCTGGAGTGCAGTGGCGCCATCTCGGCTCACTGTAAGCTCCGCCTCCCGGATTCATGCCATTCTCCTGCGTCAGCCTCCCAAGTAGCTAGAACTACAGGCGTCCGCCACCGTGCCCAGCTAATGTTTTGTATTTTTAGTAGAAATGGGGTTTCACCATGTTAGCCAGGATGGTCTCTAGCTCCTGACCTCGTGATCCGCCGCCCGCCTCGGCCTCCCAAAGTGCAGGGATTACAGGCATGAGCCATTGTGCCCGGCTGGTGAATACATTATCTTTACATGCCTTTTCGTGTGATAAAGTCCCACGGAATGACTTGCTGGGCCAAAGTATATAAATACATACATACATCTATGCATGTCAAAGACCAACTCATTTCCTCAGACGCCCATTAGATGGCTACACCAACTGAAATTCCCAGCAGCAGCCTGTTCATGGAGTGCGGCTTTACGCGCATTTGAAGAACCAGCTTAGGTTCTACTTGTTACAATACAGGCTCTATTTCTTTGGTCTGGGGTGCGGCCTGGGAGTCTGCATTTCTAACACATACCTGCGTGCCACCAATCTTGCTGACCCATGCAGCACACTTTAAATGGGAAGGCATGAAAATACCTTTTTCCCTCCCCACCCACCAGATGCCCTCAGTCTTGTCTTATAAGATGACGATGACAATTTTATTCACAGTTGGTGGTTGCTGGGCAGGCCACATGTCTGTCTTGTACATTTATAAGCCACCTATGTCCATTTTTATGAACTGATTATTCACTTCCTTTGTCTACTTTCTACTGCCCTTCTTATAAAGATTTAAGAACTTTTTAAAAAGACACCTGTGTGAACAGTTCCAGTCTCCTGAACAGCTGGCTGAGACAGGATCTGCCGCAGTTTATCCTGGTGGGAGAGCAGCGCCCGACCTGCTTTCAGGATGTATAGCTTCAACTGCTGGCACCGCAGCAGGTCCAGGTCCACTTGTCCTGCGGAAGGAAAGACTCAGTGAGAAGGGCGTGCCCTGCTCAGACTCCCTCCTCGCCAGCAGCAAGCCTCCGCCACATGGCGACGAGTAACGCTCTGCCCTTCAGGAATCTGCCGACCGCACACACTGTCCGTGACGAAGGGCTTGCCTTTCCCAGAGTTACACTCGGTGCTTCTGGGTAAGCATCTTCTGCCTCCTGGGTCTTCCTTCCCTGCTCTCCAGGCACCTAACTTGATAGGACGCAGGATTCAATGGGTTTAACACGGTTAGAACCATGTTAGCTACTATTAATATGATCAAATGTTCCCCAAGTTGCTGAAGTTTCAGCCGCTTTCACTCTTCTTCTAAGACTCCTCTGAGAGAATCTGTCAGCCCCACTAGCTCTTTAACTGATGAAGATGGCAGCAATGCCCAAGGCTTATCTGATAGCAGAGGCCGCAGAAGCAGCACAGAGAGCATGGGGTGGGAAGGAAGGAGGGCCGCAGGTGCCGCTCGGACACTGGCTCAACTAACTGGCAGACAGGTTTATTCACCACGATGGGAAACGGCAGCTACTAGAGAAAGCCAGCTGAATTTCGGACATGTGGTGATTTGCATGCACTGCACCTCCAACCAGACATGTGAATGGGAGATCCAGAGTTGAAAGTGCTTACATCATAAATGCTGAAGCAGCAATCGTAGGTCTGTGGGAGCAAGAGGGGAGAAAACTCAAGAAGAGTGGGCAGAATACGCCATAGTTACGGGTGAAGCCACACAGACTTCCAGGACATAAAGAATGAGCAGAGAGAAGAGCTCCCTAGAAACATGGAAACAAACTCAGGAGAGCCGCATTCTACAACCGAAGGAAGGCAAAGCCAAGCCAGGCTACAGTCACAGTCTTAGCCATCCTGAATGTCACAGGCAAGCCAGGCGCTTCCGGGACAGAGGCCCCTGGATCCGGCAGAGAACAGGCTGTGAGCCATGGTCCAACAGGGTGACTGGGCCACAGGGCCCTGGGATGGAGAGGAGGAGGGAAGAGGTGAACACAGACTTCTCTTCCGGGATAAAGGGTGACACGGAGAAGAGGGTGTGAGCCATGGGGTTCTTCAAGTGTGGCTCCGAACATGGCGACAAAAGCTGACTCGAAAATACTCATTACCACGAACACAGGGTTACATTCCCAACCGCAACTCAACAAATGGTGAGCCCACGTGAACCCCAGGACTTTAGTACGTCCGTGAATTCACTCATAAAAGAACACTGTACAAACGACACGAGTTTAAGACGGCAGCTATTTCATCAAGAAGCACCATGTACTGACCTGCAAAGGCCTGTTTAGTCGATTTCTTTATTTTGTGCTTTTCTAACTTGCTTCCAGCGAGGTTCACCAACTGAGCCCAGACAGACAGCATGGGCTCTGTGAAGGGCAGGTTGTTCACATTAAAGGCCACGGCAGGGAGCTGGAGAGGACACAGAAGCTGTCAGAGTGTGGCCAATACGACTAACAAATGAAACGTTCTGAAAGTCATCAAAACCATGGGCTTAATCCTGAAATGCCACACATACCCGTAAGCCTTTTATAGCTGAGAATAATCATTTTTTAAAATGACATTAAAGGCAGGATAGAGATTTACACATATAATAAGTATAATCTATATTAATTTTTCTTTACAAACCTGTCAACAATAATTACATCAGTGTGGTGGTTACTATCTTCTCAGATATTTTCTATATACTTCAAGTTTTCTACAACGTGTATATATTCCTATAATAATAAAAAAGAGTACTTTATAGAAAATATAGTCAGGCCAGGCACGGTGGCTCACGCCTGTAATCCCAGCACTTTGGGAGGCCGAGGCGGGCGGATCACCTGAGGTCAGGAGTTTGAGACCAGCCCGGCCAACATAGTGAAACCCCATCTCTACTAAAAATACAAAATTAGCCAGGCGTGGTGGCACACACCGTAATCCCAGACACTCAGGAGGCTGAGGCAGGAGAATCGCTTGAACCCGGGAGGCAAAGGTTGCAGAGGGCCGACAACATTGTGCCATTGCACTCCAGCCTGGGTGACAAGAGCAAGACTCCATCTCAAAATAAAAAAGAAAAAGAATATATAGTAAGATTGCACTTGGGCTACATCAAAATAATGTAAATGGCTCCTTCTCCCTGTGCATCCTTGATTCACAGATTAAGATGACAGTAGCTGCTACATTAAGTCACGTCACTCAAAACTACTAAGCATTTTCTACATGAAGAAAGGCTGTTTTTTTAAAGGTGTTTAAACATGTTTGTTTTTTTAAAACTTGAGTTGTTGAATAAAAAGTAAACTTCATAAATTCACATTTTAAAATAATTAGAACTACCTCATAGATGCACGGTACCTTCTAGGTTGCTAAAGCCCTCTTCGTGTCTCTGAGGCTGAAATACACACGAACCACTGCTTTAAGTGCCCTGTGAGACAGGCCCTGCTTACCACAGAAGCACAAGCTCACACAGCTTCCTGGAAGGCAAACTTCAAGTACCAGAATCAAGTTCTTTCAAGTGCTGATGCTGGTGCTCGGTTCTAGTGTAAAGTCAATTTCCCTTATCATGCAGTAACTAAGCACAAGTTCACCTACTGGTTTCAGCTGATTCAATGGGCAAACGCGACACGTCCGCATGTCAGAGAACTGCACGGTGATTTTGCCCTTTGGGGTGATGCGAGTCACAGTGCCTTCTCCAAACTCATCGTGCATAACTTGACCGCCCAGGCGCAGGCGACCATCGATGCCTCCAATCACAGCCAGGACTGCCATGAGGCCCCCCACTTCAGGGTTCTCGGAGTCGGGGAAGTAGTCCTCTAACTGGGCCTAGTGCAGACCAAACAGCGAGCTCGACAGAGACACTCACGGAGCTGCCCAATCCCTACAGGTTCACCGTTGAACTAAATTAATTCTGAGAACACAAACCCACCCCTTCGGAAGGCCTTCCCACAAAGCTGTGGGTGATGGAGCGGAGCTGGGAGTTGATGTACTTGTTGATGAGCCCATTCCACTGAGTCAGGGAGTGCAGCGTGCGCAGCAGTGCCACCACCTCCTCCGCCAGTGTGCTGCTGTGGGTGGCAGTCAGCGAGGCCTGCGGGCGCACCCTGCGCCGCCTCAGCGTGGACTCTGAGGAGGAAACCAGGGGAGAAGCTGCTGCACCGCTCTTCACCAGGGCACAGGGAAAGGAGACGGCTACCCACCTCTAAGTGACGGCACTGCGCCGCTCTTCACCAGGGCACAGGGAAGGGAGACGGCCATGCACCTCTGAGTGACGGCACTGCGCCGCTCTTCACCAGGGCACAGGGAAGGGAGACGGCCACGCACCTCTGAGTGACGGCAGTACACCGCTCTTCACCAGGGCACAGGGAAGGGAGACGGCCACCCACCTCTGAGTGACGGCACTGCGCCGCTCTTCACCAGGGCACAGGGAAGGGAAACGGCCACCCACCTGAGTGACGGCACTGCGCCGCTCTTCACCAGGGCACAGGGAAGGTAGACGGCCACCCACCTCTGAGTAATGGCACGTCAGAGGAGCAGGTAGTGAGCAAGCTTCCCAAGAAGTCAAACAGCTTCTCCACGAGGCATTTCATGTCCCTCGCCCTTTCGGTCTTGTCCCATGATGGAAGGACTGCTTGCAACAAATGCACAGCTAAGATCTGATAAAAGAAAATTTATAACGACAAGCATTAAAAAAAATCTGATGAGGAAACTACAGATTGTTATTTTTTTATTTTTTATTTTTTTGAGACAGAGTCTCACACTGTCACCCGGGCTGGAGTGCAGTGGCACGGTCTCGGCTCACTACAAACTCCCACCTCCCAGGTTCAAACGATTCTCCTTGCTTCAGCTTCCTGAGTAGCAGGGATTACAGGCACCCACCACCAAGCCCGGCTCATTTTTTTTTGGATTTTTGGTAGAGACAGAATTTCACTATGTTGGCCAGGCTGGTCTCAAACTCCTGACCTCATTATCCACCTGCCTCGGCCTCCCAAAGTGCTGGGATTACAGGCATGAGCCACTGCGCCCGGCCTCTCTTTATTTTCTGTTCTCATAACGCAAGTAATCAAGTGAAAATTTTGAGATTCATTATTTTACAGCCAGGTAATTACACTCAAGTTGATTAGTGATTAGGATTGTCAGGAACTTTAAAAAAAGCAACATTACAGATGCATGTGTTTAATTTAAAAAGAATTATTTTTAGTTTAATTCTTAAGACAATTACACTACAAATTCTGTGAAGCAGATGAGTGAGTAGTTGCAGGATTTACCACTTAAGAGAAAAGCAGGTAAACTGAAGGTTAGCAACTTACCAATTATCAAGGACCTCTGCCCCTTGCCTCCAGAAAATCTACCCTGTCACTTCTAGACCCTTTCTGCACTCGTTACTGAATAAAGGCCCCTGACTCTGAAGGCAGGGAACTTCAGTACATGGAGGCCTCTCTCAGGGAACTGGTTTTGCCTGGCAGCACATTACCTGCCTCTGCAGCGAGGTGGCAGTGAAGGGTGCGTGCCCTTCCACGACCTTCATGAGCAGCGTGATCCACTGCGGGGAGCTGAGGGCGCCGCATACCTGCGGCGTGAGAGCGATGCTCCGCACAAACCCCAGCGTGCACCAGCTCCGGTGTTGCTCCCTGTACACCAGCCTGTTTGGAGAAGCTGCAGGAGGGAAAATAGACATGCTTGGTAACAAGTCCCTAAAGACAAATCCCTAAAGATATATCCTTATTTTTTTATCAACTTATTTTATTTTTCTAAAATAAGCTCCTTTACAAATATATTGCAGTTTGTAAATTAATTCAAACTAATTCAAAGTGAGAAGTGGAAGGCAGCTTTTAAGTTAGTTCAAGAAACATTTCTCAATTTTTCTTTTTTTTTTTAGAGAAGGGCTCTCACTGTGTTTCCCAGGCTGGTCTAAAACTCCTGGGTTCAAGTGATTCTCCTGCCTTGCCCTGCCAAATAGCTGGGACTACGGGCATTTTTAAAACCTTCTAAGTATGTGTAGTAAAAGTAGTTAGGGAATTTTAGCTATGCATTGTTTCTAGGCAATAGGAAAACCATCTATAATTCAAATAACAGTACTTTGCAACAGTGCATCTATTATATTTTTAATTTCGTGTTTTAAATATCTCCACAATCTTGCTTATATTTAATCTGCACCACTTAAATATTTTTTTTTTTTGTATTTTTAGTAGAGACAGTTTCCAATCCAAGTTTAATACATCTGCATTAACAAAATGAGTTTTTCACTAGGTTTACACCACTGGATTCTAGCACCAGTGGGCCCACCTCTGCTCCGCCTGGCTCCAGGACTCCACTACTCCCTGAATGGAGGCTGAGGCTTGGAGGCTGGGCCCCCTGAGGGACCCCGCCCACAGCCCCACAGGACCTGCTCTCCCTCCCACCTCCCCCACCCTGCCCTCAGCTATCCAAGCTTATGAGGACACCTGCCTTCCTTCAGCACACTCACATGCGCTCACACACACACACTCACTCTCACACCCTCATATGCATCCTCACACTCACACTGATACTAAGTTATTCAGACACACTCATGGGCACTCATACACCCACCCTCACACTTTCAGGTGCACTCACACCACTGTCGCAATCACTAACACACACACAATCCCAGTCACACGTATGCACAAACAGATGCAAGCTGACACACACTCCCATGCACTCTCACATACACTTACCCCTCCCAATGCATACAAAAACTCACATATGCACTCACACTCCTCAACACTAGTAACGACCGATTACTCACCCACTCACACCTTTACCCACACACTTTCTCACTTTGCACTCACACCTATACTGTTATAACCTCCCATTCACTGACACAAGCAAAATGCTCACATTCACTCACACGCATTCACAATAACATCACTCGTGCTCACACTGACACAAGGCACTCATACACATTTACACAAATGCTCGCACTCAATCGCACACTTACACACTTGTGCTGCCACCCACTCATACTTCCTCACACTCACCAACCCTCACTGACTTACACTGACTTACACTTACACTGGGTGTCTCATTCGCACACCCAGTAATCCCCTCACACTCACTCATGCCTCCCTCATGCTCACCCTCACACACACACTGGCTCAATGCACTGACGCTTTCACTCCCACTTCACCTGAATGTAGTCACCTGCCCACTTACATGCTCTCATGGACACACACCCACACAACCACATGCTACCAACACACCATCACACTTGCAACACAAACGCTCAGCCACTTGCCCATCGACCGCTAACACACTCACTCTCATCAATATGTGCGGACGCTCCAGCACACCACTAATACACGCATGCTCTCACACACACTGGAGGACGCCCACATACCCACCCACACTCACATGTGCTCACTCGCAGTCACATGCACACTCACCCCACTCCCTCAGCTCACATTTCTCATACTTACTCTCCACACAAACACTTTATGGATTAAACTGTGCCTGTCCCCCAACTTCACATACATTCGGAACCTCAGAATATGATCTTATTTAATGAGGTCTCTGTAGACGTCATTAAGGTAAGAATTTAGGTGACATCATGTTGGATTAGAGTCAAAGAAACTCAAAGAGTCCTTTCAGAGACAGAAAAGGACATGCAGAACACAGGGGCAGGGGCCATGTGAAGACGCAGGCAGAGACTGGCACAATGCGTCCCAACACCAAGGAAGCCTGGAGCTCCCAGAAGCTGGACAAAGTAAGGAAGGACCTTCCCCTAGAGCCTGTGGAAGAAGCATGGCCCTGCCCGCACCTGGATTTGGGACTTCTGGTCTCCAGAACTCTGAGAGAACAAATTTGTTGTTTGAGGCCAGTGTTATGGGTTGAATTCAGAATTGCAAAATTCGTATGTTGAAGCCCTAACCCCTATCGTACCTCGGCAGGTGACCTTGTTTGGAAATAGGGTCGCTGCAGCTGTAATCAGTTTGATGAGGTTGAATGATGTCCTTATGAAAAGGGGAGATTTGGAGGCGACTCACACACAGGGAGAATGCCATGTGAAGATGACGGCAGAGATAGGGGTGACACCTCTACAAGCCGAGGAACGCTAAAGAGACCAGTAAACTCCAGAAGCTGGGGCAGAGCCCTCAAGCAGCTTCCCCCTCACAGCCCCAGAAGGAACCACCCTTGATCTCAGCCTTCCAGCCGCCAGAACCGTGAGAATTTCTACTGTGTAAGCCCCCAAGTTTGTATACTTTGTTACAGCAGCCACAGGAAAGGAATCCACACACATCCACACCCACCCACATGAACACCCAGACACAAGCGTGCGGCCCCCAGCGCTGACTCCCTGGGCCCTCGATCTCTCATTCCATACATGTCTTGTCCGTCGTTCCGCTTTCCACTAACATTCGCAGCAGTCCGCATAAAGTCTTGGTGGCTTCGCTCTGCATGATCTCAGCATGAACTCCAGCAGACAGACAAAGAGTCTGCAGTAAGTTAATAGTGCTGGTAAACATCATTGCAGTGGGGTGAATGTTCCTTTCAGTTTGTTCGGCTTCTAAAAAAAATAATCAAAATTACAAATTATATTCCCAAGTAAAACTGGAAGATAGTCCTGCATATAATTCAACAGCTTTAATATTACATTCTTGTTTTATTGAAGACTTGAATTTTAGTGCAGTTTTAGGTTCACGCAAAATTGAAAGTACAGAGATTTATTTTTGTGTTCTTTTTTCCTTTGAGACAGGCTCTGTCTCCCAAGCTAGAGTGCAACGGCATGATCATAGCTCACTGCAGCTTTGACCTCGCAGGGTAAGCAGTCCTCCCACCTCGACCTCCCAAACTGTCATCTTTTCTGCTTTGGAAAGGGAAACAGATCTTTACAAGAAGAAAAGATGGAACTCAGGATGCACTAAACGTGCACCCTGATCATTTTCTGTTCCCATCTTCCTCAAGAATCTTTTAAATAATAATTCTCGAAACAACATTAGCATATAACTCAGAAGCAATAAATGATTCCAAGGTTTCACTTCTTTAGAAACACAACTTATCAAATGTCAAGCGCTGGTTTCTGATGAGCTGGCTGTGTCCTAGATGAGGACAAAGCACCGGCATCTGTGGAGTGGGGCGACCAGACGCTCATGCAGCCCGCTTGGCTGGCTTTGGGATGAGGAGATGTGTGGCAAATGAGGCCACCCTCTGCCGTGGGGCCACCCCTGCCCAGGCTCTGATGCCTCTGTGGGGAAAGGCCCCAGGCAGGGAGCCAGGCCTGCTTCCTGCAGGCAAGGGAGGCTGAGGGAGGAAGCAGCGACTGGTGTCAGGCAGCATGCTATAGGCTGGATGCTGGCGGCCAGCACCACATCCGCCCTCAGGGACAGGGTTCCAGGTGCCATATACATCGCTCCTAACAGGCCTACGCAGTAGGGAACACTTCTGCTCACACCTGAGGGACCCAGGCCCCAGAAGTGACGTGTCAAAGATGGTGGTATCAGGATCTGAGCTGTGTGCCCCGAGCCCAGACGGTGCGCTATGGCATAGCCTCTTCCAGCCCCCATACCACCTGCTCTCTAGTGAGTACACCTTCTAAGATCTCGTGCTCACTGAAATAGCCATTTCTGAGCCTGATGACACTGTAGCCATGGGGGGCACTGCGGTGCTTCCGGAGGCAGCCCCAGCCTCTTGGATGGTATTACCAAACCCAGCCATGTGAAGCTTCACATGTCTTTTAGGAACAGCTAAGAAATGTCACGAAACCTCCTCCCGCAACCTGGATCTCCACAGATAGGATCTAGCTTTCTTGGTCCACCCCTAAATTCTCACCTCTGCTTCCCTAGAAGCGATAAAGTGCTGACTAACTCCACATTACATGAAGAGTTCAGAGTCAGGGACCACAGAGGAAAGGTAAAGGCAGGTGGCAGGTGGGGTGTGCTTGGGCAGGGGCTCTCACTGGAGGAGGAGGCAATGGACCGAGACCACAGGGCAATTCCACCAGGCCTCGGCTCACTCGCTCAGACACAGGCTCAGCGCCAACCACATGAGACTCACTGGTGGTGCAGCTGCCCCGGCCTGGCCACCACATTCTCAAAGAGGGGCGGGTGCACACATGAGAGTAAAATGCAGAAAGTCAGTTCCAGCCAGATCGCCGGATCCCACAGCCACTCCACACACCTGCATCGGAGGTGCCTGGGAGCTTATTTAAATTGCAGGCTCCGAGGACAGAGCGCCAGCTGCAGGTGCGTCCTGACATCCCATTCTAAGGCCCAGATGACAGTGGTGGCAGCCAGCACCTGGACAGTTTGTGGGCTGCCTTGGACTAAACACCTTCCTGAGTCACCCACCAGAGTCATCCTCTGTGTCCGAATCCTCTGCTGAGGGCTGTGCAGCAGCCGGCAGCTCTGCCAGCTTGAGGTCGTATTTTCCTTCTTTCCCCATCCTGTAGGAGTTGGTGCTGCCTGTGTCCCACTGGACTCTTATCCATCCGTCCTCTCCCAGCTCACCAATCACGCGGCCTAGGCCTGGAGGAGGCCCATCCTGAGAAAGCCAAAGTAGAGATCAGTTAGGAGGGTGCGTAACCTGCCCTGGTCCTTCCATGGCTCCCAGCAGACCTCAGTTAGGAGGGTGCATGCCCTGCCCTGGTCCTTCCATGGCTCCCAGCAGACCTCAGTTAGGAGGGTGTGTGCCCTGCCCTGGTCCTTCCATAGCTCCCACCAGACCTCAGTTAGGAGGGTGCGTGCCCTGCCCTGGTCCTTCCATGGCTCCCACCAGACCTCAGTTAGGAGGGTGCATGCCCTGCCCTGGTCCTTCCATGGCTCCCACCAGACCTGTTAGGAGGGTGCGTGCCCTGCCCTGGTCCTTCCATGGCTCCCACCAGACCTCAGTTAGGAGGGTGCGTGCCCTGCCCTGGTCCTTCCATGGCTCCCACCAGACCTGCCACACAGATGTCGCCATATGCCACCCTGTCTGTCAGGGGCTGTCCCCAGACACAGATTTCACCTCTCCTACAAAATGTGTGCTTGCATCATTTTAAATTAAATGGCATAAAATAACGTGCTCATGCTGCTTTACCAAGGAAGTCGGGGAAATCTCATCTCAATGAGGATCCTCTGAGTCAATGCAGAGACAGGGCTTTGCAGCAAGTCCTGACCCCACAATCCCTCACGGGCCTTGCAAGAGCGGAAACCTGAAACAAGCACCAGCACCTCCACATTCCCTTTGCTTCAGTTTCCCCTGGGCCCCAGGGGGAAGCTCTGTCTCTCACTTCTGCAGGAGAAAGCTGTTTCTAGGATGGATGCTGTCTCCAGACACTGCTATTTCTAAGATGACTGTGACAAAGCCGGGGCTTACCAGCGTGGCTGAGAAAAGCCAGACAGACCATGGGAAGGTGAACACTGCCCTAACTTAGCTAGGGCTGTGGTAAGTGACTTCCACCTGGGGGCACCTGGCAGAGATTTAGAAGAGACCTGCAATGAGGGAAGATGGAAACGTGGCCACAGGCCCATGAAGTAGATCCCTAACTACTGGCTTCAGGGCACTTCGCAGCACATGGCCATCAGCCCACAGGGGCAGCATCTGGGCTTCCTGCCTCAGAGCCTTCACTACACCAACTTTCAGAATGAGATTTACTCTCTTGCTCACTCTCACACTCTTGTTCCAGTGACCCATCAAACTGAGCCTCATGCCAGTGAGTTTCCTGAAAAGAGCTGCCTCTCTTTCCAGACTTGATTCTGCTCAGATGCCCTACTTATGATTCCCTACTTGTGTTCACTCCCTTCGGCTGCTCGGGAACCAACACCTGTGTCATCAATCAACTGACACATCCTGGATTATTCCAATTTCCACCCACCAATATCGTACAGAACTGTGCAGAAGATAACTAATGTGTGGCTAATGTGTTCACATCAAATCTCTGAGTACCTGATCGCCCCATTTCCAGTCCACACCTCTCATGACCCTTGTTCCAATCTTCATCATGGCAGCCAGTTCTGGTCCTGAAACAGGGAGCTGCACAGGAGCCGTTTCCTTCCTTGTTTCTTCCAAAACTGTGGCAGAAGCACCTTGAGCAGAAGCATTCATATCTTCCTCAACGTTGTCACAACTGGGGCCTGATGGAGCGTCAAAAACAATAGCTGAGCCAACAAGTAGCTACAGTGTCCCCTTAATACACACAAAACATTCACAAAGTACTAATGAAGATCGTAATTTTGAACAATCCATACTATATGTTTTATCAATATAATATTATGAATATTTTACTGATATAGGATAAAAAGAAGATAAACGGAAGGATGAAATACATAAATATCCTAGGAAGATATAAAAGATATTAAAATGCTCAGTAAAGCTACTCTCTCTACTTCTAGGAATTACTCCCCCCAAAAAAGCAAAATAACTAAGTTAGAAAGATATTCATCATATTTTTTATTAATAGAAAAACAAAGATAACTACCTAAATATCTAACAGTGGGAAACTAACAAACTTTAATCATGGTTCTGTGCAGAAGACAGCTAACAGCTGGCCCGAGATACAACCTCAGACAGGGTTGCTGCAGGCTGGCCCTCGGCTGGAGTCTGGATCTCAGGAGGGCTCTCCCATTCCCTAGGTAGTAGGTGTGGTTCCCTGTGCCTGAACTGTCTGTACAAACAATGTGGTCTGTGCTGAAACCTGCTTTCCTTGTTCTGGAACTTCGTATGCGCCAGGAAGGGGGTGCCCGTGTGATCAGCCCTAATGGAAACCCTGGGCCTGGAGTCTCTATCCAGCTTCCCGGCAGACAGCACCTGACACAGCTCAGTGCCAGGGCAGTTAAGCTCGTCCTGTGTGGATCCTGTGGAAGCTTGTACCTGCTTTCCTCTGGACTTTACCCATGTCCTTTTTTCATGATTTTGCTCTGTGTGCCTTCACTGTAATAAACTATAGCCCTGAGTTCAACTACATGCTGAGTCTTGTGAGTCCTCCTGGCCAACCATCAAACCTGGGGGTGGTCTTGGAGACCCCTGACAATTGGTGCCCTGGGTGGCTACAGAGTCATCCATAGCACAAAACAGAAGCCGAGCTGCTGTCACCTGAGAGCAGTAAAACTTCCCAATGGATTTGAAAATAGGAGCGCTAACCCCAGGAGAGTAGGCTAGATTTTTAACCCCCCTTTTCCCACTTGCTAAACTGAGAGGGGGTAGGAGTGTGGTTCTGGTAACTCCCTTGATTTTAGTTTTCTCCTCCAGGTGGGCGGGAAAAAGACCCAAACAGTCCCAAAGGTGGGCTTGGGCGGACCAAAAAATGTAAAAAGTTTGTGTTTCTCTCTCTTCCAAGAGAGCAACAAAGGATATTCAATTCCCAGGGCTGGAGCAAAACTTTAGATAAACTAGCAGGGGAAACAGCCTTTCCTTTAGCCTAGCCGCTACTTTAGGGCCCCCAGGAAGGGGCCCCAAGGAAGGGACAGGAGTTGCATTCTAGGTGGATCTCCCAGGATCCCCTGGGCAGCTATACTGTTAACTCTGTAAAGACTGAATGTATTGCTAAGGACTTGAATAAATTTGCAAGCAAAACTGGGGGAATTTTTCATTTTGCATAGCTTTATGTTTTCTGGCTGTTACATGTGGATGTATACATTAAGCTGGTATAAAATATTATATGCTTATGATTTCTTAAATGACAAGAAGGATACCCTGATCAGGGCAGGCCGCAAATATAGACAGATATTCATGAGACACAACTTCCTTGCTTTTTGCAGCCAGTGGGCCAGATGAAATTTAAACACATGAATACTATCAACAGAACAAGTCCCCATACTTAATGATTTGTGCTGTGATTGTTACTTATTGGAACCTCTGGGAAAAAAGTAGACAACATAAAAAGGCCATTTCTCGATGGAGATATGCTTTTGTAATTTTTAAATGCAACTTTTGGTTGCTAATGAGGCCTCAAGAAATCAGATATAACCCTTACTAGATTATTATTTTCAGCTGTAATACACATATTAAAATATATATTTAACACAACATATAAATATATAAATTAAAAAATTATACACACACACACACCCACACACACACACACACAGAGAGAGAGAGAAACAGACAGACAGACAGACAGATAGATAGAAAGATTCCCCCCACCCCCAAGACAGGATTTCACTTTGTCGCCCAGGCTGGAGCCCAGGCTGGAGTGCAGTGGCTTTATCTCCGCTCACTGCAACCTCTGCCTCCCGGGCTCAAGCAATCCTCCCACCTCAGCCTCCCAGGTAGCTGGGACCATAGGCACACACCACTATGCCCAGCTAGTTTTCGTATTTTTTGTAGAGACAGGGTTTCTCTATGTTGCCCAAGTTGGTCTCAAACTCCTGAGCTCAAGCGACCCACCCGCCTCAGCCGCCCAAAGTGCTAGGATTACAGCCTGGCCTGATACATATTTTTGAATGGATTAATGTGAACTCTAAGACTGATGTGATTAAAAGAGCTTGGGAAAACCTTGCTTTTTCACTGTGACTTTGATAACTGGCCCTGCAGCATCTCAGTTTTAGCCAAAGAACACCACCATAAACCAATCAGATCTAATAGACATATACAGAACATCTCACCAAAAAGAGCAGAATACACATTCTTCTCAAGTATACCACAGAACACTCTCTTAGACTGACCAGACCATATGTTAGGCCACAAAGTCTTAAATTTAAACAGACTAAAATCATACAAATTACCTTCTCCAACCAAAATGAAATGAGAAATAAAAAAAAGAAAAGTGGAAAATTTACAAGTATATGAAAATTAAACAACACACAGTAAACAACCAGTGGGTCAAAGAAGAAATCACAAGGGAAATTAGAAAATACTATGAGATGAATGAAAACACAACTACCAAAACTTCTGTGCTGCGCCAAAAGCAGGGATGAAGGGGCAATTATACTATGAAAGTCTGCATTTACAAAAGATGATCTCAAATCAATAACTTAACTCTACATCTGGAAGAACTAAAAAATAACACAATAAAAACCAAAGTTAGGCCAGGTGTGGTGCCTCACACCTGTAATCCCAGCACTTTGGGAGGCTGAGGCAGGTGGATAACTTGAGCCCAGGAGGTTGAGGCTGCAGTGAGCCATGACTGTGCCACTGTACTTCGGCCTGAAGGAAAAGTAAGACCCTGTCTCAAAACAAAGACAAAAACAAAAAAATACAAAGCAGAAAGAAGGAAACGATAGAGATTAGAGCAGCCATAAATTAAATAGAGAATAGAAAAATAACAAAACCAAAAGTTTGGTTTCTGACAAGAACAAAAAATCTGACAAATTTTTGGTAAATTAAGAAAAAAAGAGGCCAGTCAAGGTGGCTCACGCCTGTAATCCCAGCACTTTGGGGAGCTGAGGTGGGCGGATCGCGAGGTCAAGAGATCGAGACCATCCTGGTCAACACGGTGAAACCCCGTCTCCACTAAAAATACAAAAAAATTAGCTGGGCGTGGTGGCGCGTGCCTGTAGTCCCAGCTACTCGGGAGGCTGAGGCAGGAGAATCACTTGAACCCGGGAGGCAGAGGTTACAGTGAGCCGAGACTGTGCCACTGCACTCTGGCCTGGCAAGAGAGCAAGACTCCGTCTCAAAAAAAAAAAAAAAAAAAGAAAGAAAAAAAAGAAGATGCAAATAACTAACATCAGAAATGTAAGTGGAGACAGTACTACCAACTTAAAATAAAAAAGATTATAAAAGAACACTGTGAACTACTGTATGCCAACAAATAAAATAGCCTAGATAAAATGGACACATTCCTAAAAACATAAATTACCCGAACTGACTCAAGAAGAAATAGAAAATCTGAATAGACCCGTAACAAGTAAAGAGATTGAATCAGTAATTAAAAATCTTTCAACAAAGAAAAGCTTAGCTGGTCAACTCTACCAAAGATTTAAAGCAGAATTGACACCAATCCTCAAACTCTTCTAAAAACAGAATATATGGGAACACTACCCAGTTCATTCTATGAGGCCATTATTACCCTGATAACTGTAAAACAATAAAATACTGCTGAAAGAAATTAAAGAGGACAGAAATAAATGGAAAGACATTCCACATTCAGAGAATGGATGTTAACATTGTTAAGATGGCACTATTCCCCAAAACAATCTACAGATTCAATCCCTAGCAAAAATCCCAATGGTCTTTTTTGCAGATATGGAAAAGCCAGCCTTGAAGTTCATGTGAAAATGCAAGGGACCCAAAGTAGCCAAAATCATCTTGAGAAAGAAAACACACTTCTCAATTTTAAAACAGTACAAAACTACAATGTTCAAAACAGGGGGTACCTGCACAATTATCAACATATAGAATGTGATAATGTAATTGAGAGTCCAGAAATAAACCTAAATATCCACAGCCAACTGATTTTTGCCAAGGGTACCCAGAACTTCAGGGAAAGAACAGTCCTCAACAAGTGGTATTGAAACAATCAGATCATCAAAAAAAACAGGTTGGACTCTTACCTCACACTGTGTAAAAGAAATTACCTAAAAATGGACCAAAGATCTAAATACAAGAGCTGAAACTATAAAACTTACAGAAGAAAACATGAGGATAATCTTCATCAACCTTGTATTTGGAAATGGCTTTTTGGATACGATATCAAAAGCATAGACGACAAAAGAGAAACAGATAAATTGAACTTCATCAAAATAAAAAACTTCTCTATCAAAGGAAATACAATCCAGAGAACAGGAGAAAATACCCTCAAATGATATACCTGATAAAGGTCTACAGATCTGTGAAGGTCTAGTATACACGAAATTTTTAAAGAGTCTGAGGACTGGTGTTAATTCTTCTTTAAAGGTTTGGTACACTTATATAGTGCATTTATTGGTACAACAACAAGGTGATGACAACCCTATTTAAAAAGGAGAAACGGGCTGGGCGCAGTGGCTCACGCCTGTTATCCCAGTACTTTGGGAGGCCAAGGCAGGCAGATCACCTGAGGTCAGGAGTTCCAGACCAGCCTGGCCAACATGGCTAAACCCCATCTCTACTAAAAATATAAAAATTAGCCAGGTGTGGTGGTGTGTGACTGTAATCCCAGCTACTCGGGAGGCTGAGGCATGAGAAGCGCTTGAACCCGGGAGGCGGAGGTTGCAGTGAGCTGAGATCGTGCCACTGTGCTCCAGCCTAGGCGACGGAGTGAGACTCCGTCTCAAAAAAAAGTAAAATAAACAATAAAGAGAAAGGGACTTGAATAGACACTTCTCCAAAGAAGATACACAAATGGCCAACAAGCACAAACATGTAAAGAAGCTCAATGTCATTCATCATTAGTGAAATGCAAATCAAAATCACAATGAGACACCACTTCACACCCACTACGATGGCCTTCATCCAAAAAAAAAAAGAAAAAAAAAAAAAACACAAAAAATAGTGTTGGCAGGGAAGCAGAGAAACTGGAACCCTGGAATCCTGCCCACTGGTGGTGGGAATGTAAAAATGATATGGCACTGTGGAAAACTTTGGTAGTTTCTCAGTAAGTTACACATAGTTGTACCATATGACCCTGTAATTCCAGTCCTAGGTGTATAATCAAAAGAACTAGAAACAAGCATTCAAACAAGTATTTGTATATAAATGTTCCTAGCAGCACTATTCACAAAAGTCAAAAGGCAAAACCAACCCAAATGTCCATCAACAGATAAATGAACAAAATGTTATATATTCATACAATGAAATCTTTTTCAGCCATAAAAATAAAGTACTGATATATACCAAATGAAATAACCCAGACACAAAGGCCACAAATGGTATGATTCCATTTATATGAAATATCCAGGATATGCAAATCCATAGACAGGGAAAGCAGATTTGTGACTACCAGGGGCTGGAGGGCAGAGGAGTGAGGACTGATGGCTAAATGGTGTGCATTTATAGTGATGAAAAAGTTCTACAACTAGACAGTGGTGATGACTCTAGAAAATCGTAAATGTATTTGATACCGCTGAATTGTGACGTTAAAATGGTACACTTCCTATTTGTGTCTTACCATAATTTACAAAAAGCTTTAAAAAAAAAAAAAAAGAAAAGAAAAGAAAAGAAATCAAAGCAAAATCTTGACATTTTCCCAAAGGCGCTCAAGCGGGTGCAGACCTACCAATCAGGCGCAGTGCCGTCTGCGTGAGGGCCAGCATGCCGGAATTGAGCAGAAGGTCGAGGTTGTTTGCGCCGTGCTGCAGGGTGAGCATGCTGAGCATCACCAGGAGGAAGCGGGCTTGCGGGATGGTCCCCAGGCTCGGTCCTGACGGGTTCTCATTGGTGATGGTTTGCAGGGGAACCGGCTGGATACCTAATGAGCATTGGCACCTACTGACATTTCTTGTGATGGATACAAGAATAAACGTAACGCAGAAAGCACGGGCGATTACTCTAAACATCTGACTATTTTGAAACCCACTGACATTTCTTCTGCATGGATGCAAGAATAAACGTAACGCAGAAAGCACGGGCGATTACTCTAAACATCTGACTAATAAGCATTGACACCCACCTACATTTCTTGTGCATGGATACAAGAATAAACGTAATGCAGAAAGCACGGGCAATTACTTTAAACATCTAACTATTTTCCAGGGGTTTCCACAGAGTGGGCAGCTCTGTCATGCTGCACGATGGGCCTACCCCCTGCATTCTATGCACAGGTTGTTCCATCTGTCTACAGGACTTAGCATGTTGCTCTCTGAATACTCTGGTGCCCTATTCCATTCCTTCCATTTCGAATATAAAAGTTATGTCTCACTTTTCCTCCACAAAACCAATCCAATCAACTCTCTGTAGATGCTCAAACTATCCAGGAAATAAATATTAATATAGGACACAGACACTTTAGGATATGTGGTGATACACATCAAAATGTAAAAATGTTATACTAGAGTACTTCAACATTGTGTCTCCTGCTAAATTTTGAAGTTTTGTTTAAAATCTGAGAAAGCTGACAGCAGCATAGATTATACAAGTACAAAGTACAAACTTTAATTAAAATCTTCTCAAAAGCAAAAATTGGCATTTGCAAGTTTCCACAACATATAATTAAAGGCAAACTATAAAATAACATTGATACAATTATTGACTCACCAAGCTCTTTAAATTTGGCACTGGCATCCATCAAAACATTTCGAATGTTCTGTACAGCCCAAGCGTACAGCTTGCCAAAGGTGACTTCCAGCAGCATCCGATTAAAAGGCGGGATCAAATCAACATCCTTTAAACAATCAGTAAGAGGTTCCCTTTCAAATAAAGATAAAGAATTTGACTTGGGACACTGCCAGACTTCTGTTACAGAACAACATTTTGTTGCCATAGCTACCTTAATTAAGAAAAAAATATGCTAACGTTTTACCCTATATCGATTCCCTCAGGAATAAGTCTTTGCCATCCACAAAACATCGCATACTGCACAGATGGAAGTAAGAAATTCTTGCTCGCCAGTTTTAAAATTGTATCTATCCCTTCCAGGCGAACCTCTGCTCTCTCCAACTGCAAAATATCAATGCATACAGTTAAGTGTTATGTATATTACCCAATGCAGAGAAGCATTTCTCATCAAATGTTACCTGTTTTAGTAGGCACTTTCTCATTTTTTCCACATCCACTGGCTCTTCTTTAAGGGCAAATTCAGCAATTGTACTGAGGAGTGGAGACTGCGGATAAAGACCCTGCACATTCTGCTTCAACCACTTGTATTTGTGAACACCTGTAACAGTACTCAACAGCGGCTGCCATTTGTCCTAACAAAGGAAAACAATTTTCATCATTAGTCTACCCTATTTAATAATAAACTGTGCTCTAAAAGTTATTCAAGTAAAATATAAATAATGCTCATAGGTTTAAATTGGTTAAATTTAGTAATACATGGTTTTAAAACTATGCTATAAATATACTTATAAGTGATTTTATAATCTCTATACTAATATATGTTGGAACAGGCTAGCTTGGCATACAAAGCTAAGTTATGGTTCATATTAATAGCCACAGGGCCCAGCACTGTTTCTGGAACAAAGAATATATTTAAGGAATGAATGGTGAATAATTAATGATACAATCTAATACCAAAAATAAAAGGAAACCCTTCTCCAGCTACAGCTCTGACCAGGACATCATAAGCCAAGTTCATGAAGCATCACTGGGGCCATGTTTCTAACAACCGCCCGTCCCTCCCTCCAGATGCTCAGGACAAGACTGTGGATTCCTGTGCTACATGCTATGATTCTATTCAGCCAACCTCAGAATCACAGAAAATACTGCACCTTGGGTGATTTAATTGCAATGGGTCTCTTGTCCACATTTATTGGACTATGAGGCAAAATGCAAGCTTCTTCTAAATCACTCTCTTCGTTTCCAATTTTTTCTTCATCATCCGTAGATTCTGGCTTCTTAGGAACTGTGTTTTAAAACATCATTCACTATAAAAATCATACACTTAAATATTAATTTTAAATTAAGAAATACTTAGATTTACATGAAGGACAAATATCTCATTCAAATAAACATCTGAACAACATTATAAATTGCAATGCTCAACAACAAGAGTGAAATGATCACCCTGGCAGAACAAAAAGACAAAGTGAGAGTGCGACGAGGGGAGAAGCCCCGAAGCACGGGAAGCCCGGCAGCCAGCAAGCTCTTCCTCAAGTGCCAGAGAGTGAACATTTGAGTCTTTCAGGCCATGCAGTCTGTCGCAAATACTCAACTCTGCTGCTGTAGCACAAAAAGTAACCACAGATAAAGCAACAGGTGTGGCTGTGCTCCTGTAAAACTTTATTTATGGTGCTACAATTTTAGCTTCATGTAATTTTCATGTGCCAAAATAATATACTTCTTTTAATTTTTAAAAAACAATTTCAAACTGAAAAAAAAAAAGGTCTTAGTCCATGGGCAACACAAAGCAAGCAAGAGGTAGAATTTGGCCCATAGTTCCTGGCTTGTCCACCCTGGTCCAGTTCAGTGGTTCTGTTACTGTGTAACTGAATCAACTGAATTCACTGCGATATGTGGAATTTCCTCCCTATACTTTATCTCTTTTAAAATTTTTGGTCTAAATCTCCTCAGCATATAATATAAAAAATAAGCAACATGATAATACACCTGGGCAGTAAAGAGCTAACATAGCAGGCCGGGGTTGCTCAAACCCTGCAAATTCCCAAGGAAGGTCTGTCCCTTCAGGATTGGTCCTTCTTCTAGGAGCTGAGCTCTGAGCCCTTGGAACATCCTGCCTGAGAAGTTTTTTGGTATACCTGACACCCAGGACCTTGTGGCAGTGGTCTGGCCAGGTAGTTTATGCTAATGATGGGACTTGCGAGGGACCACTTGTTTTTGCATTGGGGCACTGGAGTCTGAGTGAGGTCAGTCACATGGGCACTGCCTGCGTATGTGACTGGCCCCCAACAAAATCTCTAGACTCGCTCAGGTGCGCTGGCCTGGTTAACAATTCTTCACACATGATATGACACTGTTGCTGGGAGAGCTAAGCACATCCACGTGACGCCACTGGGGAGAGACACCAAAGCGTGTGCCTAGTTTCCTCTGGACTTCCCTCCATGCACCCTTCCCTCTGCTAATTTTAATCTGTATCCTTTTTGCAGTAAAAAAACACAGCTGTGACTATAACAGCTCTTCTGAGTCCTTTTAGTGAATCATCAAGCCTGAGAGAAGGCTCGGGGATCCCTGACACAGCAACAGGAATATTAATCACTTAATCTTTTCAAGTTACTTAATTTCCAAAAAAAAAAAAAGAAAACCAGCTTGAAACAACACACAATAAATCTATAAACCCACAGGAAACTCTAAAAGTGACAGTGTGGGCTCAGAACCCACGGATATGAGATGGCAAATGTGGAGTCTCTCTCCCTCATGCCGAGGCAGCCTGTCTCCTGGGCCCAGGCTGAGTTCCTGCATGCCTGGGTTAAAGGAATCGCAGCAGTGTGACTGCTGTGACTTCCGGATCCAGAGCACCCCTCGCATTCAGACAGGCTGTTATGGTGTAGGGTTTGTTCAGGAACAATCAAATTAGGATGGCTTCTAACACACTTTAGTCTTTCATAAGCTTATTGTTCAAAATGCCCATCGGAAACTCAGTAATCAATACTGGTCAATAAGCAGGTTTGTGAGTAAATCAGTATAAGTCATAAGAATATGATCAGAGGCCAGGCGCGGTGGCTCACGCCTGTAATCCCAGCACTTTGGGAGGCCGAGGCAGGCAGATCACGAGGTCAGGAGATCAAGACCATCTTGGCCAACATGGTGAAACTCCGTCTCTACTAAAATACAAAAATTAGCCAGGAGTGGTGGCGGGTGCCTGTAGTGCCTATAATCCCAGCTACTTGGAAGGCTGAGGCAGGGGAATCGTTTGAACCTGGGAGGCGGAGGTTGCAGTGAGCTGAGATCGCACCACTGCACTCCAGCCTGGCGACAAAGCAAGATTCCATCTCAAAGAAAAAAAAAAAAAAGAATATAATCAGAAATTTCTGTAGTTTATTTATAATCACAAGTGACTAAATTCTAAACTATTTTATAATTTCTAAGCATTTTTATTCAAATTTGGATTTAATGCAAAAAGACTTTTCTGTACCTTTACACAGCTACTTCCAGGAAAATGTAACTCTTTTAGCTTGCCTTTATAATTCTCCATGTATCAGAATACTCAATATTTCCAAACAAAAAACATTTCTTTAGAAGAATGGCAATAAGTTTAAATGTTCCCATTATATCTCATTACCAGGATAACTAATAAAATAAAAATACTTCCTTGTTCCCATCAATTTAGTAAAGATTATTTATGTTTTCAACATCAATTTACTAGTAATCAAATCATACCACACTCAATTCCTAAACTGTCTCATTGTCTGATTACTTGGAAAAACAAGCGAGATTTCTGTATTTAATCGTAACTGTAATAAAAATGATGGCAGCAGGTAGAAATGTCACATGGAATCAACAGTAGAGAAACTTCACTCTGAAATCACAGATCCAATGTGGCAGGGTGAAGCACAAGCTTTAATAGTATCTTCTGTCCTTTTACATTCTTACCTCTCTTTTTCCTTCGTTCTCGAATTATCTTTTGAGCTATCCTCCTCCAACGGGGCAAAGAACTTAACAATTTAAACTTAGACATTATAGAGAGGTCATTACAAACAGCAGGTCTCAATTCATTAAAGAGGAATCTCAAACGTTCGATGACAGGAGCGCAGACCTCCTTGTAAGAACGGCCCTGTTCTTGATGAGTCTGCAAAGTTAACCAGGAAAAGACAACTTTAACAACAAATATTTCAGCAACTGTCTGCAAAGCACAGAATAAAAAGAATTAAAATCTATCACCTTAATGAGCGAACATTTTGCTTGGTAGACAACTCTACAAACATCCACCACTGACTTAGGCAACGTTCTGTGCTTTACTTGCTCAATACCAAGTGCACCTGCATGAACTAAAGATAATGCCACATGACCTGTAAAAAGACATTTAAAAGAAGGGCAGGGATGAATATGTACCTCAGGTTAGTCGAGGAATCTGCAGTGTACCTAAAGTACACAGATATCGAGCTCCTTACCTAAATCTTCATGTTTTAAGAGGCAACATAACAACAAGCGACCGACCTCTTCCACGGGATGCTCGGGGGGAAACATGATCGGTGTGGTCAAATGGCACTGCCTACAGTACCTTTCTATTTGACACAAAAAGTCCTGCAACAGAAACAGCTGGAAGTAACTTCAGAGCCACCCAGTGAGTCTTCACAAATCTTAAACATGCCACAGCTTCTGACGCACTTGCAATCACTAATGCTTCTGAAGCCTCGCTAGCATGTTAACACAATCAGGTTCTCACCTCAAAACCCTCCAAATAATACATGAAACAAAGTCTGTGCTGTGTTAACCAAAGAGCACATAAGTATTCCTATGTCAAAGTCCTCAGATAAACAGAGCACTGAGGTGGCAGTGGGGGCAGGCCTAGCTCACCTTCACGTTGTGATCCTGAATGTTGTTGTCTGCAATGGCTTGCAGAAATGCCTGGGAATGGTCCCCCAGGGCCCGTCTGTGGGAGCAGAGTCGAGATTTGCTGGCAGGTGTGCCCCCTGGGGAGCTGCAGTGGTCCTCGTCTTTCTCCTCGTTGTAGCTGTAGTGGATCTGGCTGGTCTGCAGGCCTCCAGAGAAGATGGATGACTGAAGCCATTCTGGAAAATGCACACGCAAACATGAAAGAGAAACTCAAGTGCACAACTCAAAATAAATACTAAAAAAAAAAAAAGATGCTCAACTGAACACTCAATTTAGAAGGTGAAATTCAGCATCATTCATATGAAAGAGCTCCACCTAACATGTTTACACAGGTTGACTTATAATTCCTCTATCTACGTGAACACACTTTCTGGTGATTCCACACGCCTCAGGCATGGCATCAGAACTCAGGATCGTAGTTCCAGTCCAACATTCTCTGGATACCTGTGCTCTGCCTGCAGCTGCCTGGTTCCACAGGTACCGTGTGAAGACTGAGGTGCACATTCTAACAGGGAAGGCAGCAAAGGGCACCGCTGACACAATTAATCACAGGATTTCAAGTCCGAAACTGTGCAACAGATGACTATGGGGGTACCAGGGAGACTGGAAGACAGACCACCGCTATTCTGAGGGTCAGTGAGGGACTTGTGGAAGCAACAACTGAGCTAAGATGAGGAATAAGACCCAGACGCTGAGTATCCAGGCAGGGAACAGCACATCTGAAGGGTTTCTACAAAGAATTACATCCTCAGGGTAGGCTATGTATTCCTAGAGCACTTATAAAGGAATGAAAAGGAGAAAATATTTAAGAAACACACAATCTGTAATGAAGGATAGATCCTTGGAGATGGGAGGGCCGATGGACTGGAAAGGAGACCTGTGCGTGGTGCAAGGCATGGGATCAACCAGTGCGAACGTTAATTACAACTGCTTATGGCAACTTGAGGGAGTGCACCACTACAGATCTCTATTAACGATCTGTGTTATCAAATACTGCTCCAAATCCAAGCAATCAAAGCGGGATGCACTTAGTGTTCTTTTACTGGACATTTAGATTTTAGAGCACTCAGGAGCATTCCACAACCCACCACATTCGTTCTTCTGAAACACTAATCCAATGCCGACTCTCTCTGGCCCCCTCTCTTTAAGCACAGGACAGCCCCTCCTTACTGCTCCAAGATAAGCCTCTGATCCTCCTGTGGATTGGACCCACCTGCCAGGGCCCATGGCACCCTCTGCCCTGGAACTCGCCAGCCCTGCCCTCCTTGCCAATTTAAACAAAGCCCATCTTCTGGCAAGCAATGAGCCTTGAGGAGGAGGGAAGGAAGCAGATACCTCAGAGGGCACCACAGGCAGCCCAGCACCCAGCACTGCACAAAGGTCCACCCAACGGGGGGCTGTATGGACACCAAGATCCTCCTTCCCCGCAAGCCTTCTGCGACACCCACTCTCGAAAGCAGCAGGAGAGCCCTGCTCCTCTCAGCATTGCCCTTGACACTCCTGTGTTTTCTGCCCCGAATGCTCCCTCATGCAATTTCAGGACTGCTGCCAGTGTGAAGCCTTTCTTCTCCCAAAACCACGTATGAACGTCTCCATTTCACCATTCACCACCTTGTAACATGACCTGCTTAGAATGCTGGCTCATCAACAAGAAGCAGCTGAAAGCAGAGGCGTGTCCTACCCATCACTGCATCCTGAACACCTCGCATGGTAACTGCACCAGGCAACTGTTCAACAGAAGCTGCTCACACGGATGGACAGACAGACAGATGGGAAATGCACAACTATATGAAAGAAAATGTAAACCCATCTTAGGAGACAGGAAGAAACTTATTATTTTAGGTGGTTACAAAGGCTGCCATCCTGAAATATAACTGACTTGAGCCTGGTCTGGTAAAAACACAGTCCTCAAGTAGAATGCTGTTCCCTGAGAGGACAGCTGATCCACATTCTGTGCAATTTCTGGGCATGCAGGGAGACAAAAGCCATGCTGGGCCCATCAGGCAGAGGCTGCAATACGTGAGACCACCACAGGGTAGACGGGTAGAGATTCCTGCACACTTTTTAGCTTCCTCTGCAGCAACAGACCATGAGGGCAAATGACAACCACTCACAGCTGTTTCTACCTGATTGAGTCTCACTATCCTTATTATTATTATTTTTATCATCATCAGCTGTGTTGAATCCGCCTCTCCTTTTGAGACGGAGTCTCGCTCTTGTCACCAAGGCTGGAGTGCAGTGGCGCGATCTCGGCTCACTGCAACCTCCGTCTCCTGGGTTCAAGCAATTCTCCTACCTCAGCCTCCCGAGTAACTGGGATTACAGGCACCCGTCACCACGCCCAGCTAATTTTTGCATTTTTAGTAGACATGGGGTTTCACCACATTGGCCAGGCTGGTCTTGAACTCCTGACCTCAGGTGATCCACCCGCCTCAGCCTCCCAAAGTGCTGGGATTACAGGCATGAGCCACTGCCTGGCTATCTCCTACTTTTTTTAAAGAGAGAGTCTTGCTCTGTCACCCAGGCTGGAGTGCAGTGGTATGATCATGACTCACTGCAGCCTCAACCTCCCAGGCTCAAGCGATCCTCCTACCTCAGCCTCCTGAGTATCTGGGACTACAAATACGTGCCAACATGCCTGGCTAATTTTTGTGTTTTTTGTAGAGATGGGGTTTTGCCATGTTGCCCAGGCTGGTCTCAAACTCTTGACCTCAAGCAATCCACGTGCCACAACCTCCCAAACTGCTGGGATTACAGGCATGAACCACTGTGCCTGGCCCTCTCCCACTCTTAATGGCACTTACAGTTCAAAAAAAATAATCTGCTGATCAGCAAAAAGCAAAGATTTTCTTACTGGCACATTCAATCTCGACAGGAGACAGCGGTGTGCTCATTGCCAAATACGAAGCGTGTAATCCGAGAAGCAGGCCCAGATTCCTCTCTGTGTCTATCAGAGGTGAAGAGAGACTCCCCAGATCTGGTATGGTGACGATTTCTTGGTCAGGCTGGAAAAATAAATTTCATCATCAATCTGAGGAAACAGAATTAATTAAAAACATAAAACCAAAAGGACAGCTCTCTCCTGCAGCTGTAACCGCACGTGAGCCCAGGGGTGCTCTGGGCATTCTGCCCCTCCATCCTGTAATGAGTTGATGCTGCTGTGCCCAAGTAACAGCAGATACCACATAAACCCACATGCCCAGTAAAGCAGGCAGCAACTGCACAGCCCTACTGTAGAAAAACTAAACCACAGATACATGATTTGGCTAGAATATTCCTTAGGAATCAGTTTCCAAAGTGACTGTACACCATGCTTCAGAAAGTATAATGAATTGTTACATGCATAAAGAACCCACTGGGCAACAAAACTATGACAAGTATTCGATGACAAGTATTAGTGGACTGTGACCACACATGTAGAGGAAATGAAATTTATTCTAACAAAAATCAAACTCTGAAAAAAGTAAGAGTTCATCTTTTCCAGTCACAGAAGATATTTACAGCAAAGTTAATTCTCCCCTTCATAAACTGTTTTAAGCCCTGCCCTAATGGCATTTAATACATCTTATTACTTGTCGATACCTGGAAAGCTAATCCCAATATATAAATTCTATGTGTTCGTGAATACATAGGAAGGACATATTTCTACTGTAAAGAATTACACTTCTACATAGTTCTTCCCAAAAAATACTACCTCAAGATTATAAGCCATTCCAAATTTCTACATAAGACCAAAGTTTAACCTCTTTTCTTGTGGAACACTGTCTATATTTCTCACAAATTGATCATTTAAAAAACAATTTTTCAAGACCAGTACATCACAGATCTTAACATGAATAAATGTAAATTCATTTATGACAAAACTTCTAAAGGATCTTTATATTTATCCCTAATGCCCCACAAAAGACCCAGATATCAGTACTTCTAGATCCAAATATTCCTATCACAAACACACAGAGGGTATCCCCTGCCATCCTCTGCATCACTCAAGGCATACAGCCTCACCTCCAAATACTGGCCAACACAAAACGCGTGCATGGATTCCCGGGTGTCTTCAAACTGCAAAGCAGCTTCCAAAGCTACCACTGGGTCTTCCCCTGCAAACTGAGCTGAAACAAAAAGGGAAAAAGCAACATGAGTTCAATTCAGCTTGCCTGAAGAGATATAGGAGAAACAGTGAATAGGAAATAAGTTAGGCGCTTAACTCAAAAGTGAGGGTTACCAGAGTATAATGACCTTCTACTGTCTCCCAGGGTTGCCTGGGCCAACTCAGAACTTGAAATGAGTTCCAAGTATTAAAACAAAAAATGCATAATCAAAGGAAATTCTTCAAATGTGCTGAATTTGTTGATAAGACAGACATCGAAGCCACAGATACATTAAAATATGTGGGGGCTGGCACAAAACTAAAGAAATCATTTATAAGCCAAATACTCTGCTTAAAATGATATAGGTTGTAACTTTTAACCAGGAAATAACAAGTGTAATCTTACCAAGAATACTATTTCCTGTTAACGACTGTGTCTGGAAGTCCTTTATATCATACACCTTCCCGTCAATCACAGTCCAGAAGCCTCCATCTTTATTATGGTTCTCCAAATCAGCTTTGCGTATAAGTGTCACTTCCTCATTATTTCTACAGTTCTGACCTGTAAAAAATGACTCTGTATATACAGAAACCAGAATCAGTCCATTGATCAATCAACAGGTAAAATGAAAAGAACAAACTGTGTGAAAGAACTACAAGCAGAAATAAACAAACCCACAATCACAATGGGAGAAATACATACCTAGCTCTGAAACTAATACCACACATACAAATTCTGTTAAATATAGAATGCTTTAAAAAAAAATCTAGGCAGCATGAATACCAAATTGGGCCATGCCAGGCCACAGAGCAAATCTCAACAGATTTCAAAGAAATAAACTTATAGAGCATGTGTGCTGACTACAATGCAGTTAAATTAGAAATAGGTTTTCAAAAATTCATTCAAAATAAATAAAAAATTCATCCACATATTTGAAAATTATAAAATACACTTATAAGTAACCCAAAATTCTAAGAAAAAAATGACTATGAAAATTAGAAAATGTGTTCAATTAATAATCAAAATACTGCAGATCGAAATTGGTGACATACAACTAAATGCATGCTTGAGGGCATTTATGCCTTTAAATGTGTATATTAGAGGGAAAAAGCTAAAAAAGAAAAACACCAAATCAATAAAAGTCTATTAGTTCATAAAAATACTCAAAAAAAGAAAACCTGAGTGGTGGTCACCTATGCAAGTGCTAGGATACCAACTCAATATTATGAAAAATAGTTAAAGGGAGGTGGCAGTTCAAGAAGTCAAGCTTAGATTATGTCCTTCCTGTACAAATTGTACCTCCTGCTAACCAGACAGCAGAGGGCAAGGTTGGTAGGGGATTTTATAGAGGATACGCAACACATGAATTCCCTGGTCTAGCTTCACAGAACTAAAGCGGGGAGCCACCGAGCATTACAGGCCTCCTGAGCCAACAGAAAGCATGCAGCATGACCCCAGACATAACACCGCCCCAACGAGACTGAATTCAAATCCAACCAAACCTCTAGATCTAACCAGCAGATTAATGTAACTAACAGAAGAACATGTTGGTCTAGAATAAGAGAATGCAATCAACCAAGTTCAGAAAATGTGAAGTTCTCCAAAATAACCAACCTGCTTCTTTGAAAAAGAAAACGGTATGATCACAGGGAGAGGAGGGCCTGGAGCCATGTTGTTGGGAGAAAGACTGAAAGCACATGTCAAGCAATGTCAACACAGAGAACATGCTCAGGTCCTAATTCAAAATTACCACCTAAAAAAGGCATTTTTGAGATAGTCCAGGAAAATGTAACATGGATTGCATGTTAGATTAAGGAATCACTGTTAATCTTATAGACAAGATAATGATATTGTAGGGTTTTTTTTTAAATCCTTATCATTAAGAGGTAAAATGCCTTAAAATGTTTTAAAGACAGAATTATGCTTTAAAATAATCCAATCAGAGGGCGCAGTGGCTCACGCCTGTAATCCCAGCACTTTGGGAGGCCAAGGTGGGCAGATCACAAGGTCAGGAGATGGAGACCATCCTGGCTAACACGGTGAAACCCCATCTCTACTAAAAATACAAAAAATTAGCCGGGCGTGGTGGCAGGCGCCTGTAGTCCCAGCTACTCGGGAGGCTGAGGCAGGAGAATGGCATGAACCTGGGAGACAGAGCTTGCAGTGAGCTGAGATCACGTCACTACACTCCCGCCTGGGCGAAAGAGCGAGACTCCGTCTAAAAACAAAAATTAAAAAAATAAAATAAAATAAAATAAAAATAATCCAATCAATCAAAAATACAGAGAAGTATGAGAGGGGAACATACTCACCTGTTAAAACTAGATTCATTTTACTATTTTTCTACTTTTATCTATGTTAGAAAATTTTCATAATAAACAGATTACAAAAACATCACAGTGCTAATAAGTATTCATTTCTCAAAAAGCAAGAAAAATAGCAGATTAAACCCTAAGAAAGAAGAAGGCAATAATAAAGAGTATGGCACTGGACAGACAAACATACAGAAAAATGGAATAGAATGGAGACCCCAAAAACAATCCATCACGTATTTGGTCATACGATTTTTGACATGGGAGCCAAGACCACTCAATGGGGAAAGAAGAGCCTTTTCAATGCATGGTACTGGGAAATCCAGACATGCACATGTAAAGAACGGAGGTAGACCCTTACCTTACGCCACACACAAAAACTAACTCAAAATGGATAAAAGACCTAAAAATAAGTGCTAAAACTATAAAATTCTTAGAAGAAAACACTGTGGAAAATCTTCATGACACTGAATTTGGTGACGTGTCTTGAATAGGACACCAAAAGCAGTGCAGGCAACAAAAGGAAAAAAATAGGTAAGTTGGACTTGATCAAAATCGAATACTTCTGTGCATCAAAGGAGGCTATCAAGAGTGAAACAGCAACCGAAAGAATGCAAAACAGATTGCAAATAATATCTATGCAGAATATATAATTAACTCCTAAAACCCAACAAGACAAAAAACCCAATTAAAACACGGGCAAAAGACTTGAATATGCATTTCTCCAAAAAAGGTATGCAAATGGTCAATAAGCACATGAAAAGATGCTTGACATCACTAATCATTAGGGACACACAAATCAAAACCACAATGAGATACCACTTCACACCCATTGATGGCTACTATCAAAAAAAAAAAGTGTTGGTGAGGATGTGGAGAAACTGGAACTCCTGCACACTACTGACAGGAACATAAAATGGTGCAGCCACTCCGAAAAACACTATGGCAACCCCTCAAAAAAATTAAATATAAAATTACCATATAATCTACCAATTCTACCTCTGGCTATATACCCAAAAGAAGTAAAAGCAGGCCGGGCGCAGTGGCTCCCTCCCGTAATCCCATCACTTTGGGAGGCCGAGGTGGGCAGATCACAAGGTAAGGAGATCAAGACCATCCTGGCCAACATGGTGAAACCCCATCTCTACTAAAATACAAAAAATTAGCTGGGCATGGTGGCGCACGCCTGTAGTCCCAGCTACTCAGGGGGCTGAGGCAGGGGAATTGCTTGAACCTGGGAGACAGAGGTTGCAGTGAGCCGAGATCACACCACTGCACTCCAACCTGGGCGACAGAGCAAGACTCTGTCTCAAAAAAAATAAACAAATAAAAAAAAGAAGGGACGCAAATGGATATACACACCCACATTCATAGCAGCATTATTCACAATAGCCAAAAGATGGAAACAACCCAAATGTCATCAACTGATGGATGGACAGCAAAATGTGATATACTCATATAACAGAATATGATTTCACCTTAAAATGTAAGGACATTCAGACACTTTGCACAACATGGATGAACCTTGAAGACATGCTAAGTGAAATAAGCCAATCCCAAAAGGATAAATACTGTATGGTTCCATGTATATGAAGTACCTGGAGTAGTCAAATTCAGACACAGAAAGTAGAATGGTAGTTGCCAGGTGCTAGGGAAAATTGGTGTTTAATAGATGCATAGTTTCAGTTGAGAAAAATGAAAAGCTCTAGAGATGAGTGGCGGTGATGGCTATTAAACAATGTGAATGTATTAATGCCACTAAATGGTACACTTAAATGGCAAATTTTACCAATCTTATACACACCCTTCCAAGAAAAGAATAGGCAGGAACATTCTCCTACTCACTCTACAAGATTAGCACAACTTTGGTTACCAAAACCTGAATGTCTATTATGTTTTCCTACTACTGGATCCATCAGCCAGTGTTTCCCTCGACAAACTAACGTTCTCTGGTGGATAGATGGAAACTAACGGGTTGCATGGGACCTATCTTCTTCCTGAATTATAGCTTCTTTATTAGTAAAGGGGTGGTGGTTATCAATAACAATAAGTTGCAGGGCATTACAAGAAAATAAAATTACAGGTCACTGAAAAAATTACAAGGAAAATGAGATGCAAAATCTAGAAAAATTACAACTACAGATGCAAAATTGTCTTTAAAAAATAGCAAACCAAGACCAGAAATATCTATCCATATGACCAATATCATGAGCAAAGTAGTTTTATTCCAGAAACGGAAGGTTGAGTCAACATTTGAAAAGTCAGTAATTCACACATTAATAAAAAAAATAAAAATTATATGATCAAGTAATGCAGGAAAAGCATGTGATGAAACTTAACACCCAATCATAGTTAAAACTGCATCACAAAGCAGCAACAGAAGAAAACATCCTTAAGATTCAAAAGTACTTACAAAGAGACTCCTAAAACAAACATCATACTTTGTGTGTGAAATCTGGAAAGCTTTTTCTCTGCTACTAAGAAAAAGGCAAGGAGGTACACTGTCACCATTTCTACTCCACAATGCACTACAGGTCCTAGCAAGTGCAATAAGTCACTAGGGGAAAAGCTGCAAGATCAGACCAGACACAAGCATAGACAATCACTTGGTTCAGACAAAGGTGACATCCCAGAAGAGTGACCAAGGACAGTCTTTTCACCCAAAGGTGCTGGCACAAAGACACTATGGACAAAATGCCCATGGAAAAAAAGTGACATGTGACCCCTTTCTCATAACATGCATGAAAATCAAGTCCAAGTGCACTATAGCTCTAAACATGAAAGTTAAGGCAATAAAACTTTTAAGGTGTAAAAGAAAATCTGGGTAAGAAAAAGATTTCTTAAGGCCCAAAATGAACAACCATTAAAACAGAAACAAACTGGATTTCACGAATATTACTTCTGTTCATCAGAAAACACTTTTAAGTGACTACACAGGCCTGAGTGAGAGAAAAAGCTCCATCAGAAATAGAGCCAAAAGTTCATATCCCAAATACACAGTAACACTCACATGAATGACTAAAAAGAAAAAAAGACAACCAGATAGAAAAATGCGCACAAAACTTGAATTGGCACTTCACAAAAGAGAATTTCCAACTGATTAATGCACACAGGAAAAGGTATCAAACCTCACTAATAATCTAGAAAATGCTAATTGAAACCACAATGAGATACCAGTGTACACCCACCAGAATGGGTCAAACAGGGAGTGCTAGCAATGCTAGGTCTTGGCATGGAAGTGGAACACTGAGAATTCTCACTTTGCAGTGGAGATGAGTAGCAGCACAATCACCGTGGAAAACTGGCATTCTGTATTAAAGGCATCCTCTACAAACCAAGAGTCCCACCAAGAAACAGAAAGAATGATTAAAGAAACAGATGTAAGAATGTTAACGTATTGGCAGGAGCGCTGGCTCATGCCTCTTATGTCAGCACTGTGGGAGGATCACTTGAGCCTAGGAGTTTGAGACCAGCCTGGGCAACAGAGGGAGACCGTGTCTCTACAAAAAATTTAAAAATTAGCCAGGCATGGTGGCGCATGCTTGCAGTCCCACGCAGGTGGAAGGATCTGCTTGAGCCGGGGAGGTCAAGGCTACAGTGAGCCATGATTGCACCATTGCATTCCAGCCTGGATGACACAGCAAGACCCTTGCCTCAAAAAAAAAGGTAACATATTTACTTTAACCTAAACCTGGAAACAACTTACATTTCCATCAACAAGTAGAATGAATAGGTTGTTGTATATTCAAACAAAAGTATACTACATATGGCAATAAAAATGAAAGAACTCAATAACGGGGTGAAGCTCAGAAACCAAAAGGTACGTACCGTCTAGTTCCACTTATATGAAGTCCGAGAACAGACAGAATTAAAATGATGTTGGGTAGGGACAAGAACTTAGTATAAGATGATCAGAAGTAAGGTGGCGATGACCACACAGCCTGGGGAAGGGCACTTTTCAGAGAAATGAGTCCGAGTTTGGGAGGGTCCTGCCACCATCCAGGCTAAGGTTTGAATGGCTGTGACACAGTTCTCTCTATGATCAATTACAGGTATCTACTAGGTACTTTTGTGTATGTGTTACTTATCACAATTTCAAGAGGCTTTACAGTGAGTAAGCTGCTGATCTGATCAAATGAATGCCCCTCAACAGTATGATAGTAGAGAGACAAAATAACACAGGACTAAGCTCACTCCTTAACAAAAGGGGAAGAATGGTGCTCAAAGTATTGACTGTTTTAAAAATAAAAAACCATGTTCAATGTCCTGGGGCTGTTTTCCTCAGGACAACTGCTACCTCTTGTTTTAAGCTCCCATGTTAGGGGGATGATGGTCTAAAACACGAGAAGAAAAAAAGCCCATCCAGCTTGAGATTTCATATAAATCAAAGTTTAACCCTGATTTTGATTGATTCTGAGTCCAGGAAGCTAGAACCATAGAAAGCATGGTGACTTAGATTCAAAAACCCAAAACTCAAAACATTGAGAAGATAAGTCTCATTCCAATTTGGGATGCACTACAAGGCAATGCCTGTAAGAAGTGCTCAGGTGACTCCAGGAATTCTGCATCTCACTAACATCAAACAACCAGAGGACTCTGGAGAGTCTTCCCATTATCAATCTCTGCCTCCTGAGCTGGACCACAGATAACCACCCCAACTGCACCTTCTGGAGGCACCAGGACTTTGTAAAATTTCATTTCAGTACTTAACAAGGATTACTAATGGAAAAATCTTCCTTAAATATAACCGAAATATAGCCGGGCGCAGTGGCTCATTCCTGTAATCCCAGCGCTTTGGGAGGCAGAGGCGGGTGGATCACTTGAGGTCAGGAGTTCGAGACCATCCTGGACAACATGGTGAAACCCCATCTCTACTAAAAATACAAAAGTAAGCTGGGCATGGTGGTGTGCACCTGTGGTGCCAGCTACTCAGGAGGCTGAGGCAAGAGAATCACTTGAGCCCAGGAGGCAGAGGTTGCAGTGAGCTGAGATCATGACACCGCACTCCAGCCTGGGCAACAGAGCAAGATGTAGTGTCAAAAAAAAAAAAAAATATATACACACACACACACACACACACACACACACACACACACAGATATATATATACACACACATATATGTACACACATATATATACACACTCATATATACACACACACACATACATAAACACACATATATTTGGTTAATATATACATATATGACCCAAATTTCTTCTGATTTGGATTATCTCCATTTTTTACTTATACTACCATCAGTAGAAATGGCAAATCTTCCTTTGTAAAGTATTCTTTCAAATTGAAAGGCAAGAATAGGTTAGACAAGGACAATAAAACTTTCCTCAGTAAAACTCCTTTAAGACGCCGTACCCATTATGCCAGGCCAGGCTAACTCTTCATGATCATCCCGTTCCTTTCCTGGTGCCAGATGGTTGAACCGATCCAGATGTTCCAACAGGCCACCCAGCAGAGGTACAGCTCCAGCCTCTTGCATGAGACCAGCATTTTTACTGAGCAGAAGCACTATAGAAACTACTAGTTCTGGAAGGAGAACACCTACATTTAAGAAATAATAAGATTTAAATAAGTATTTATCCTATAAAAGCTATTTGTAAACTTGTTCTGTGTTTAAATTCTGCTAAGTCACAAAATAAGAAATGTTTGTCCTTTAGCATATTTCTAAAGAATTATCTTATATTTTATATTGAGACAGGCATAGCTATTAAACAGAACCCTTTAAATTACAAAAATATTTTCCAAAACACTGTATTTCAATCACAGAACTATGAACTAAGAGTCTTCTATTCAGAAAATTAAATGTTTATTGATATGTTTATCATCAGGGAAAAAACACTAAAAAATAATGCTCTAACCTCAAAAAGTTAAAACATACCAGGTAATATCAGAATTTTTAAGATCCTTAAATAGGTACCTAATTTTTATTATGCTGTCAAAATAAAATTAGACAATTACCTTTGACCTCATTATTGAAATGTCAATAATGGAAGTATAAATCTAAATTACCAATTACATTTAAAGTGATATGAGTCCCATACCAGCTGGCTTAACAACAGAACTGTCAGTAACTAAAAAAAAAAAACAAAGGTGAAAGGGCAGGAGGCCCAGAAAATTTAGAGAGTAAATGCAGGCATGCTGATCAGCAAAGAAGACACTTTAGCTTTCATCTATCTCCTAAAATAAACATGTACACAAGCAGGAAACAAAAGGTACCAGTAAAGTCCCCTTCCACAATGTAAGCCACCTCCGCGAAGTGCCGCCAGCTGGTAGAAGCAATGCTGGCGGCCACAGGCAGTATATCTCCAATGTGCGTGCACAGGAGGGCTGTGTACTTCTTCAGCAAGGAACCAACACCCATTAGCTCTGGACCTTGAAGAAGGATTGAGAAATTTTCATTTTCACTACTAAAATTTTTCTTTGTAAACAAACTAACTGCTCCATGATGCTATTCTCATCTACACATCTTTTACCCATAATAATTTTCTCAAACAGAAGCCTGTTAACCCTTGTCCTTGCGCTCTTTCTGTATCATGTGACTGGAGGGACAGGGTTTTTATGTCAAGTTTTATACCCTGCACTACAGAGTACCTAGAAATTTTGGGTGTATGAACACTAAAGTCATAATTTAATTTAAAGATTTTTTTTTTTAACAGACGGGGGTCTCACCATGTTGCCCAGATTGGACTCGAACCCCTGGGCTCAAGTGATCCTCCTGCCTCAGCCTCCTGAGTAGTTAGATCTACAGGCATGCACTACCACACCCAGCTCTAAATTTTTAAAATTTTATATCTAGTACACAAATGTTTCCTAAAAGCTTGTAAATTATTCCCAAAAAACAAAGTTAGGCACTTTTCTGCTCCATAAAATCTTCAGTTTTTCTGTCTACATGGTTCTTTTTTTTTTTTTTTTTTTTTTTTGAGACCGAGTTTCACTCTTGTCGCCCAGGCTGGAATGCAATGGTCTGATCTCGGCTCACTGCAACCTCCGCCTCCTGGGTTCAAGCGATTCTCCTGCCTCAGCCTCCGGAGTAGCTGGGATTACAGGCACCTGCCACTATGCCCAGCTAATTTTTTGTATTTTTAGTAGAGACGGGGTTTCACTATGTTGGTCAGGCTGGTCTTGAACTCCTGACCTTGTGATCCGCCCACCTTGGCCTCCCAAAGTGCTGGGATTACAGGCGTGAGCCACCACACCCAGCCTCCTACATGGTTCTTAATAGCTTTTCAGTCCTTGTGACTTTGTCTTTAAGATGGTCACCTCTTTCAAACTATCAGCTCACCTACTGAAACCTGAAAGTTTCCATTACTGACAAGAGCCTAACTCTTCAGAAAGTAATTAAGTTACTTTGGGAAAAAAACAGCTACAAAATTACTAATGGAAGCAGCAGAGCTTTCCATCCTTGACAGAGAAAGCCTCATGATGGAGGGCCAGCCGCTGCCCTGGATGCTGAAGAAGGGGAACCATTCCCTCAACAGTGCACAGCACTGAGCACTTACACACCATTCTGTTCTGATTCTCACAGGCTGCCTCAGGGATTATCCCAAGTCTGCAGGTGAGAAGTCTTTGGCCCCATTAGACTTGGTCTAATGTCTAAACTATTAAGCCGAGCTGTAACTGAAACCCAGGCTTTCTCCAACAGTTCTTCCCATTCCACCCAGCTGGCTCCCCCATGTGACATATGAATAGGCTGTCACTGTTTACTTCCTACATCATGCCAGTCTCCAGCATTCCATAGCACATGGAACAAATCTGATAAATCTTCTGTAAGACTAAACTGAACATACAGGATGCTATTACTGATGTCTAAAGAATTTAAATATTAAGGCAACAAAATTAAAAATATTAACGAGGCTATTATAGAAAGGTCCAACTCAAAAAAGTGGATGCAAAATGAAGCCCCAAAATTGGTGCATTTAGTAGTATAACAACTACACATCTGGGCATATAGGATGGACACGTCGAAAAGCCTAAAGTAACGAGCCCCGATCACATACAAGACACTTTCACATTTTAAGCAACTTACTAGAAATATCTGAGGTCTGACCAATACTTTCTCCTGGATAAAGTTTACTAATAAGCAAACGTTGAAAACGCAGTAACAAATCCAATGAAGCAGATCTTTCACGACTGTGTTGCTCAAAGTCCAGACATGATGAAATCCGACGGGCAACATCTTTCAATCTGGCTACAGTCTGAGAAGCAATGTTTCTATACAGGAAAGAAGAGGATTACAAAATTAAACAAGATATTTCTACTAAAAAGAAAATGGGATGGGGTAAATCATGACAAATTAATATCACAAACACAGATCATACATGATGACCTGCAGCTGGCTTCCCTCCCCAAGTGTGTCCAATGTATCTGCAACAAGCGCAACCTCAGCCAAAACGGAGCAGAAGGGCACGGAAGGCTCAAAAGAGATAATGATGCCCTCGTGCTTCACTAATGTGCGCCTATGGAGCTGCGCGCAGTGGTCCAAACTGCAGAAGATCTTGCTTCCAAAGGAATACTTCCACATTCCCAATGTTTAAGGAATGTAAACATTAAGACAACGAAATTTAAAATACTGATGAGGCTAATATAGAAATATCTGACCCTCTAGAAAGAACAAACACAGTGTCATTATTTTTTGTCCAAAGCTGCATTTCAAACAGCAATGTGATACTACTCTTCAAGACAAGACTCGCCTGCATTGCCACATCTGCCTTGCAAGTCCACCTTGAGCCCTTACTCGCAAGCAGCACTGGGGTGGGCCATGCAGCAGGTGCCGAGGGCTCAGGGAGTCCAGGAAGGAAGACCAAAGCAGGTGCCCAAAGAGCACGGCAGCGAAGAAAGTAGAAGAGGCTCCAGTTCCAACACTGTGATGTGACTTGAGCCATGAGCCATTGGAAGATGACAAGAAAAGAGAAGAAACATATGTTCCCAGAAGGTAAAGTTAGGAGAGCAGTGAATGTTTCTGGTTCCTCAGCAGAACACCAAGAAACAAGGGCAGGAGAACAACACAAGGAAGCAAGGGAGAGACAGTGCAGGTAATGGAATGTCAGGCTGTGGGACCAGAGTCTGCAATGCCAACCCACCAAGGTTATGATAGGAAAATAACACCTTCTGTGTGTTTAAGGAAAGTAACTCTTTTTTTTGAGACAGAGTCTAGCTTTGTTGCCAGGCTGGAGTGCAGTGACATGATCTCAGCTCACTGCAACCTCCGCCTCCCGGGTTAAAGCGATTCTCCTGCCTCAGCCTCCCGAGTAGCTGGGAATTACAGGCACACGCCACCACGCCAAGCTAACTTTTTTTTTTTTTTTTTTTAAGTGGAGACGGGCTTTCACTATGTAAACCCAGGATGGTCTCGATTTCCCGACCTCGTGATTCACCCGCCTCAGCCTCCCAAAGTGCTGGGATTACAGGCGTGAGCCACCACGCCCGGCCTAAGGAAACTAACTCTTATGTCAATGTGAAAGCAAATCAGACAGGACATGGGAACACGGAGGGGAGGAGAGCCCAACCAGAGCCTGGTTCCAGACCCACCCCACCCGCCCCGTTGAGCCAGGAGCACAGGTGGCTCTCTGCACAACACCAAGAGTGAGGACATGCTTTCAGCTCCACTTTAACTCAGGTTCCTAATGTGACAGCAGGCTTGTCAATCCCACTTGCCCCCGTGGCTCACACCAGAAAAAACTACCAGCAGCATGAGTAAGGACAGAAGCAGGAGACAGAGGAGCCAGGGTTGGGGAATCCCATAGCAACCCACAGGCCCTCATCACACACGGCAAGGATGCGCCCTCACTGGGCTCACCACCACCAGACATCACCTTCACTACCTGATACCCTGCCTGGATAACACCACTGTAACACAAGAAACAGGTCTAGAATCTAACATGTATGCTACACCTGAAGGAGCAAGAGACGGTAATACAATACAATGAAATTTTTAGTTTATTTAATATAAAATTTAGAGCCATAATCAAAACGTGTAATTCTGATGGGGTTCACTACTTATAAAAACTTCACAGCGCTCTATTTTCAAATGTAAATGGTATTCTGTGGCTCCTCGCCAGCATGTAAATAACGATCTACTCTGAAATACGTTTCACGGCTTATTTTTGGCAAGCAGCGATTTCTCCAACTCACGTTTTCCAAGGGAAAAAAGGACATGAAATGTCTCCAAAAGTCTCTTACGATCTTTAGATAAACTACTGTTCAACAACTGCATCTGCCAAGTCAACACATCAAGAATCCTTCACTCACAAACACTTAAGGTGAGAAAACAGTGTCTACCCATGCAGGAGAGGGACACATGATCCATGCTTATGAAGACAGCCTGGATATCGGCTACTGGAAAGCTGCGAATGCATTTTTCTTTTTCTACTTTCCAAAATTTTTGTGAGGTGATAACTATGTTTGTGTCTATTCTTTTTATTTTGTATTTTTTAAGTACGTACATCCTTATTACAAATCTGCTGTAGAACCAATGTCCCATACAGGACCCCACGTGCCACAGGAACCAAAAAGTCACATGCAGCAAGGATGAAGACACAGGAGACAACCTGTGTGGACAGCACAGAGCCACCTGCCGAGGACACCAATGGAGCTACAGGTGCAATTCAAAATGTTCTTGGTTGTATTAATAAATGTGGCCAGGTGCAGTGGCTCACACCTGTAATCCCAACACTTTTGGAGGCCAAGGCGGGCAGATTACCTCAGGTTGGGAGTTCAAGACCACCCCAGCCAACATGGGGAAACCCCATCTCTACTAAAAATACAAAAATTAGTCAGGTATGGTGGCATGCACCTGTAGTCCCAGCCACTCAGGAGGCTGAGGCAGGAGAATCATTTGAACCCAGGAGGCAGAGGCTGCAGTGAGCTGAGATCGTGCCACTGCACTCCAGTCTGGGCAACAGAGTGAGGCTCCATCTCGGGGGAAAAAAATTGTCCTTAGTCACATTAAGTAAAAAAAAAAAACAAAAAAACACATAAAACTAATTTTAATAATGGCCAGGCGCGGTGGCTCACGCCTGCAATCCCAGCACTTTGGGAGGCCAAGGCGGGCAGATTACTTGAGGTCAGGAGTTCGAGACCAGCCTGGCCAACATGGTGAAACCCTGTCTCTACAAAAATACAAAAATCAGCAAGGCGTGGTGGTGTACGCCTGTGGTCCCAGCTGCTCGGGAGGCTGAGGCAGGAGAATCACTTGAAGCCAAGAGGCAGAGGTTACAGTGAGCCAAGATTATGCAACCGCACTCCAGCCTGGGCAACAGAGCAAGACTCCATCTCAAAAAATAAAAATAATTTTAATAATGTGTCATACTTATCCCAACAGATTGAAAATATTACCATTTCAACATGATATCACTATAAGAAAAATTATTGAGATATTTTACATAGGTTATTTCATATTAAATCCTCAAAAACCATCAGGGTAGCTTACATATGTAGCACATTTCAATTTGGACAGTGATATTTGCATTGAAAATATCTGATCTGCCCTAGACTCATAAAATACACAGTTGACGAAGTAGACTCACATGGCCAAGTGATTCTAAACATACTTAAGTGCTTCCTAATAACGGAATCAAGTTTTTAAACCTGCATTTTAATTAATAAAAATTAAACAGATAAAATATTCAGTGTCTCAGCTATGATGGATACACTTCAAGTGCTGATCAGCAAACGGTGTTGAGTGTAGCCAGACGGGCCAGCGCAGGCTACACAGCTGCAGCTCAAACAGCATAGTTGCAGGTCAAACAGGCCAGTCTCGGTGCACGGGAACATTCTGGGCAAGCAGGAGACGGGGAAAACGGGCACTGCCCTCGTGAGAACAAAGGACCCACAACAGGAACCCTAGACTCACCCCCTGCCAAAGACACCAATAGCCCATGAAGCAGCCTCCTCAGAAAAGGGAGGGGCATTCAAGAACTTAGAAAAGCACCTCTGGAAAATGCTCACTTTAAAACTTTGCGTGGAACTTTACATTTTAATTACAAAGGTTTTAACTTCCATGTTCTCATTGATTCTTAATTAACTCCATGAAAGTAAACACGGCTTTTATTCTTATTCCTATAGTTACTGTGTTGGAAGTTCATCTATGTGAACAAGCTGTTGCAACTGAAATTTTATGAGAACAAATTCCAAGCTCTTTCCATTAACACAAACTATATGAAGTTTAGTTCTCTTTATTTCCATTGGTTAAAGACCAGAATGTATGAAATATGCATTATCAGATTAGAAAAACAAAACAAACATCAGAAAAAGGTTTTGCAAAATAGAATTTACTAAAATCTATGATAGAAACTAGCTCTAAAACTTCCTGTTTCAAAATTTCACTGTGCGTCTACTAAGTTCGTTTTTCTGGTTGTGGACAGCAGGCCCACCCCACGCCACAGGCCCAACCCACACCACAGACCCACCATGGTCCCATGAATAGGCCAGCTGAGAGCTGTGGCCACTGCCCAGGGCTCCCTGCTCTGTGCTCGGCTGCCTGACCCAACCTGCCAGTGCTTTGCTTTCTCTATGTGTAGAAACTAAAACCAGGAGCCCAAGTTTACAAAAAGCAGATTTTTATTACATAGAGGTACAAATGTGTTTCACTTTCTAATCTCTTTCACAAATCACCTTGCTTTTTCGCTCTTCTTGGGTGATCATTTTTACACAACACTGACCGTTTTGGCTTCTGCCAAGGTTAGCCTCTGTTCACAGGCTGACTCTGACTTCTTCTTCCCACCTCCTCCTAGTCTGGCCTTCCAAAATAATGCTCACCATTCTTTCACATTGACTTTAGTTTTGAAAAGAAAAGTTACCTTACAAAGTAGTATGTACAACTCTGTAATATGTAAAGTGAGGCAATGATAGAACCAGTTTTAAAAATAACCTTTCCATGATGATTTTCATTTGCATCCACCTGCTTATTAGTAAGAATCTTTTTACATGTTTACTGCACACCGCAATTTCTCTTCAGTGAAAAACTTCTGAGTATCATCACACCCTCCAACTTCTCCTCTCACCTATATTGAAAAGGGTCTGCTCTTTATTCTAACATCTATACTAGGTAATTTTCAGAATATTCCTTCAACCACCAAACAAATTTTTGAGATCCTTGTGCTAGATTTCACTATCTTAATATGAAAACCAATAATCACCTACTAAAATACAATACAGGCCGGGAACAGTGGCTTACGCCTGAAATCCCAACACTTTCAGAGGCCAAGGCGGGTAGATCACCTGAGGTCAGGAGTTTGAGACCAGCCTGACCAATATTTTGAAACCCCGTCTCTACTAAAAATACAAAAATCAGCCAGGTGTGGTTGCGGACGCCTGTAGTCCCAGCTACTTGGGAGGCTGAGGCAGGAGAATTGCTAGAACCCAGGAGGCAGAGGTTGCAGTGAGCCAAGATCATGACACTGCACTCCAGCCTGGGCAATAGAGCGAGATTCCGTCTTAAAAAATAAATATTAAAAAAAAATAATAAGTACATAAATAGACCGGGAGTGGTGGGTGATGCCTGTAATCCCAACACTTTGGGAGGCCAAGGCGGGCGGATCACCTGAGGTCAGGAGTTCAAGACAAGCCTGACCACCATGAAGAAACCCCGTCTCTACTAAAACTACAAGATTAGTCGGGTGTGGTGGCACACACCTGTAATCCCAGCTGTGTGAGAGGCTGAGGCAAGAGAATCACTTGAACCTGGGAGGCGGAGCTTGCAGTGAGCCAAGATGGCGCCATAGCACTCCGGCCTGGGCAACAAGAGCGAACTCTGTCACACACACAAAAAAAAGTAAATAAATAACATATAATACAATACAGCTACTACGATTTACCTAAGAAGCTGTTGTATGAGCTGAACCAGAGGCAAACACTGTTTGCCAGAAGACTCACAGATCCCCGTATTAATAAGGTCTTTATCCAGTGGAGTCCTGCTTCTATGAAATGTTGAGGCATTCGCTTCCTGTTCATCAATTTCTTTTTCCTTCTGTGCTTCTTTTTTGGCTTCAATATCCTGTAATTCATAAAAAGAAATTGTTTACAAGTGATCTCATTACCAGGTGTGAAGACACACAGGCTGGCTGAGCCCTAACCCCAGTGCCAAGCTATCCCAGCCTCTGTGGCTAATGCACACACCTACCCACAGGCCCCCATCTGCCTTGTTGGAAACCCTAACTCAGTTGTGCAGTTTCAAACAGTGTCTTCTTTTTACAGAATCAAGGTCCAGGCTGCCTCTGCTGATGCTCTCCAGCATCCTTCTGTGAAGTCCCTAAAATCCTTAACCCTGCTACTGGCTCTCACAAAACCCAATGTGATGTGCCCCACACATGCAACATCCAGCTGCTTTGTAAGGACAAGAAGAAGCTGGAATTCTCACATACTTGTTCAAATGTAAATGGCAAAGCCACTTGGGGAAACTATGAACACGCACCTGCCCCAGGACCTAACAAATTCCACTCCAAGTGTTTACCCAAAAGGAGAACATATGTTCACTAAAGTACTTGTACACAGCACAACCGTGGCAGCTCTACATGGCCAAAAACCAGAAAGCCTGGGCGTGGTCGCTCATGCTTGTAATCCCAACACTTTGGGAGGACAAGGTGGGGGGATCACTGGAGCCCAGGAGTTCGAGACCAGCCTGTGCAACATAGTAACACCTTGTCTCTACAAAAAAATCACAAAACTAGCCGGGCATGGTGACATGTCTGTGGTCCCTGCAAAACAGGAGGCTGAGGTGGCAGGATCATTTGAGCCTAGGAGGACAAGGCTGCAGTGAGCCAACATCAGGTCACTGCATCCAGCCTCGGTGACAGAGCAAGACGCTGTCTCAAAAAAAAAGAAAACAAAAACCAAAAGCAATTAAACGTCCTTCAATAGGAGAATGAACAAACAGTACTACACCTATAAAATGGAATACTTCCCAATAATAAAAAAGAAGTCACAATACACACAACAGTGAGTGAATCTGAAAATCATTCTCCAAGGCAAAGCAAGAAAGAGTGCATACTATATAGTTATATTGCTGCGACACTCAGAGCAGGAAAAATGAATCTAATCTCAGGGCAGGGGAGTATCCTGGCTGCAAGTGCCAAGGGCACAGGGATCTTTCCGGGTAACGGGAATGGTCTACATGAGGAACAGGTTACCTGTTAACTTCACTGAAACAGACAACATGCAGTATTTTATCACAATTAAATCATATCTCAATAATTTTGTAAATTGGCACATAAAAGAATTTTAATTTAAAAAATACTTGGATATGATAAAAGTTTAGAGTTTTACTGTTTTCAGTTATTCTTCACGTGTGTGAGTGTGGTATTTCTGATCTCAGTGCACCACCAGGTCACGTGTGCCTCCAAAGCCATACCTGGATCTCTGCAGTAATGGCTGCGTGTAAGGCTGACTCCAACCCTCCATCAGCCATCAAGCTGCCCACCAGAAGATCAATCATGAATCGACGACCTGGACTTATGTTCACTTCATTGCCTGAAACTGAAATAGAAAGTGTGTGCCAATTTGAGTGAAACGCCATTCCCTCCCAACACCCTGACCCATGCCCTCTCCTGTTCCTTCCCCAGGCCCACCTGCGCAGGGCAGGAGAGCAGAGAGTGCCCGGGCCCGCTCCTCCGCGGTGGGCAGCAGCACGGACCAGCCACTCTGCAGCACGGCCTGGGCGGCCGACTGCACGGTGCTCAGCACGCCCGCACTGCTGGCCAGGGTCACCACCGTCTGCTTCAGGCTGTTCAGGAGGATGCTGCCCAGACCTAAACCAAGGAATTCCGGGTCAACCTGGTGACTAATGGCAGCATGCAACTGAAAGGAGAAAAACAATTTTCACTTAGAACCCCTAAAAATGAGTGAATTTCAAAGTCTTATTAAACACTGAATAAAAGTCAATTTCAAGTATTATTTAAATAGACAATTTCTCAGTTTATGTATTTTTAAAAACTGGACTAAAAAAACTCTTACCCACAATAGTTGAGGTATTTGCTAGAGGAATCTTTTTAACCCCACTATGAACATGTTTATGGAAAGCTCAAGATCAGCAGAAGAGCTAAACAACTAGCAACAGCAACCTCCACCCCGCGCCAACAATCTGCACCAAACACAGAAATAACAGCTACAACTCAACCAAAAAAGCTGCCACAGGTGCAATCTCGGCTCACTGCAAGCTCTGCCTCCCCAGTTCATGCCATTTTCCTGACTCAGCCTCCCGAGTAGCTGGAACTACAGGCGCCCGCCACCACAACTGGCTAATTTTTTGTATTTTTAGTAGAGACGGGGTTTCACCATGTTAGCCGGGATGGTCTCGATCTCCTGACCTCGTGATCCACCCGCCCAGGCCTCCCAAAAGTGCTGGGATTACAGGCGTGAGCCACCGCGCCCAGCCCAGATCATGTTTTTTAAGACTCGCGTCCATTATTAGTGCATTACAATCTTACTTTAAAATATTTCACCGAACAGGCTAAAACCCATGCCCTTCAAAATACATAAACCTTCTTACAAATCCCTAAGACACTTACAAAAGGAGGAAGAAGAAGGGAAATCATGAATACCTGAAGTCGTAGAAGATTCAGCGTTGCCACGGCCACACACTCTTTCTCCTGGGGCGGGGGCCAGTCCGCGGAACCATCCATCCCCTCACTCACCTGCCGAAGCAGGAGATCCAGCTGCTCAAAAGTCATTGAGCAGATGTCCACCACAAAAGGGACACGGAGGCCAATGGACCACTCAGAACATGATGACCAAGCAAAGCTCTAAGAGGAAACGCAACAATCTAAAATGAATCTCCAAATGCAGCTGCTGGTCTGCTCCACAGGAGTCACCAGCGTGTGTGATGGAGCTGCCTTATACTATTACCTATCATCCCTCGAACTGCCCAGTCCAAAGGCATTCATGGATGTCTAGCTCACACACTATCAGCTTCCGATTTTCCCACCCATTTCACTAGCCCATCTCATTTGGCCATACCTAAAAAAGTAAAAGCATTTTTAACAATCTTTTCACTCTCAAAACGATTAATGACATTAATGGATGGCAGTGAGGATCTCCATCCACTTGAAGTGGTATAATAGCAACTCTAACTAGACAACGAATTGTTAGATGCATATGACACACACACAACCTTTCACAGTGAAATAACAAGTAATCGGCAAGGATCTAAGAGAACGGTGGAACACTATGAATAAACTGGATCTAATTTATAGAACATTTCACCCAACAACAACAAAATACATATACTTTTTTTTTTTTTTGAGACAGAGTCTCACTCTGTCACCCAGACTGGAGCCTCAGCCTCCCAAGTAGCTGGGACTACAGGTGCCCGCCACCAAGCCTGGCTAATTTTTTTTTTGTATTTTCAGTAGAGACAGGGTTTCATGGTGTTAGTCAGGATGGTCTCCATCACCTGACCTCATGATCTGCCCGCCTCAGCCTCCCAAAGTGCTGGAATTACAAGCGTGAGCCACCGCACCTGGCCATACATATACTTTTTAAGCACATACAGAATGTTCACTAAGAGAGAACATATCCTGAGACATAAAACAAATCTTAACAAATTTAAAAGAAATGAAATCATATACAGTTTGTTCTCCAATCACAATGGTATTAAACTAGAAATCATGAACAGAACAATCTACAAACACTTCAAAATTAAACAACATACTTAATAATCCATGGGTCAGGCCGGGCGCAGTGGCTCACGCCTGTAATCCAAACACTTTGGGAGGCCAAGGCGGCGGGGATCACCTGAGGTCAGGATTTCAAGACAACCTGGCCAACATGGAGAAACCCCATCTCTACTGAAAATACAAAAAAATTAGCCAAGCATGCTGGTGCATGCCGGTAGTCCCAGCTAATCAGGAAGCTGAGGCAGGAGAATTGCTTGAACCCGGGAGACAGAGGTTGCCGTGAGCTGAGATCATGTCATTGCACTCCGGCCTGGGCAATAAGACCAAAACTCCATCTCAAAATAATAATAATAATAATCATCCATGGGTCAAAAAAACAATTCTCAAGAGAAATTATAAAATATTTTGAACATACATGAAAATGCGCCAAAATTTGTAGGTTTAATTAAAGCACTGCTAAACAGGAAAATTTATAGCATCAAATCATTATCTATTACAAAAAAAAGATAGGTCTAAATCAGCAATCTAAGTTTCCGCCTTAAGAAACTAGAAAAAGAACAAAGTGAACGCAAAACAAGCCAAAGGGACAAATGACAAGACAAAAGCAGAAATCAATGAGATTGAAAGCAAAACAAAAGGGAAAAATTAATGAAACGAAAAGATTGTTCTTTGAAAAGATCAACAAAATTGAAAAACTCTAGGAAAACTGACAAAGAAAAAAACAGAAAAGATACAAATTATCAGAATCAAGAATGAATGAAGGGACATCACCGCAGGCCCCACAGACTTCAGACAGCAAGAGAATACTAAGGAAAACTTGACACGTAAAAATCAGACAACGTAGATGAAGTAAAGCACATCTGAGGGCCAAAAATCAGGAAAATCCTCCTAGAAACAAACAGGTCACCTGAATACTTCTATATCTGTTAAAGAAATTGAAGTTGCAAAATCTTTTTTTTGTTTGTTTTTGTTTTTTTGAGACGGAGTTTCGCTCTTGTTGCCCAAGCTGGAGTGCAATGGCGCCATCCCGGCTCACTGCAATTTCTGCCTCCCAGATTCAAGCGATTCTCCTGCCTTAGCCTCCTGAGTAGCTGGGATTACAGGCGCACATCACCAAGCTCGACGAAATTTTTGTATTTTTAGTAGAAACAGGTTTCACCATGTTAGCCAGGCTGGTCTCAAACTCCTGACCTCAGGTGATCCACCCATCTCGGCCTCCCAACGTGCTGGGATTACAGGCGTGAGCCACTGTGTCTGGCGTAAAATCTTTTAGAAAGCAATCTCCAGACTCAGATGGGATTCAAAAACATTTAAAGAAGAAATAACACTAATTCTACACAATCCCTTATAGAAAATGAAAAAGGACGGAACACATGCCAATATTTTGTATAAGGTCAGCTTTCCCCTGATAGAAAGTCAGACAAGATAGTATAACACAAAGAAAGAAAACCACAAACCAACATCTCTAATGAGCATCAACAGAAAAATCCTCAACAACCTGTTAGCAAGTCAAATTTTGCAATACAGAAACAGAATAGGGCCAGGCACAGTGGCTCACACCTGTAATCCCAGCACTTTGGGATGCCAAGGAGGATGGATCACTTGAGGTCAGGAGTTGGAGACCAGGCTGGCCAACATGGTGAAACCCCATCTCCACTAAAAAGAAAAAAAAAAAATACAAAAATTAGCCAGGCATGGTAGTGCACACCTATAATCCCAGCTACTCAGGAGGCTGACGCAGGAGAATTGCGTGAACCCAGGAGGCACAGGTTGCAGAGAGCTGAGATTGCACCAATGCACTCCAGTCTGGGTGACAGAGTGAGACTCCATCTGGCAAAAAAAAAAAAAAAAAAAAAGAGTAGTAAATTGTGGCCAAGTGATGCCTATCCAAGTAACACAAGGCTTGATCAGTATTTAAAAATCAGGCTGGTGCAGTGCCTCACACCTGTAATCCCAGCACTTTGGGAGGCCAAGGCAGGCAGATCGCTAGAGCTCAGGAGTTCGAGACCAGCCTGGGCAACATAGTGAAACCGTATCTCCAAAAAAGAAAAAAAAAAAATGTTTAAGAAAAAGAAAAGTAAAAAGCATCATGTAATACACCATACTAACACACTAAAGAAGGAAAACTGCATGACCATTTCATTTGAGAAGATTAAAAGCATTTAACAAATTTTAACATCCAGTCAGGATTTTTTAGAAGCTTCTAAAACGGGGAATTAAAGACACTCCCTTAATCTGATAATAAGGCATCTACATAAATACCCACAGCTAACATCACAGTTGATGGTGAAAGACTGAACTGCCTTCCCCTACAGTCAGGATCAAGGCAGGGTGCCCACTGTCACCTCTCCTATTCAGCTTCACACTGCAAGTCCTGGCCAGGGCAATCAGGCCGGGAAAAGACATAAAAGGCGAGCAGACTGGAAAGGAAGAAATGAAACTGCCCCTCTATACAGATAGCATTTAATTGTCCATGAAGAAAACCCAAGGAAACTACAGTGAAGCTCATAATAAATGAGTTTAGCACAACTGCAGGACACAAGAACAACAAACAAAACTCAGTGGTATTTTCTACATACTGGTAATGAACAACTGGAAACCAAAATCCTCCAAAATACCAAATCAAGCTCTATATTCAGTACCTGGGCAGGCCCACAGGCAATTCCCACTATGTGTTTGGTGTCCAGTCCTGGCAATGCTGCAGGTTCTGGCTTGGTCACGCGCAAGGTGTCAAAGTGCTGGCACTGGTCGTTGCTCCCCCAGCTGTGGACCTCGCTGTCCTCAGTCAGAGCCAGGCAGTGGGTGGAGCCTGCAGCCACATCAATCACCTTCTTCCCTACAAGGGAAGAGGGATGCAGATGCAGCTTCAAGCCTATGACTTCCGCTGCAAGAAAGATATTTCCTAGGCCATTCAGGTCAGACAGCTTTTAACATTAACTTCTTGAGGATAATCTGCTTTGCTTTAATATTAAGCACAATTCATTTGCTTTGGGTGTGTTATTAAAACTGCTGTATTTTGTCAGCTACAATTCGTTAGGACCCACAGTCTACAAAGATCATAATACTAGGATACAAAAAGGATCTGTTTTTTTTTCTCCTCCTCATTCAGATTTTCAGTCAGAAAGAAACAAGGTGCTTTTAATTAACTATTAGATCATATTCTCCCATCCGAGATTTAACAATGCATAGCACACTCTTCAGTGAGGAAGGTTTCCTAAGAAGAAATCTATTGTTCTCTCAGTTAGATATAACTGATATTTAAAACATTGTTTCTATTTAAACACTTAGCAAAATATTCTATTTTTCCTTCCTGGTAAATCTAACATGGCCAACACAAAGGGTGTTTCGCAGAAATGTCAGTATATAAAATAATTCAGCTGAAAAACCACACTGCAGTAAGGGGAAAAATTCTATCCTAGGAACTTACCATAAGTTAACATCAGCAACAAAAAAGGTGTTTCTCAACAGTAATTTAAATACCCTCAAAGTAAATGATTTCTATACTAATGATTGTCGTAGCTTTCCTATACTAATGGAGGGGAATATAAACAAGAAGGCAAATGAAATTCAAATACCATTCAATGACACAGAGTAAACTTCTTACTCTGCAACTTATCTCAGAAGCTTAGAAAACAATAAACACCATATGGGCGCACAAAACTCTCAGTCATCAAAATATTAACCTGCTTTAAAATAAAACTAATGGAGAAGGGAACTGGCAAGTCTCACTTAAAAGTCCCACTTCCAAACCCACTTGGTAAAGAACCAAACACACAAAGAATGTATGTAGTACCAGGACCCAACGAACTACAGCCCCCACACACAACGCAGCCCAAGGCCTGCTTCTGTGAAGACACTGGTGTTGGAACACTGCCAGGTCCACCTACTTCAAATACAATCTGGTCCTTTAAGAAAAAGGCTGCCCACCCCTGAGAGAAGAGAACCCTAAAGAGTCCATCTGATGTACCTCTCACACTGCCTTTTCCCTTCTTCCTACTTTCTTGTCAATTTGTCTGCCCTTCAACAGTTCTCGATTAGGATGAAGACTATCTCCCAACCACTAGGCCAGGTGGTACGGAAAAGTCCTGTTTTACCTTAGAAAGATCCCTCCAACATCATAGTTTTGATGGCCCCCACCCCAACTTCCTGCAGCATAACATCCCTAGTAAGAACACCACAGAAGAATCTCAGGGTCTTCTTGCAGAGACTCCCATCCTCTCTGCCTGCACCGGCAGCCCACACTGAAGGCGCCGGCACTCTTATCTACATACCTTGGCTTCCATCTCTTGCCTCCAACTACAATGCATGCTGGACACCTTTGCAACTGAGCAAGCAGGAATCACCCACCAAGGATGAGTTCACATGAGGGTGTCCCAAGTGGACCCAATCCCACCTCCCAATGTGGCTCCACAGCACAATGCACACTCATGGTCTCAGTGTGCCTGCAGTACAAGTACAGGTGACCTCACCACACAGAGGGAACCCTTACTGAGTCCAGCCTGCTGAGTGATTAATGGGTGCCTGCCACAGAAAGTCAACTCAACAGGTTTAAATTACATTTCAGTCATTTTGTAATAGACACCCACTTTCCAATTAGTATCAATACCTATACCAAGCAGGCAGTAAAAGTTTCTAATGACAGTCCATTCATGGAATGTCAGGTTAAGAACATAAAACCTGCTAACTCATGGAATGTCAGGTTAAGAACATAAAACCTGCTAACTTTAAAACATTACTAAAGAAACTGTCCTGAAGGGTTTTAAAAGTTTACATTTGCACTCACCTTGCAAGCCTTCTAAGAGTTTTGGATAACGAACATGTTCCTCTGTTCCATGTCCAAGTCTCTGGTTGTCACCTTTTCCCCATGAATAAACTTGGCCATCTTTCGTCAAAGCAATGGAAAACTGACTTCCACAGCGGACTTTGACCACATCCAAGTCTTGAAGCTTTTCAATCAGCTTTGGGGTTTTGCAGCCATCACTACCACCTCTGCCCAATTTCCCATAGTCACCATCTCCCCAAGACCACACTTGCCCTAAAAAATACAAATGCATTTAAATAACAACAACTCTGCATTTTAACGAAAAATTTTAAATGACTGCAAATAATATAATGAAAAACGCACACTAATCTAGACCACTCAGGTACATAGTTAACACTACAAGGGTGGCTACTGAGCAAACGAAATCTAGGTGACACTTGAGGTTGACATAGAAGCAATAAAGAAAGGGAAAGCTGAGTTTTCTTTTTGTTTTCATTCCATGAAAAACAAAGTCCTGACTCTTACTAGCCTGGGCTCAATGTTAACTGCTTCACAGAACCAAAGGCCCACTGCCTCCATAACACACAGTAACTGGGGCCTGGCACATTGCAGATGCTTGCGGACCACCCTCCCGTTTGCCTGCCTGCTTCTGTTGCCACCATGCTGACCGGTGGTCAACTGTACCACTGTATGTGTTCCCAACTGCATATCAGCATAATTATGTAAGTTGATTAAATATTACATAAAGGGATAAAATGCAATTGCAAAAGTAAATATTTTTATTTTTATGGTGAAAACTAAGCTGAAAACTTTGCAAAAACTTAAAGTGAATTGCTAAAAAACAGAATTGTTAGGCTGGGCATGGTAGCTCACACCTGTAATCCCAGAACTTTGGGAGGCCAAGGCGGGCGGATCACTTGAGCCCAGGAGTTCGAGACCAGCCTGGGCAACATGGCAAAACCCTGTCTGTACTAAAAATACAGAAATTAGCCAGGCATGGTGGTGAATATCTATAATCCAGCTGAGGCATGAGAATTGCTTGACCCCGGGAGGTGGAGTTTGCGGCGAGCCGAGATTGCACCACTGCACACCAGCCTGGGTGACAGAGCAAAACTTTGTCTTACAAAAAAAAAAAAAAAAAACAAACAAAAACAAAAAAAAGTGAAATTACGTAAAGGTGAAAACTGTAAAAGATCAGGAAAAAGAAACCAGAGAAGATATCAGATTGCTCCACAAGTTCCCACACTCTATTTTATAATAACTAAAGATAGGCAAATATTTTCCTCAACGATCAGATGGTAAATATTTTTAGCCTCTGTGGGCTTTCTGTCCCAACTACCCAGCTGTGCCACTGTCACAGGAAAGCAGCCACAGACAGTACGTAAATGAGTGGCATGCCTGCATGCCAATACAACTCTACCTGCAAAAACAGGCCAACCCCAAGCAAAATGGAAACTGGAGATGACGCACTATTACATGGTCAATGAAAGCGGCACAGCAGACCTGAACACAGAGATCGGAGCATGCATTTCCATATGCTGTGCTGAAAATTATGCTGTTCACATAGCCCACCTGGCTATTTCCCACTGTCCCCCAAGGCCAGACTGCAGGGTAGGATACTTCTACTGTAACAGTCGCCTCAGAAAATATATAGCAGCACAGCAGGGACACTTCCCTACAAGATCTGCACCAAAGAAACACCAGTGTGAGGAAGACAATGTCTGCAGCCCTACTCAAGGCAGTTTACTCAACATATCATCGCAAACTTTAACTAAAGTAGCAACTACACATAAAGAATGCAAGGCTAATCTCCTAACACAGCTTAGACCTTACAAAACTTTTAACCGGGAAATATTTTAAGGTCTGCAACTCACTCAATAATAGATATTTTAAAATGACGAGATGTCAAACTGAAAGCTCCTTGACAGCAGGAGCCTTTCAGATGAGGCCATCTTTGCTCTAGGACTCACAAAAGCAGAAACAACACGGCTCTGACAAGGTCTGTCCCGTCAATGGCAGCAGGACCGACATACAGGGAAGTATCTAAAATGATTTTTCATCTTTCACCTAAGAAATGCCCAAAAGTCACTCAATTACCAATCTGCCATTCAACTTCTGCAGGAGAGAAAGCAAGCTGACAGGTACCCCTGCTGATTATAACGGAAAGACTCCACAACGCCAGAGACACACAAGATGCCAAGGACAGACCACCACAATACTGAAAGACGAGTCATTTCTAAAATATTAACATGACTTTAACCATCAAACCTCATCAGGTACCCTTGAAAAAAGGATGATCTCACTTAGGAACACAAACATAAAACCAAAATTCAAAGCAAGCAGATACCGTAGCATCAGACTACAGAACACAGAAAGACTTAGCAGGAATTACCACAGGGAATCAAGAGTGGCCGAACGTTAAGAAATGTAATAATACTAACCAGAGACAATTCAGAGTGTCAATCATCCCATTTCAACTCTCATTCTTAAAAAATAAAATGCCCACACAGGAACGGCGGCAGCTGCTAACCAGCTGAGAGGCCTCAGGCAAACAAGCCCAGTAACCACCCGGGCCTCTTCCCCAATGCCACTGAGCCCCACACCCACTGGGCGACAGGGTGGGTGGCCTCGTGAGGCCCACTGTACTCATCTCACTTCCTCCAGGGAAGCTGCCATGCGTGTCCTCGTGGGCCTGTCCAGGGTGGCGAGAGCTCTACGTACCGTTCTCAGTGACAGCCAGGGTTTGAGCATCCCCACTCCCACACGCCACATCGATGACCTTCAGTCCTTTAAGCCCGGCTACCAGCATCGGAATGGCCTCGTCCTCACTGGAGCCTTCAAACAGATAGGACGGCGGTTACTAAGTCCTGTAAGAGGCCACCTCCTGCTGCATGCTCCCACTCATGCAGAGCAGACGTACCATGGCCCAGCCGGCCGTAGTTCCCGCGGCCCCAGGTGTACAGCTCCCCCTCGGCAGTGATGGCCGCACTGTAAGTGCTCCCGCAAGCGATGTGCACCACGTGCTTCCCGGCCTGCTTTCCAGAGAAGGCGGAGATCACCTTAGGCTCCTCCAAAGGCCTTGGGGAGAAAGGGAACAAACATGAATGCCCTTCTTCTTGGTGTTATTTCTTATTAATGTTAACAAAGGAAATTCACTATCCAAATTTAGACCAGCATAGCATCAGGCCAGTTTCACCTTCCAGGTACCTTGTGAAAGAAGGAAGAGAGAATTCCAACACCTAACACCTCCATGACTTTTTGTTCAGTTGGAACCCGATGCCAAACATGGTACCCAGTAGAAATATAAAAATAGTGTTTGTTAAAGAATTGTACAATAGGCTAGGCGCGGTGGCTCACACCTGTAATCCCACCACTTTGGGAGGCCGAGGTGGGCAGATCACCTGAGGTCACGAGTTCGAGACCAGCCTGGCTAACATGGTGAAATCCCGTCTCTACTAAAAATACAAAATTAGGTGGGCATAGTGGAGGGTGTCTGTAATCCCAGCTACTTGGGAGGCTGAGGCAGGAGAATCGCTTGAACCTGGGAGGAGGAGGTTGCAGTGAGGTGAGATCGCCCCATTGCACTCCACCTTGGGTAACAAGAACAAAACTCCATCTCAAAAAAAAAGAGACTTGTAAAGTCCACTGCAGCTTTATTCACAATGTCCCAAAACCATGGTCCATCTGCAACAGAAGGAATGAATTACCCATACACCCAACCCAACATGGCTGGATCTCAAGACATCTGCTAAGTCAAAGATGCCAGAAACAAAATACCATACACTGTATGGCTTTGTTATATTAAATTATGGAAAAGACAAAATAATAACAACAGAGGGCAGATCAGAGGTTGTCAGGAACTGGAGGTAGGAAGGGGGCATCAACTCAAAGGGTACAAAGAGGGCCCTGGAAGCGATGGGAGCGCCCCATGTCTTGATGGTGGTGACCCAACTGCGTGCACTTGTCAAAACCCATCCAACTCTACATCTGAAACTCAGTCATCTGGTTGTATGGAAGCCTCATAAAGCTGACCGACATTTATATGTATTTGTTAAATGAATGTGGATGGAATGAAGCCAGCACTCTGCAATCTATACTTTACAAATGAAAAGTATGAGGCAGTGGGGATTAGGGTAGAGAAGTCTTACTAGTTGAAGAAATTTCAAAGTTAGCAAAATACCCTATTCTTAGGATCCAGAATATGTTCCTATGATGGATGACATTTTCTTGAAAATCTACAGAAGCCAGGCCTCTCCTTTACTCACTTTGTGACCTACTAGTTTGCAAAATACACACAGTGGCACAGGTGCTCACAGGGACAGCCCAATGACTCTACTCCAGTACAAACTATCCCTTATTCAGCTTAAGTTTCAATTTCCCCAAAAGGTTATCTCCAGCTTCTGCCATCTGCACTCATCTCTCTTCCTTCCTTGAAGTCCTAGAATAAGGCGTAAGTTACTCATCCCAGCACTTACTCTCCACTGAGAATTGTTTTACTATGAAATATTTTATAGAAAGTCAGTTATAAATACCATAAAGGAAGTAAGCAGACATACCACCCTGTCCTGTACCTCGATGCCTTTCAAGTCCCGTGTACCCCATGTCAATCCCAGCCTTTACAATCCAGTGTGAGAGTAACAGCTATAAATTCCATGGAGATCAATCTTTTCTTTTTCACTCGTCTTAGATTTGTCTGAATCCCTTACAACACTGTCAGGGTTGGGCTGTTCTGAGCTTGGCATACATGTACCACACGATACGCATTACTCTGCTTTTCTCCCAGTTTGGGATCTTCCCAGCGGATGCTGTCGGCAATGATGCCCTCAACTCCACCCTGTGGTGTGCATGGGCCATGCCCCCCAGGCTCCTCTCAAGGGACACAAGTGCAGTCATGACTTCACTCATTTCAAGCTCTGCACTGCCCTCTCCCTGCTCAGGGCTCCAGCCCACAAGAAATGGGCTTGCTGGGTTGGTGTGTACATACATCCCTCATTTAAACCTAATGCCAAAGTTCCATGCACAACAGCAAAGTACAAGAGGGTTCCCATCACTCCATGGGGCTGGCAGACCTCCCAATTTTTACAACCTGGCATTTATAACAACTTTCTGTTTCATTTGTTCTTTCACAATAAAAGGTTCCACTGAGTAGGATAATATTAGGAAGAAACTGCTGACTTTTGTTCCTGTAAAAATAATATATGGTTCAAGAAAAGGGTGACAACCTTATCTATGAGAGACAGGGTGAACTGTTTGTGAATGAAGGAACAGTGGTGTGGGATTTGTTTTGGCAAACTCCACAGTGGGGATGCAGTTTGAGTAGATAGAAGGCTGGCCAAGGCTGCACGGGGTCAAGAAGAACAGAAAGGCCAATTCCCGTTGCCCTCCACACATGGGCAGAGCTCCTAAGCCATCACCAAGGAGGAGGCATATCGTAGTGTCCTGCTCCATCCCAGCGCTACATGTCAGGGCAATTGGAAAACACCTGGACACACTTCTGCGCTCCATCCTGTTTAGGATATGGCAACATAAAAGGAGAGTGTGTCCCCTACAGGAATAAGCGATACATACACAGTGTCCCCATGGCCCAGCCGTCCGCCGTCCCCACAGCCCCAGGAGTACACCTCTCCAGTAGCAGCCAAGGCTAGGTAGTGGTGACCATCAGAATGGGCAGCAATTTTTACAATGTTTCTGGAGGCAAGGCCTTGGACCAGCTGTGGGGCCTAAAGAAGGAAAAATACGAAGAAAAGTAGTCATCAGTCCAAGGAAAATGAAACCAGCTCAGCTCTCCGTTATCATGTATCCCCAAGCAAAGCCTGCTGTAACTCCAAGTGGGGCATAAGTCTCTGGGAACTACGGGGCCGGCTCTCCAGCCCTTCCCACCCAGCAGCAACAGAACAGCGGGCAGCCTCCAAGTGCTCTGCAGCAAGACCAGAGCCGATGCAGGGGCAGGGCAGGCTAGCCCCATGCCACAGAGACACGCAGCCGACAGGGAGGAACACCTCGCTTTAATGAAAACATGCCACGTCCCAATTTGCCACTATCCCCACGAGGCCCAACTCCCTCACCTGTCACCTGTCTGGCCCCAACGTCAAATGAGTTTACACGTGGAAATGAGTTTACAAACGGGAATCTCACGATTAGCAATGAGTTTCACTGTAAGGACTTCCTAATCTTCACAACCCAAATCTTGACAATATTACAACTGAGATCATTAAACATAATATACAATAAACAGAACTTTGTCAATCTTCAGAAATCAAACGCCTTAAAGAAACACCAGAGCTTGTGCATCTGTAGGACAGACCCTGCCCCGCAAGGGAACACTGCAGGCACAGTGCCCAGAACACTCACCAGCGTGTCACTATTATAGGCCTGTGTGTACACGCGGCCATTGCGTGACAGAATCAGGAAACGCTTCTCTGCACAGGCAATCTGTGTGACTCCCAGGTTGGCCAGGCCTTCGCACTGGATTGGACCAATCACATTGGCATAGTATTTCCATCCTATTAACCCCCAACCTATGACCTCTTGCAATGATCCCTGTAAGATAAGAAAGTAAACATTTCCTTTAACAACAACAACAATAAAAAAAGGCTGGGAGTAACACTGAGCTACTACAAAATAAAAACAAAGCAAATAAAGAGAAAATATGCTGATTCAAAACATCAAAATAGCTCATACCAGCCTGTATTACCTCATTTAACAGGTAAGATGAAGCAACTGAACAGGTTATTTTTCCATTTCCATTGCATTTCATTTTAACAGAGCCCATTAAAAAGTACTATAAATGGCCCTTAAATACTAATATATTTTTAAATGCTCAAACTATATCAGGGTCACCATTTTGTGCTTTAGCAGGCAAAATCCCAAAAGCCCACACACAAGGCTGGGAGACCAGCATCCATGTTGGTGGTGAGAGAAATCAACTTGTACGGGAGCAATCTGGTGACAACCAGCCCACACTAGGTGCATCCCCACCTGTGCATGTGCACGGGCACACACACGTGCACACATGGAGGACACATGTTCCAGGTCAGGCCTTGCAGCACTATTTGTGTTTGTTTTTGTTGTTGTTGTTTGTTGAGATGGGGTTTCACGCTTGTTGCCCAGGCTGCAGTGCAATGGCGCGATCTTGGCTCACTGCAACCTCCGCCTCCCGGGTTCAAGTGATTCTCCTGCCTCAGCCTCCCAAGTAGCTGGGATTACAGGCATATGCCACCATGCCCAGCTAATTTTTGTATTTTTAAGTTGAGACAGGGTTTCTCCAAGTTGGCCAGGCTGGAGAACCCACTCTTTTTATTTATTTATAGATAGATAGATAGATAGAACCCACTCTTTTTATTTATTTATAGATAGATAGATAGATAGATAGACAGACAGACAGACATGTAATATAGATATATAATATATAATATATAACATATAATTATACTGTCACTACTATCACCAGCATTACATACTAAGACAGTCCGCGTTCAGAGTATGAAGAAGGCTGTGGAACCCCCTGCAGAAGGTGGGAGGGCCTGGGGCTGTGGATAAAGGGGAGCTCTCTGGGGCTGTGCCACCTGAACCTGGAACCCGGGCCCCCAGGTTGGGTCGCCAGGCCTGTGCGCCTCAGCTTGCTCATCACTCACTCTCAACACGGATAACACCTTCAACTGCAAACGCGTTTAAAAACCACAGGCCAGCTCCCCCTACCAATACCAGAAAAAGCAAGTCTCCACACGGGCCCAGGATGAGAACCTACAAGTGGTACTAGCTACAAAACACATGGAGAACACGGTTCTTGCACACACACCTTATGAGATGTCGGAGAGCTACACAGCGGAGGCATACAGGGCGTAGCCAGACGGTCTAAATGGGCCATGACAACAACCGCCGTTTGTCGCAGATCAATGGCAAGCTCGTTGTCTTGTGGAAGGGTGAGGTACCTCAGGAAACTCTCATTGGGGCTCAGAGGGCCAGACAAAAGCTAGAAAGGAAAAGTAAACAAAAATTCAGAAATGGTGGGAAAAATTAAAGTTAACACAATTAACCTTTACCCACGCTTTATATTTTGGTATTGACTCATTTGACCCATCAAATGACAATGTCAATGATACAGTTATACTATACATCTATATATTTATGCAGCATATAAACTGACTGTGTAAATGTCTAAATTTGCTGTACACGCATACACAACATTGACTGCGCATGTATACATTTATGATACCACAGGTAAGATGGATCCACACAGATTACTAACATGACCAAACCACCCTACAGGCCTAGGACCCCTGGAGAAAGGCAGAACCACCTCTGTGGGAACCCAGCACAGCATCTCAAGCTGGCCTTGAAATCTAAAACCAAAACCTTTATTTTAATCTAAACGTTGCCCACTCTGGAGAACACCTACTTTCATTTGCAAATTAAATCATAGTTCTAATTCTTCTAAAGGCAGAAGAGCCCTATTATCATTAGTTTAAAGACTGCCAAATAATAGGCTGGGCATGGTGGCTCACGCCTGTAATCCCAGCACTTTGGGAGGGCCAGGCAGGCGCAGGCGGATCACAAGGTCGAGAGATCGAGACCATCCTGGGTAACATGGTGAAACCCCATCTTTACTAAAAATACAAATATATTAGCTGGGCTTGGTGGTGGGCGCCTGTAGTCCCAGCTACTCGGGAGGCTGAGGCAGGACAATGGTGTGAACCCAGGAGGCCCAGCTTGCAGTGAGCCGAGATCACGCCACTGCACTCCAGCCTGGGCGACAGAGCAAGACTCCATCTAAGGAAAAAAAAAAGACTGCCAATAATAGAAAAATTAAACCAAAGCACGATATTGGAATGCCTAAGACTTTCCCAAAAAGACTGGCAAAATCCAACTTGTACTTGACATGTAAAGACCAGCAGTCCTGGAGGTTTAGGCCCAGGGCCCCGCACGCCTGCTCCTCCCTCAGCTTGTTGTCCACACCTGTTAAGGCGGGAGCTGGTACCAAACAGAGTGACAGCTCAGGTGACGTGCCCTGCACAGAGCCCAGTACATAGGAAGGACCAACAAAGCAGGCCGCTATTTTCGTTGTTCTTTTCTGGTATTTATTTAAAAGTGAATGTTTCAAGCTTGGTTTTGTGCTGACAAGGAAGTCAGTGCTCACTGATCCGAGTCTTCTCCACAAACAAGTGACCTCCCACACCTGTCTCATCTGACTCGCTGCTATTACCACCAAACACACACACGCCAGAGAAAAACACTGCCGTTGACATGCATGCTAGTCTTGCTTTAAAAGTAACTAGACTCGAGTGCCACCTAAACACAAAGTTCCATCATGACACTCACGTGCATGTCGCCCTCGGAGTGGGGTGCATCCTTCCTGCAAATGATGCTCTGGAACCTTTGCAGCAAGGGCAAAAGTGGGGCGCTGGTGCCCTGGGCGGAACGCTCATTGTCAGTCTCCTGTGCCCCGCTGTCCCACAGCTGAAGCAACAACAGGATGGCAGACAACATTTGGCTAAAGGAGAAAAGATATTTATTCTAGTAAAAACAGATTAACTTCTTTTCTTCACAGTTGATCAAAAATAAAAGCAAATAGCTGGATAGAAGTGAACAAATACTTGGGATTTGAAAGGAAACTAAACTAAAGCCGTGGTAATTAAATCACTGAATTGACACCAAGACTTTAGCACAAGACATCGCCTTCTGCTCATAAGAAAGACCAGTTAAGAAGCTCAAAGAGCACATTTACATGAAAGTTCTAGGATCTTAAATTCATGGAATAAAAATAAATAAATGAAGAAAACTGAAAGAAAAAAAAAAAGAACAGTTCCCAGGCTAGAACACTGAGCATAAAACAGGAAGTGAAGAAAAGGTAAAGAGAGAGAGCCCTGGGACATGGTTCTCCGTACAGAGTACCACATCTGCTGCGGTCACAAACGATTCAGTGAAACACACACAATGCAACAGGTATTTCCATACACAGGCGCTTCCCCAAAGCGTTCCCGTCTGCGGCAGCCCTCACCTCAGCGTGCCTCTCTGCACAGCCAGCTCCAGCAGGATGGCCAGGGCCAAGTGCTGGTCCTGCAGGGGGATGCTTCCTGGCCCTTTGGTGGCTGGCGTTCCGTGAACATCCCTGAAATGAAAGCAGTGGATGCAGGAACAAAGCAACCTCCAGAAAGACAGCATGCTTACAATCACACTAACACATTTACTACACGCTCCCTCCAAAGGAAGGATGTATTTTTAATATTTAGGATCAAGTTTCTGATACTTGCTACTCAAATTTATTCAGAGATTATAAGTGTACAATTAGCTTACACAACTATATTTTATTTAAAGTGTTCACTCAGATACTATATTACAGTAGATGACATACTCCATGTATATGAAGCATAAAATAATTTATCTCATTATCAAAAACATAAGTAGAAGAATATCTAGCTATCTTTTCCAGTTTCAATGACGTATAAGACTATACCAGTATCAGCATTTATCTACAGAATTAAAGAACCAATTTCTAAAACCACCTTAGAATCTGGAGGCAAAATGTCAACACTAATTTCTATCTCTGATCAATGAAATATTTTTAACTTTTCTATGTTACTCAATAATAAATTTTCTAAAATTCTATCCTAAGACTGCAGAGAAAGGATCTTATGGTATCAATATTACAGCTGAATTTGTGAAATCAACTCCAAGCCTATGCTCAGGGCCTCCAGCGTTAAAACTCTGTGGTGATGCCTTCACCAGCCGGCTCAGGAAGTGGACTCAGAGCCGGGGACGCAAACGCCAAAGGCCTCCTGCTGGCTGCAAGAAGGCACAGTGCTGACCTCTGCAAGGAGAGTGAGGAGTGGCCTCACTTTCCCTCTGCATCTGTCCTTCCTGTTGAATTTTATATTTTCTTTAAATTTAAAAACCTTAACAAAAATGCATAGCACCCAAGACCAGAGTTCATGTTTTTCTTACACACAAATGATTCCTATTCAAAATTTTTTACACTAAAAAGATCAGCTACAGGACTAAAGAATTTGATCTTGAGTAGTTGTTTACTCCCACATTATCTATAAGACTTCAAACCAAGCACCACTCCGCACTCAGAACAGCAGCTCCTAATCATCACAGAGAGACACACAGTGTAAGCACTCAAACCTCTACGAATGACTGATGGCCAAATCTCTAAGCATTCTCTCTCATCCGTCTCATTTAGTATCACAGCTTCCTGGGTCTAGTCAGAGTATCATAAATCAAATCGCCTGAAAAGCTGAGAACCCAGACCCGGAATCACAGCACTGACAGCCCGCTGAAAACAGGTGAAAAACCAACCTACTAGGCTTCTTAGCTCTAAAGCAAGGGTGGTAAGAACCAGCCTCAAGCAGGCCAGCTGTCTGCGTGCAGAAGGCAAGAAAGGAAAGAACTCACCCCGTCACGACGGACCTGAGGAACCTGGTCGCTCTCTCCACCACCTCCAGCCACACAGAGGACACGGTGCTCTCGTCAAAGAGCGAGGCCTCGGGAAGTGCTCGCAGGGCGTCCAGGGACTCCTGCAACAGCTCACTGCAGAGGTCCGCATCCTCGCCTGGGCGCACACACGCGTCAGAGGAGCCCCCCCACTCCCCTCACTCTCCCGCTGGGCTTCCCACCCCTCAGCGAGAGATGACGCCACTGTCACCTTTCCAATCCCTCACTCAACAGGCCAAAATCTAGCGCAGCTGCTCCAGTCAATTCTGTGTTTCACGGCTGTCACATGAGCAATACACTAACTTCTTGTCCTTCTAGAATTAAGTCTGTACTCAGGTGTTCCATGGTAGTGGTTGACGTGGGGGTGGGGGTGCATACACTCTCTTTTTTTTCTTTAAAGCACAGATGTGAAAAGCCAAACAGCCTCTGCAGCCTCTCATCTCACAAGCAAGGAAACTGAGGCACAGAGAGCACATGGGATCAGCCAAAGGGCACATGGTGGCTGAACCGAGTTCGAAACCCAGTCTGTTGATGTATTAGGGAAGCAGAACAACGCGCCACACCAGGGACCGTACCTGATCGCCAGGCCCTGCGCAGGAAGGCAAAGGCAAAAGACAGCGCCGCTCGGGATCCCACTCTGGCGAGCCCCTCCACACCTTTGCCCGCAGGCCGGGAACTGCAGACGACACACACGGAACATACAACCAGTCAGCAGCAGAGGGTGCAGATACTACATAAAATCAATACTATGAAAGGGTGTGTACCAAAATCCGACCAATGGTTTTCTTCAAGTGACAGGATCACAAGTGGATTTTTCGTTTTGTTGTTTAACAACTTTCATCAAATGTCTTTTGTAAAGGAAAAGTTTTCTCTTTAAGAATCAAAGAAATGTATAAGGAATTTTAAATGTCTTGGGAAAATGCTCAAGAAATGACCTCCCAAAGTGAGATTCTACTGGGAGGAAGCAGACGATAAGGAGATAAATACATAAACGGAGGGAGAATAAACCCCACATGGGAGACCAGGCCGGAGAAGAGCTGGAAGAAGAGCAGCAGAGCCGCAGAGGGTAGCCTGGCTCGCCCCAGCTCCGGCGTCCTCCACTCGAGGTCTGCTCCTGGCCGCGGGTGAAGCCCTGCGTGCTTGACCCACCCTATGGGGCATTGCCCTCTTCTGACGGTGGTGCTCATCACCCTCCTGTGTCTATTTAAGCTTTTCACTACTTGTGTATGTTAATTTCACAAGTCACAGTTTCATTCTGCATGTTCTAAAAGGTTATGCATATGGTACACCATAAAAATCATCCTGTACAAGAGAGAAAAGGCTAGAATACAAAAATGCATATATAGGGGAGGCTGAGGCAGGAGAATGGTGTGAACCTGGGGGGTGCAGCTTGCAGTGAGCCAAGATCGCGCCACTGCACTCCAGCCTGCGAGACAGAGCAAGACTCCATCTCAAAAAAAATAAAATAAAATAAAATAAAAATGCATATATAATCTCAACTCAATCATGCACAGCAAGTAATTGTATGTTATACTTTATACTATATCATGTTTCTAATATTACAGTATTGCTACTATAAACTATATTCTCCAAATTTACTAAAATTTGCTTTCATGATCAGGGGAAATCCTATAAAAACAGGTGATACAGAGTTCAAGACCAGCCTGGCCAATATGACGAAACCCTGTCTCCACTAAAAATACAAAAATTAGCCAGGTGTGGTGACGGGTGCCTGTAGTCCCAGCTACTCGGAGGCTGAGGCAGGACAATCACTTAAACCTGGGAGACAAAGGTTGCAGTGAGCCAAGATCGCACCTCTGCACTCCAGCCTGGGAGGCAGAGCAAGACTCCATCTCAAAAAACAAAAAAAAAAAAAAAAAAAAAAAAAGAGGGTTGTTATAGAAGGATCTCCCCAAGATACAATATGTAATAAAAATGGCAATGAAGAACACGGCTGGCCAGGGGCAACAGTACACGCTTATCCACAAGTGCCTGAATAATGCACCGGGAGCTCAGAGAGGAAACACAAGAACCTCTGAGAAGGGCACTGGGTACCTGGAAGATGGAAATCTTTGCTCCTAAATGAGAAATACGAACATGACAAGACACAGACATGTAACAGGACACACAGTCCTTACAAGAGAAAGCACATGGGCCAAGTGTGGTCAGAGGAGGTGGGCCAGTCACTTTAGGTCAGGAGTTTGAGACCAGCTTGGCCAACATGGCAAAACCCCATCTCTACTAAAAATACAAAAATTAGCCGGGTGTGGTGGTGCATGCCTATAGTCCCAGCTATATGGGAGGCTGAGGCAGAATTGCTTGAACCTGGGAGGCAGAGGTTGCAGTAAGCCAAGATCGCACCACTGCATTCCAGCCTGGCCTGGGCGACAAAGCGAGACTCTGTCTCAAAAAAAAAACAAAAACAAAAACAAAAAAAAACTACTCAGCCATAATAAAATAATGATACATGCAATGACCCCTTTGGGAAAATGTTAAGGGGATTGTGCTGAGTGAAAAAAGTCAATATTGCTTGAGGCCAGGAGTTCCAGACAAGCCTGGGAAACACAACAAGACCCCAGTCTCTACAAATACAAAATGAGCTGGGTGTGGTGTCATGCATCTGTAGTCCCAGCTACTCAGGAAGCTGAAATGAGGTGACTGCTTGAGTCCAGGAGTTTGAGGCTGCAGTGAGCTATGATTATATCACTGCACTCCAGCTTGTGGGCATCAGGGTGAGACCCTGTCTCCAAAAATTATAATAATAACAATAATAAAAAATTTAAAAGCCAATGTCAAAAAATCACATAATAGGCACACAGAACAGATGAGTGGTTGCCAGCAGTTAAGGTGGGGAGAGAAGACGTGAATGTGGGTATAAAGGGCCCTTGTCCATGTACCAATTGCAGTGGTGGTCTCAGAAAATCCACACCTGAAAAAATTGCAAAGAAATACACACACAATTGAGAGCATGTAAAACTGGGAAAATCTGAATAAGATAGGCAGGCTATCAAAATTAACACCCTCGTTGTGATGACTGTGTCACAGTTTGCAACTGCCATTGAGGGCAACGGGACGAACAGTACAAGGAATCTCTATACTGGTTCTTACAACTGTATGTGAATCCACAATTATCTAAAAAAAAAAAAAAAGGGGCTTTTTTAAAATTTTAGGAATTCTTCCACTTAATGAAAGATACATTCCAATTAATTCACCAACCCTAAGTCATCACAAAGGAAACAGCAGAGAAAAATCAGCTGGGCTCTCAGCCATTTCTGCAGCTGAGGGAATTCAGTTTGATTCGACAAACACACAACAGTGCTTGGACAATCTTAGCACCTACCGCCGACCCGTACATAACACTGATTCATGACCATCACAGCCGGTTAGGAAGGAAGAAAGAACCATGGCACTCCTATTACCAAATGGGTAGGAATCTCATCTGTCTCTTGGTTTAATTTACCCTAAAACTATTTTCAAAAATACAACATGTACAGTCGTCCCTTGGTATCTGTAGGGGATTGGTACCAGGCTTGCCCCACCCTGGCTCCATACCAAAACCCTAGGATGCTCAAGTCCCTGATATAAAATGGTGTAGTATTTGCATATAACCTGTGCACATCCTCCAGTATAATTTAAATCATCTCAGCCAGGCACAGTGGCTCACACCTATAATCCCAACCCTTTGGGAGGTCAAGGCGAGAGGGTTGCTTGAGCCCAGGGGTTCAAGACCAGCCCGGGCAACATGGCAAAACCCAATCTATACAAATTAAAAAAAAAAAAAAATTGGCCAGGTATGGTGGCTCATGCTTGTAATCCCAGCACTTTGGGAGGCCAAGGCAGGCAGATCACTCGAGGCCAGCCTGGGCAACACAGTGAGACCTCAGCTCTACAAAAAATACAAAAATTAGCTAGGCATTGTGGCACACGCCTGCAGTCCCAGCTACTTGGGAGGCTGAGGTGGGAGAATCACTTGAGCCCAGGAGGTCAAAGCTGCAGGAAGCCATGATGGCCCCACTGCCCTGGGCAACAGTGAGACCCCCATGTCAAAACAAACAAACAAAAAAAAATCATCTCTAGATTACTATAACACCCAATACAAGGTAAATGCTCTGGAATTAGATGTTATATTGTATTGTTTTTTCTTTGTATTTTTTTATTGTTGTGTTGTTTTTTATTGCTTTTCTTCCAATATTTTCGATCCATAGTTGGTTGAATCTGTGGATGTGAAACCCACAGACACAGAGAGCCAACTGTAATGTGATTTCAACTATATTTAAACATAAGGAAACAAAAAAGGAAAACAAACACAAAAATTAAAACATAAGAAAACAAGGAAACAAGCTACAAGTACCGCTCCTGTCTCTGGGGAGCAAGACGATCAGGGTTTTGCTCTTGTTTCTTTCTGCCTCCCGTACCTTCTATGTGCTCTCTCCAGGGAGTCAAAGTCACTATCACAGTCAAATAAAGCCAGCACTCCTAACACAAAATATAAGTTTCATCTGGCAGTCTTGTAGTTTAACCTTCTGAGGACAAAAGTCTGATAGCTTCATTTTGGAAAAGTACAAATTTACATAAGCCTTAAACATTCTAGTGGCTGTTAGCAAATAGTGGAAATCTGTGATACATTAACAGGCATCAACAAATTAAAACTCATATGCCCAAAAGCATCTCTTTTTTTTGCTTCTTTTTGAGACAGAATTTCATTCTTGTTGCCCAGGCTGGCACAATCTCCGCTCACCGCAACCTCCACCTCCCGGGATCAAGCAATTCTCCTGCCTCAGTCTCCCAAGTAGCTGGGATTACAGGCATGAGCCACCAAGCCCCGGCTAATTTTTTTATTTTTAGTAGAGATGGGGTTTCTCCATGTTGGTCAGATCTCCAACTCCCGACCTGAGGTGATCCGCCCACCTCAGGCCTCCCAAAGTGCTGGGATTACAGGCGTGAGCCACCACACCCAGCCCAAAAGCAACTCTTGTAATAAAAGAATAAGAAAATCACATTAGGAAGGAAAAACATGAAGCATCTAAACTAGTTGGGCATTAAACATTACAATCTATCTCCTACCCAGCAGCAAAACAAAATAAAACGTATACAACGTTCAGAACTCATTTTCCAATTTATACTTGAGCTGATCTAAAGCTGTGGCTGGCTTCCACAGTTACTGACAGAAAAATGTCTTTACAATAATGACACAGAGCCAGGCGCAGTGTCTCATGCCTGTAATCCCAGTACTCTGAGAGGCTGAAGCAGGAAGATTACTTGAGGCCAGGAGCAAGACCCCATCTCCACACACACACACACACACACACACACACACACACAAATTGTTTTTATTTAGCCAGGCATGGTGGCATGTGCCTGTAGTCCCAGCTACTCAGGTGGCTGAGGCGGGAGGATCACTAGAGCCCTGGAGTTCAAGGTTACAATGAGCTATGATTACACCACTGCACCCCAGCCTGGGTGACAGAGCAAGACATTGTCTCTCCAAAAAAAAGAAAAGAAAAATTTTATTGAATAAAATAAAATAATGGCACAGATTACACAGCATGGTCTATTACTACATGAGCAAATTGGCAAATCCATTCTCCAGATTATACAAAACATACAAAAAGGGAAAGCAAGAATAAATTTCAGAAGGTGAAGACAGCCTATATTGAAAACCTTAAACTTTCTGAAACAAAACAGTCTGAATTTTATATTTAACTGGCATCAGGATTCTTTCTTCGCTTTATTGTTACCTTTTTTTGTCCACAGGAGGCAGAGAAATACCGCTGCTTTTCCACTTAACTTTGACATTCTCCTGAAAAACGGTTCTATTCAAGGCAATGAAATAGCGCTCCAAGATCACCAGCCTCTGCTTGAGTCGCAGGGCTGAGAGGGTGGTGGTGGCTGACTGGACGGCCAGGGCCTGCTGCTCTTTAACCAGCACAGAAAGACACTCCTTCAGTTCATTCACATCTAGAAAATAAGACAAGAAAACATCTCACCTGTGGACAATGTGGCCACAGTTTGTTGCAATGTTGAGAAAATGGATGATGACGACAGGTAGTACTCGAAGGCATGATATGTGGCAATAATGGTTTTAACCACTTTACACACATGAGCTCAGGCAACCCTCACACCCAGCACTGTCAAGCAGTGCTGTCCATCCATTTTATGGATGAAGAAACTGAGGCACCAAGTGGTTAAGCAACTTGTCCGAGGCCACACAGAGGAGTGCGGCACATGACAGAGACTCTTGAGCCACCATGGCACACTGCCTCTCTCTATGGAAACATCATACAAAAGAAGTTGGCCGGGCACAGTGGCTCACACCTGGAATCCCAGCACTTTGGGAGGCCAAGGCAGGTGGATCACTTGAGGTCAGGAGTTCGAGACCAGCCTGGCCAACATGGTGAAACCCCTTCTCTACTAAAAAAAAAATACAAAAATTAGCCGAGTGTGGTGACGCACGCCTGGAATTCCAGCTACTCAGGAGGCTGAGGCACGAGAATTGCCTGAACCCAGGAGGAGGAGGTTGCAGTGAGCTGAGATTTTGTCACTGCACTCCAGCCTGGGTGACAGAGTGAGACTCTGTCTCCCAAAAAAAAAAGTTACTAACACAGAACTTTGAAGTCAATATTAGTCAATATTTATCAGCAGCACATCTCCTAAACAGAGAAAAACACTAGCCATTATTTTCATGTTACAAAACCAAATTCAATATAAAAACGATGTCTTGATAAAATTACCCAGCATGCATGACTCATGAAGCACATTTATGGACATATTTTAGAGGAAGATAAAGTAACAAGTTAGAATACACATTCTAACTAGTGAGTAAGTGATATTTCATTATATTATTCTCTCTTCTTCTATGTATCTTTGAAAATTTCCATACTAACAAGTGTTTTGTAAGTAGCTAGAAGGCAATCACAGGACTGAAAATAATTCAAAGGATTCTGGTCTTTCAATTAAGCATGTGTCTGCCTCAGAGCACAGATCATTATAAGGGAATTGTAAGTTACCTCCCACCAATCCCCTCTAACAGCACAGCTCCCAGTGGCGAGGTGAGAGCTGGTCTCTTTTGTGCTTGCCTCTCTGCTGCTTACTAGCCTGGAGGCCAGCAGCCACCAGCCTCGCAGCCCTGGATCCTCACAGGTAATAGCAACACCCCTACTGGCTGCCTCCCCTTGTGCAGAAGACATCAGTTTTCTGGCTACCCACTACCTGGATATGCTCTCCACGGGACAGGAGGGCCTTAGAAGGCAGTAGAGAGAAACATCTCACCACTCCCTGGAAAGGCACAGGGTGGCGCACACTGTGCCCAGCACCAGCAGTAGGATGTGAGACCTGGAGCTTTGCAGCTAAGAGCTAATAGTTATTTAAAACGACATGAAGAATACTGAATTGCACACTGGGCTCAAGATGGAGAAGTGAAAGACTGAAAGGTAAAGCAGTGCCCCTGCCCTTCTCAGGGCATCCCCACCGAGCCACCCTTCAGGCAAGGAGCTGGCCCAGCACTTCAAGGGCTAAGCCCTTCCTGAAGAGTCACTGCATTTGCCGCTTTTAAATAATACATCTCCCTTCTGCTTGGCTGCAGAGCCCAGAAACAACCCCAAAGCTCCAAGAGGGCAGCTCTGCCCTTGAGCACCCACGTGCCCTTCTCCCTGACACCCTCCTGCTTATTCCGTCGCAATCCTGACTGCCCAGTCCATCAGTCATGTACACTCTGAAACAGTGGGTGAGAAAATACACAAACCATGGACACCACTGGGGAGTCAGAACTCCTACCCCTGCCTCACAGTAACCAGGGGCCTCTAGGCAAAGTGGGAAGCCTGGACTTCGTCTCCAGCTGCCAGCGATGAGGTGAAGCACGCCCTATCCCTGCCAGAGCAGGGTCACAGAAAGATTTAACCACTTACACAGAAGATTTAAGTAAGACCTAGAGTCGCCTAACAACATGTTCTATTGAGAAAGTCACTCATGATACCAAGAACCAGGAAGATCTAAAACCAAATTTTAAACAGTTATAGAAATACCACGATGAAAGATGTTGGAATAATGTGGCAAATAATTAAAAACGGTCACGATAAAAAGGCTTCAACAAGCAATTACAAACACATGTGAAATAAATGAAAAAATAGAAAGCCTAAGACAAGAAAAGGAAGACAAAAAAAAGAAACCAAATAGAAAGTTTAGAACTGAAAAATACAATAACCAAAATAAAAAGCTCAGTGAATGGACACAGCAGTAGAATGGAGGAAAAAGGGCAAAGAATCAGTGACATAGAAGATAGAAGTTATCCAATGTGAATAACACAGAAGAAATACATGCCCCCAAGGCAGGGCACGGTGGCTCACAGCTGTAATCCCAGCACTTTCGGAGGCCGAGGCAGGCGGATCACAAGGTCAGGAGTTTGAGACCAGCCTGGCCAACATGGTGAAACCTCATCTCTATTAAAAATACAAAACTGAGCTGGGCATGGTGGCGGGCACCTATAATCCCAGCTACTCGAGAGGCTGAGACAGAAGAATCATTCGAACTAGGGAGGCGGCGGTTGCAGTGAGCCGAGAACGTCCACTGCACTCCAGCCTGGGAAACAGGGAGAGACTCCGAAGATGGGAAGGGACGGGAAGGGATGGGAAGGGACAGGAAGGGATGGGACGGGACGGGACTGGATGGGACGGGATGGGAAGGGAAGAGAGAAAGAAATGTCCCAGCAAAAAAAAAAAAAAAAAAAAAAAAAAACCAGTCTTGGGGACCTATGGGACTATAACAACTCCAGTCACTGAACTCACGAAGGGACAGGAGAAAGAAGGTGGGGTTGAAACTGTACTCTACGAAGTGATGGCTTAAAAGTTCCCAAATTTGGCAAGAGACATAAATCTACAGATCTTAGGTAAGCAAACCCTAAACAGGATGAACCCAAAGAAATCCAAACTAAGACATACAATAATCAAACTCCAAAAAACAAAAGACAAAACATTTCAAAAGCCACTAAACAAAAACTGCCTTAACTATCGTGCATTAACAAGTCAAATGACAGCGAATTTCTCATCAGAAACCATGGAGCCCAGCTGAAAGTACAAAATATTTTTTAAACAATGAAAAGAACCATTAACCCAGAATTCTTATATCCAGCAAAAATGTCCTTCAGGAATGAAAAGGAAAGCAAAACATTCTCAGAGGAAGTGAAACAGAATTTGTCACCAGAAGACCCACACCAAAAGAAAGGCTAATGGAAGTTCTCTAAGCAGAATGGCAACCATCAAAGAAAACCCTGGAACTTCTGGAAGGAGGAGATGACAAGCACACCAACGCATAAATACAATAGACTTTTCCCTCACCTCTTGACTTTGCTAAATTACGTCTGAAGGTTCAACCAAAAATTATAACATTGTCATATGTGGTTATCAATGTAAGTAAATGAAATATTTAAGGCAAGTATGTTATGAACAGGAGAACATAAAGGAACGTCAAGGGAGGTAGTTTCTATATCCCTGAAGCTGGTAAATGACAACACCAGGTACAATCTGATAAGTGTTCATATATACACAGGTTGAGTGTCCCTTATAAAATGCTCAGGAGCACAAGTGTTCCAAATTTCAGATTTGTATCAGATTTAGGAATATCTGCATATAAATAATGAGATATTTTGGGGATAGGACCCAAGTCTAAATACATTCATTTATGTTTTATATATAACTTATACACAGAGCCTGAAGGTAATTTTATACAGCATGCTTAATAATTTTGTGCATGAAACAAAGTTCGTGCTAAGTACTTATGAATGGAATTTTCAATTTGGGGGCATCATGCTGGAGTGCCAAAAAGTTTCAAATTTTGGGGCATTTCAGATTTTGGATTTTGGGTTTAGAGATGCTCAATCTGTATGTAACATATTACCTAGAAAAGCCACTAAAGAAGCTATACAAAAAGATACACTCTAAAACACTACAGATAAAATAGAATGCTAAAAATGGTCAAGTAAACCACAGAGAGCCAGGAAGAACCAAACCGAAAAAATGAAAAACAGAAGAAATAGAAAATACAAAACAAAATGGCAGTGTTAAGCCTCAGTTTACTAATAATGACATTAAATTAAATGTAAACAGTCTAAATGCATCAATTAAAAGACACCAGGAGAGCAGACTAGAGAACATGATCCAACTATATGTTGTCCATAAGAAAGTGACTTCAAACAGGCAAACTGAAAATAGAAGTATAGAAAAAAAAAAAGATCATGCAAACATTACTGAAAGGACAGCAGAAGTTGGCTACATTTATATCAAATAAAGTAAACTTCAGAGCAAAGATAATTACCAGGAAGGCCGGGCACAGTGGCTCACGCCTGTAATCCTAGCACTTTGGGAGGCCAAGGTGGGTGGATCTCAGGAGTCTGAGACCAGCCTGGCCAACATGGCAAAACCCCATCTCTACTAAAAATACAAAAAGTAGCTAGGTGTGATGGCAGATGCCTATAATCCCAGCTACTCAGGAGGCTGAGGCAGGAGAATCACTTGAACCCGGTGGGGTTGGAGGTTGCAGTGAGCTGAGATCGTGCCACTTCACTCCTGCCTGGGCAAAAGGAGCGAAACTCCGTCTCGGAAAAAAAAAAAAAAAAAAAAAAAAAAAAAAGATAATTACCAGGAACAGATGGCAACATTACAAAATGAGAACTTGGTCAATCCACCATTAAGACGCAGCAATTCAAAACGTGCATACACCAAACAAACAAAGAAACAATGAATAGAACTGAAAGGAGAAAAAGACATTTATACTTTTATAGTTGGAGACCTCAAAGTCTCTCTCTACAGCTGATAAAATTAGAAGACAGAAAAGCTGCCAAGATATAGAATTCAACATCACCATCAATCAACTGGATCCAATCAAAATTTACAGAACACTCCAGCCAATAACAGCAGAATACATAATCTGTTCAAGCATCCACAAAACAAATACTAAGTTAGAACATATTCTGAGGCATAAAACAAACCTAACAAATTTTTTGAAATTAAAATCACACAGCATATGTTCCCTCAAACAATGGAAACAAATTAGAAGTCAACAAGAGAACAATTACAGGAAAATTGCCTAACTCTCAGAAACTAAACAATAAACTTCTAAATAATCCATGGATCAAAGAGGAAGTCTCAAGGGAAATTTTAAAATATATTCTGAACTGAGAGAAAATGCAAGTACAATACATCAAAATGCATGGGAAAGAGCTACAGTGGGTGATGAGAAATTTACAGCACTAAATAAATGATATATTAGAAACTTGGAAACAAATCAATAATATAAGTGCCCGCCTCGACAACCTAAAAGAAAAAAAAAATAGCAAAATCAACCCAAAAGTAAGCAGAAAAGAAGAAATAATTAAGGAAAGAGTAGAAACAAAGTGAAAACAGAAAACCAATAAACAGTAAAGCAAAAAGCTGGTTCTTTGATAAGATCAATAAAACTGACAAACCTCTCTAAGCATGACTGACAAAAAAAAAAAAAAAAGACATAAATTACCAACATTAGTGATGAAACGGACTCTAAAGATACCAAAAAAGATAATTAGGAATTACTAGGAACAACTCTACACATGTAACTTTGACAACTTGGGCAAAATGGACTTATTCCTCAAATAATACAAATTACCACAACTCACCAAATATAAAATAGATCATTTGAATAGCCCTACCACTATCAAGAAAACTGAATTCATAATTCAAAGAATCCGAAAAAAAAGAAATTACCAGACCCAAATGAACTCACTGGATAATTCCATCAAACATTAAAAAAGAATTAACACGGACTCAAAACAATCTCTTCTGGAAACTAGAAGAGGAAAAACTTCCCAATTCATTTTAAGAAGCTACTATTAAGAAGCTAATATTAGAAGCTAATATTAAGAAGCTAATATTAGAAGCTAATAGAAGCTAATATTAAGAAGCTAATATTAGAAGCTAATATTAACATTTTAAGAAGCTAATATTAGGTACTGTACCTAAAGACAGTACAAAGTACAGAACAATATATATACAGAGACACAAAAATATACAGCGAATTATTAGCAAGTAGAATTAAACAATATATAAAAAGAATTCCACATCATTGCCAAGTAGTTTCATTCCAGGAATGTAAAGTGGGTTCAACAGTCAAAAATCAATGTAACCCACCCTATTAATAGGCTAAAGAACAAAAATCACATAATTACATATCAATTGATTTAGAAAAAGCAAATGACAAAATTCAATACTCATGAATGATAAAAATTCTCAGAAAATAGCAACAAACGGGAACTTCATCATCTTGATAAACAGCATTTACAACACCTTAAGCTAAAACCTATGCCAAAAACAATGTCAGAAAGGGTCCTCCCAGACCTATTTACACGGCAGAGAGAATCATTAAGAATGATTTAGATAGTTACTAAGAGTTTACTCCCCTAAAAGATTACAACACCCAATGGCCAGCAAGCCCTTTTCATTAGACAAAAAGAAAAGCTGTGATCTGTCAACACTCTCAGAAGGTTCACTGTGAAATGTGCACTTCTGAACTCCTGCTGAGGGCCTACACGCTGCAATGTTGAGAAGCAAGTGTCCAGAGGTCTCCTTGGAAACATTGCAAAAAAAATGTGAGGGACTGATGGATGAATAGAGGGACAAAAAAGTGGAGAGAGCGGTGATAAAGCACGTGGGATAATGCCAGCGGCACAGTCTCAGGTGGTGAATATGTGCGTGCGCGCTGTAAAATTCTTTCAACTTTTCTGTATAATTTTTTTCATAATAAAACGTTGGAAAAAAATAAACCTGTGAAAAAGGAAGCTTTAGTCAAACATATCTAAGCAAAAGAAAAAACAAATTCTAAATTCCTATGGCTCAAATTAATGTGTTTTTCTTTTTAGGCTGAGATGGAAGAGCAAAAAAACAGAAAAAGAAATGAAAGGAATAGGAGCTATTCTAATAGCTACAAATTCCACCTGCAGTTTGATTAAAGATGGAGTGGCTCAAGAATATGCTTTGAATCCAAGCCCCTTCAAGGCTGCCAGGTAGAGAGTCGGTTCTGCGAAAGCTCTGTACCTGTGAGCAAGCAGAGCTTCCAAGTAAACCCTCTTCATTAAAGCCACCCTGAGTCAATAAGCTGGGCTTTAATCTGAGCAAGAAAGGTGTATTTCGGGTCTAGTTACCTACCCATAACTGTAGGTACTTTGATACCTAGGTGAGGGGAAACAAGGAGAAAGGCAAAACAACAGATTTTTAAAATCACAACAAATCTTTATCAAACATTTGTGCCAGGCACTGACTTAGGAGCTTCAAATGCATTACTTCATGTCAGTTGCACAGCAACTCTCTAAGTACTTTCACTTATTTTATATATAATTTTAATTATTTACATTATATTATACTTATTCCTCTTTTTTTTTTTTTTTTTTTGGTTTGAGATGGAGTCTCACCCTGTCACCCAGGCTAGAGTGGTGGTGCAATCTTGGCTTACTGCAAGCTCCGCCTCCTGGGTTCACGCCATTCTCCTGCCTGAGCTTCCCGAGTAGCTGGGACTACAGGTGCCCACCACCACGCCCAGCTAATTTTTTTGTATCTTTAGTAGAGACGCTGTTTCACCGTGTTAGCCAGCATGGTCTCGATCTCCTGACATCATGATCCACCCACCTCAGCCTCCCAAAGTGCTGGGATTAGGCGTGAGCCACTGCTCCCAGCCACTTATTCCTACTTTATACATGAGAGGCCCAAGGTGAGACAAAGTGATTTGTGTAGAGTCAGAGATAAAGCCAAAATTGATACCCAGACAGACTGAAAAACTTCTCTGTCAGAAGATCTAGAAACGGTAAAGGGAGATCTTCAAACTGAAGGAAAACGATAACACAAGGCAGCTGGGACAGAAACAAAACCTTAAGGGCCCATAATGGTAAAATGTAAGTTAACATAAAAAACTTTTTTCTGGCCAGCCATGGTGGCTCTTTGGGAGGCCGAGGTGGGTGGATCACCTGAGGTCAGGAGTTCGAAACCAGCCTGACCAACATGACGAAACCATGTCTCTACTCAAAAATACAAAATTAGCCAGGTGTGGTGGCGTATGCCTGTAATCCCAGCTACTCGGGAGGCTGAGCCAGAATCGTTTGAACCCAGGAGGGAGGCAGAGGCTGCAGTGAGCCAAGATCATGCCATTGCACTCCATCCTGGCAGCCTGGGCAACAAGACCAAAACTCCGACTCAAAAAAAAAAAAAAAAAGAGGCCAGGTGTGGTGGCTCACACCTATAATCCTATAATCCCAGCACTTAAGGGTGGCTGAGGCACGTGGATCACCTAAGGTCAGGAGTTCAAGGCGAGCCTGGCAAACACAGTGAAACCCTGTCTCTACTAAAAATACAAAAACATTAGCCAGGCACGGTGGTGCCTGCCTGTAATCCCAGCTACTAGGGAGGCTGAGGCAGGAGACTCGCTTGAACCCACGTGGGGGAGGTTGCAGTGAGCTGAGATTGTGCCATTACACTCCAGTCTGGGCAACAACAGCAAAACTCCATCTCAAAAAAAAAAAAAAAAGACTTTTTTTTCTCTTTTCAAATTTGAGGGGAAAAAATGTAATTGCCTATTTAAAGCAAAAACAAAAACATCATATTGTGGGGTTTATACCATGTTTCACTTGGACATGACACAGCAACACTGCCAACCAAGAACATGTCAGAAGCAGGAAGCTACAGTCAGAGCACTGCCCCGCAGCTCAGGCAGTGTAATACCATTTGAGAGTGGACAGTGACAAGTGAAAGATGTAACTGAAAACGCCAGAGATGATAGATTTAAACCCAAGTAGTCTAAAGATTCCAAATAAAAAACAGAGGTTGCCAGGGTGAATAAAGAAGCAAGACCTAATTATATGATACCTGAAAGAAATGCACTTTACACATACACAAAGGTTGAAAGTGAAAAAAGCTAAACTTGGCAAACACACCACGCAAACACCAAATCAGAAGAAAGGAGAGTAGTCAGACCAAGGTGACTTCACAACAAAGAATGTCACTGGAGATAAAGGGGGTCAAATTTACAAATATGATGTAAAAATCCTAAAAGTGCATGCACCTTATAACATTCTCAAATACATGAAGCAAAACCTGCAGAGCTGAGAGAAAATAATCCATAATTAGCATGAGAGATTTCAATCCTCCTCAGAAGAAAGAGGAACTAAGCAGTGAAACTGCTCTTCATGCCTCCCCAGCACGATGGAGATACTCCTGGGAAATAAAGCCAGTCGCTGGAGCTGATCTCCCCAGAACGCTGAGACTGGCTTCTCTATAAATAAATGACTGGTATTCGCTAAGAGAAGTGTCCTTATCTATGAAATGTTTTTAGCAAGATGTGGTTAGTTTAGGATTGTGTTTGGTAAACATACCTAAAATCCATGGACTTACGGGACATGGCTCCCTGGAAAACGTTCCCTAAGGTGTATAAACTATCTGACTACAAAAGGGAAACACTGCACATCCTTAATGCTCCTTGTGCAGTGAGAGGACGACACACCTCAGTGAGAGGATGACACGCCGCAGTGAAAGGACGACACATCTGAGAGGAAGACACACCTCAGTGAGAGGACTACACACCTCAGTGAGAGGATTACACACCTAAGTGAGAGGACCACACACCTCAGTGAGAGGACAACACACCTCAGTGAGAGGTCTCATCTCTCAGGCGGGGTTCAAAGAGGACGGACCTGCAGGAGTTGCACAGACTCTCCCACATCTCTCCCCACTTTGCCTGAGCACACAAGTGAGGATATAACTTGTATCTTTAAAGTTACTAAATAATCAGGTACGGGTAAGATCTCTGAGATTCATGTCAAACTAATGCAGTAAGCCAACCTTGTGTGTTAGTTCAACTCCTCTCCTAACAGTGAATAGAACAAGTAGGCAGAAAATTATTTCAAGTCAAGGATACCTGAACACTATCAACTTGATCTCATTAAGCTTTACAGAGCAGCAAAACACACTTTTTTTTTTTGAGATGTAGTCTCGCTTTGTCACCCAGACTAAAGTGCAGGGGTGCAATCAAGATTACAGGCACCCACCACCACACCCAGCTAATTTTTGTATGTTTCATAGAGACAGGGTTTCACCATGTTGGCCAGGCTGGTCTCAAACTCCTGACCTCAAGTAATCCACCCACCTCAGCCTCCCAAAGTGTTGGGATTACAGGCATGAGCCACCACACACAGCTACATTCTTATTATGTGTGCATGAAACATTCCACAGAATACACCATATTCTGGGGCTTCAGACAAGCCTCAACATTGAAATCACAGAATATGTTCTCTGACTACAACTAATTTAGAAATTAACAGGAGATATTTGAAAATCCCCAAATACTTGGAAATGAAATAACAATTTCCAAATAATAAGCGGGTAAAAGAAGAAATTAAAAGGGAAATTAGAAAATATTTTCAACTGAATGAAGATGAAAATGAATAAACATTTCCAAATTTGTGAAATGTGGCTAAACAATGCTTAGAGGGAAATTTATATTATAGTTTTGAACACTTGTTAGAAAAGACAAAAAATCTAAAGTCAATGATCTAAGCCTTTGCCTTAAGAAACTAGGAAAGACAGAAGAGCAAATGGAACCCAAAGCCAGCAGAAAAAAGGAAATAATAAAGAGTAAAGCAGAAATCAATGAAAAAGAAAACAAAATCAATAAAACCAACAACTGGTTCTTTGAAAAAACTCAAATTGATAACTTCTGGGAAGACTGATCCAAACGGAAAGAGAGAAAATACAAGGCACATTTCAGCACATTTCTGGATAACAGGTAGTACATGCTGGTACTTACTACATGCAAGATAATAGCATACGCACTTTGTCTGGCCTACTGTGCTGATCCTATAATAACCTACGAGGTAGGTACTACTATTAACCCCAAATACGAATTTTTTTTTAAGAAACAGAGACCCTGTCACCCAGGCTGGAGTGTAGAGGCACAATCATAGATCACTGCAGCCGCAAACTGCTGGCCTCAAGCAATTCTCTCACCTCAGCATCCCAAAGTGCTGGGATTACAGGCGTGAGATACCATGGCAGGCGTCACAAATTATTTTTATATATGTACATTTACATATGTATGTCCATGCAAGGAAAAAAAACCCTGAATATCCACACCGAAGGGATAATAGTGGCTAACTCTTAGAGGAAAGCTGAAACTGGGGTGGGCAGTCAGGTGAAATTTCTGCTTTTATAATCTATACATTTTTATAAGAAATATTCTATGTATATTTTTAATTGGAATGAAAATGCATTAGACATTTAAAAAATTGAATTACACAAAAAAAAGTAAGCAAAGAATAAATGTATGGGTTTTACTGGGCTGGATAAAGGGAAGAGATTATGAAAGTCCATCCATGATAAAGAACTCCTATAACCCAAAACAAAAACCTCAATTAAAAAATGGAATTAGCCGGGTGTGGTGGTGCACGCCTGTAGTCCCAGCTACTCGGAAGGCTGAGGCAGGAGAATGGCATGAACCCGGGAAGCGGAGGTTGCAGTGAGCCAAGATCACGCCACTGTACTCCAGCCTGGGCGACAGAACAAGACTCCGTCTCAAAGGAAAAAAAAAAAAAAAAAAAAAAAAAAGAGGCAAAAGGGCCAGGTGCAGTGGCTCATGCCTGTAATACTAGCACTTTAGGAGGCCAAGGTGGGTGGATCACCTGAGGTCAGGAGTTCAAGACCAGCCTGGCTAACATAGTGAAACTTCGTCTCTACTAAAAATACAAAAAATTAGCCAGGCATGGTGGCGGACACCTGTAATCCCAGCTACTCGGGAGGATGAGGCAGGAGAATCACTTGAACCTGGGAGGTGGAGATTGCAATGAGCCAAGATTGCACCACTGCACTCCAGCCTGGGCAACAAGAGCCAAACTCCATCTCCAAAAAAAAAAAAAAAAAAAAAAACCAGGCAAAGTATTTGAATAGACATTTCTCCAGTGAATGTATACAAATGGTCAATAAGCATGTAAAAAGATGCTCAGCATGACTACTCAACAGGGAAATGCAAATCAAAACAATGAGATGCTGTACCTACTCACACAAATTAGGATGGCTATCATCAGAAAACAAAAAGTGTTGGTGAGGGTGTGGAGAAATGGGAACCTTAGTATACCGCTGCAAGAATATAAAACAATGTAGCCACTGTGGAAAACAGTTTACTGCTTCCTCAAACAGTTACACGTAGTGCCAGGTGCGATGGCTCACACCTGAAATCTCAGCAACTCAGGAGTGTGAGGCAGGGAGATCCCTTGAAGCCAGGAGTATAAGACCAGCCTGGGCAACACAGTGAGATTCTGTCTCTAATTAGTCAAGCGTGATGGCTGGGCAACAATGTGAATATACTTCATGCCAATGAACTCTACACATAAAAATGGTTAAAACGGTAAGTTTTATGGTATGTATATTTTACCACAATATTTAAATTTTTTATTTACTTTTTTTAAAATTGTTACCAAAAAAATACTAAGAATCCATCCAAGTTATTTAGAAAGGGAGCGTCAGATCAACCTTTCCAAAGTGCCAAAATTCACAAGATTACCTGGTTGCTTGCCCCATACCCAGCTGTCCAGAATTGACTTGGCCCTATATATAGGTGCAGGAGTTTCTTCTTCATCTTTTTTCTCTTTGTCATTCAGATCTTCTTTCTTTGTTCCACTTGGTTCGACACTATCATCTGCAGAATTAAAAATTTTTTAATCTGTCACCGCTTTTCAGAATGCCATACCATTAGTCTCTGCAAATGTCCCTCCCCGAAAAGTTACAACACACATCATTAACTGAATGTTGGACAACGTAAAAATAAAATACATCAATCATACCTGTAACAGACCCAGTATAATTTTCATAAAGAAACCAATATATCGGCCAGGCGTGGTGGCTCACGCCTGTAATCCCAGCACTTTGGGAAGCCATGGCGGGTGGATCACAAGGTCAGGAGATCGAGACCATCCTGGCTAACACGGTGAAACCCCATCTCTACTAAAAATACAAAAAATTAGCCAGCCGTGGTGGCGGGCGCCTGTAGTCCCAGCTACTCAGGAGGCTGAGGCAGGAGAATGGCGTGAACCCGGGAGGCAGAGCTTGCAGTGAGCTGAGATCACACCACTGCACTCCAGCCTGGGTGACAGAGCGAGACTCTGTCTCAAAAAAAAAAAAAAAAAAAGAAACCAATATAACAAATTATTTAAAGCATGTCTTCCAAAGTGATATTCCATCTACTTCCTAGTACATTTCTCAACTGAGAAACTTAAGTCTTTGATATTTACCTACTTCAATTTCACACCAATTGCTTTTATCCAGTGAGTCCCAATGCTTGTGTATCCATGGGAAAAGGGAGGGTGTAGAACAGGAGTATGATTCAAAAATCTTTTAACTCTTTACAAGGCCCTACTCCACTGCCAACTGGGAAGCACTGCTATGCAGAGGCACTGTGACTGATAGCATAATTCAAGAGCACTGGGAAACAAAGGAAAAGCTGAGAAAAATCACTTTAGGCCACTGACAATGTCAAGTTTCAGTCAAAAACAACTGTCATAAAACTCCTTACACAGTAAGCGAAGAGAAGAGAGAACTAACCTTAACCTTGAAGTGTAAACACGTTCCATCACAGAAGGCTGTGACTAAATGTCTAACAACATAATTAGAAAAATGTATCTCAATCGGTGAAAGACACGATATCCCATCCAGATTACAAATAATGACTATCTAAAAATCTCGAAGGAAACAGTTCCTCTGTTTACAACATTTCTGACACCAAATGCATGGACTTTTGCACCAAGTAATTCTCCAGTTCTCTGCGACATCCAGCTGTGTGTCCCACAGTGCAATTCAATTCTGAAACTAACTACCTAGAATTAGCACAGACCCCACAGGTTAATAACAGGAGAGAAAAGGTGAATGCTGAAAAAAATATCCAAAGAACTAATGGCTGAAAACTTCCTAGGTTCAGCAAATGACATAAACCCAGGCAGACTGAAGAATCTGCACAAAGCCCACACAAGATAAATCCAAAGGAAGCCATGACGAGGCACATCATAATCAACTGCTAAACACTAAGGACAAAACCTTTTGAAAAGTGCCACGGAAAGTAGATACAGAAGAATTTCTCGTGTGGCCTGAAATTAAGACTAAATATTACGTGCTGCCTTGACATTGGTAAAATCAAGAAGGCCTCAAATAGCCTAACCACAAGGTCTCCCCTGAGCTCTGCTCTCACGGATAAGATCCCAAAGCCAAACAACCTCCTTATCGCGGAAACCCGACCCCAGCCTGCTCATCCCTGCCGGCCCAGAGTTATTCAAACAAGCCAGTCACATCTTCCCATGGGAAGCAAGGTCACCTCACCCTGTTCTTACTACAAAATGTGCCTCCCACAGCCCCTCGTGGTTCACTCTGTTCCCAAGTGCAGCCCCCGTGTGGCATGCGGTGTCCCCCACCCCCAGGGCTGTGAGCATGCGTGACTAATAAACTGCTATTTCATCTGTCCAGTGTCAGTGTCCTACGTTCAGCCATCCCATATCCCTAGGGCAGGAATCTTCTAGGGTTATAAACAGAACTTTAATCAACCTCTCCTTGGTTATTTTACTGGTTCCATGATACAGCTTTTTCTGTGCAAAAGATCTGAACAGAAACTCACAGAGGATACAAGAGTGGCAAAAAAGAACATGATATTCAGCATTGTTAGCCATTACAGAATTGCAAATTAAAACCACAATGAGATCCCACTAGACTTGTTAGAATGGCTCAACTAAAAAACACTGATAACACCAAGTGCTAACAAAGACACAGACCAAGAGAAATGTTACAGATTGCCAGTGGGAATGCAAACTAAAACAGCCTCCAGTTTACCAAGGTAGACACCTTGGGTCACAGAATACAGAATAGAACCCAGCCAGGAACACAGCTCAGGTGAGAACACAGGTGCTGCTTCTAAAGGCCAGACTCTGTCCTACATGTGTGTGGGGGGGGGGGAGTGGGGGGGAGGCGGTGGGGGGGTCACTAACCACAGCCCACAGGACAAACCCAGCCCACAGCCTCTTTGTGTATGGTCTGAAAACAGGGAAAGTATTTTACTTTTGTTGTTCTTTTGAGACAGAGTCTTGACTCACCACAACCTCTGCCTCCCAGGTTCAAGTGATTCTCCCAAGTTCAAGTGATTCTCGTGCCTCAGCCCCCAAGGAGCTGGGATTACAGGCGTGCATCACCATGCCCAGCTAATTTTTTGTTTTTAGTAGAGATGGGGTTTCACCATGTTGGCCAGGCTGGTCTCGAACTCCTGACCTCAGGTGATCCGCCTGCCTCGGCCTCCAAAAGTGCTGGGATTACAGGTGTGAGCCACCACGCCCGGCCACCGTATTTTATAGTTTTTAATAATTGAAAAATAATCAAAAGAAAAACAGTATTTTGTGACTTGCAAACATTCTGTGGACTTCATCTTTTCGTGTCCATAAATAAAGTTTACAGAATGAACGTCCCCTGCCCGCTGACATAGTACTGTCTGTGGCTACTCTGGCACTACAGCTGCAAGGTCCCATGGCTATGACAGAGACCATAGGGTCCACTGAGACCTTAAAATATTTACTATCTGGCCCTTTACAGAAAGTAGGCCACCCCCACCCTACATCTGGCTATAAATTTTACATATTTGACAAATTCTGAGACCCTGTCTCAGAAAATAAAATAAAATATTCATAGTCTTAATAATGGAAAACAAAAACATTTATTGAATGTCAAAATATCTCCCTAACACCCCGAATCAGTTGGGATCTACATAAAAAACAATTATGCTCTGCTTTCCAATCATGATTTTTAAAAGAACAAAGGACAAAAAAATTCATCAAATGTGGGCCGGGCATGGTGGCTCACACCTGTAAACCCCACACTTTGGGAGGCCGAGGTGGGCAGATCATGAGGTCAGGAGTTCAAGACCAGCCTGACCAAGATGGTGAAACTCCATCTTTATTAAAAATACAACAATTAGCTGGGCATGGTGGAGGGTGCCTGTAATCCTAGCTACTCAGGAGGCTGAGGCAGAGAACTGCTTGAACCGGGGAGGCAGTGGTTGCAGTGAGCCAAAATCATGCCGCTACACTCCAGCCTGAGCGACAGAACAAGACTCCCTCTCGAGAGGAAAAAACACACAAAAAATATTCATCAAATGTAATGAATAAAACATATACTTTGGATTTTGCCATGTACTTAGCTTTTCTTAGAGCACCTTTTAGAACTATTGTTTCACAGAAAACACTTTGGGAAAAATTTTAATTTATAAACAAATACTGGAGGGCTAGGAAGAAGAGGTTAAAACTTTTTAAAATATACAGAATGAATTACTGATACATAAAAAAAAAAAAAAAAAAAGGTTGCTGATTCCTGTCTTGGAAGACACTGTCATATGGACACTCTTAGCCTCAGCATCCAGAGGTCCAGAAAGGGAAAATTTCAAGTCAGAGAGAATTCTATATATACCACTTACTTGGAACATTCAGCCCTCAAAATCCCAACATCATGACCTCAGTTTCAACACAATTGTCCTTAGTCCTTATGTCACTGCTTTTGGTGCTGCCTGCTGTCAAGGCAGTGGAAGCCAGTGATGCAACTGCTCTCTCGTTAAAAGGTGTGGTTCTCAGTATTACAGGTGTTTGTACTTGCTTGCGGGCATACGCACGAAAGATAAAAATGAACAGATGTGACTTTGAAGGGCCTAATGAATGAAACCTCACCCTGAAAACCTTTGTGCTACTGAAACTAAATGTAAGCTTTGGTGTCTGAAAGTTTCCAAGAATTACTAAGTAGGAGAGTTTTACTTTCTGAGTTGATTCCATGAAATGGGAACAAATTGGTACATAAATGGATTTTGCCCAGAATCCTAGGAAATCGCCACTGTTCAGTCGTAATCACTGCCTCCTAAATCACTGAGTCTGTTCTCTGTATTTTTATTAGACTTTTGTCATCTCCCAAATTCAGATATCCAATAGTCAGCCAAAAAGGGAAACTTTTATCTCTGGAAAGAAAAAAAATCACTTAGAAAAATGTATTCAGTGTATCTAATACTGAAATGGAGAAAAGACTTAATGTTAAAGAAAAAAAAAACACTATAGACATTGACATGGAAAAGAGATTTAATGTTAAAAAAACTTTATATTAACTGAGTAACACCTCCTGATGAGAAGTGCTATATTAAATATAAACCCATTATGTTGTTTAAAAAAAAAAACATGAAAATCAAAAGCACTAAACAGAGTGAAAGAAGCCAGACACAGAAGAACCCGACTACGTGATTCCATGTATGGAGTTCTAGAACAGGCGCAATTTGTCAAATGCTGGAGAAACATCAGGCCAACTATTGCCTCTGGGAAGAAGGGGCAGGACACCAGAGAACTTTCTGAGCAAGAGTCATGATAAAGATGTGGGTTACATGGGTTACATTTGTCAAAACTTGTGAAATGGTAAACTCAAAATAGATACATTTCATTATATACAAATTTTACCTGAAAGTCAAAAACAAAGTTGAACTAGAATCAATTACATACATGAGTGTCTAAGGAGCTAGGTGAGACAAACGGTGGATGGACAGACAGCAGGATGTGGAGCCAAATACGGTGGCAGAACATGGAGGTGGGTCTGCAGCCACTCACTGTACACGTCTGTCAGTTATTGTGTGTGTGTGTGTGTGTGTGTGTGTGTGTGTGAATATTTTCAAACAAATATAAAAAATAAATTAAAATAAAAACACAGGTAACTCTGCTTGACACTGAAACTGAAAAGGGAGACTAATACTTTTTCCCATGGTTTGTTTTGTGTTTTTTGTTTTTTTTTTTTTTGAGATGGAGTCTCACTCTGTCACCCAGGCTGGAGTGCAGTAGCACAATATCTGCTCACTGCAACCTCCACCTCCCGGCTCCAAGCAATTCTCCTGCCGTGCCCTCCCAAGTAGCTGGGATTACAGGCGCCCGCCACTATGCCTGGCTAATTTTTGTATTTTTTAGTAGAGACGGGGTTTCACCATGTTGGCCAGGCTGGTCTCAAACTCCCAACCTCAAATGATCTGCCCGCCTCAGCCTCCCAAAGTGCTGGAATTACAGGCATGATCCACCACGCCCGATCCCCATGTACTTTCAAGTGGACACCATCCCCATTCATTCCACAAAAGAAGAAGAAATACTTGCCAGGCACGGTGGCTCACGCCTATAATCCCAGCACTTTGGGAGGCTGAGGCGGGCGGATCACGAGGTCAGGAGCTCGAGACCATCCTGGCTAACACGGTGAAACCCTGTCTCTACTAAAAAATACAAAAAATTAGCCGGGCGTGGTGGCGGGCGCCTGTAGTCCCACCTACTTGGGAGGCTGAGGCAGGAGAATGGCATGAACCCGGGAGGTGGAGCGTGCAGTGAGCTGAGATCGCGCCACTGTACTCCAGCCTCAGCAACAGAGCAAGACTCCTTCCCCCCCAAAAAAAAGAAGAAGAAGAAATACTTTCTTCAGACTAATGCTCTCCCAACTGAGCTATTTCAACTTAGAATAAATACTTTCTAAAGTGGTAGCTTTATCCACGTTGATGACTCTCAAGCAGGGGGACCAACGAACTTCAACAGTGGTTCTCAACCAAGGATCTTTTCAGATTCAACAAGTTTAGGGTGTATACAAGCAGCCATTTTTTTAAACCTCAATGGGGACTCTGAAACACAGCCACTGTTATGAACAACATAATGATAGTCTTACTGAGCATGCAAAACTACAAAGCTAAATAAGATTGTTCAATGGCATTTCCTTGCAGGCCAAAGGCTTCCAATAAGTGTGTAATACACCCCCAAAGAACACCACAAATGCAGCAAGATGGTTTTGCAATAAAAATGCCTTCAATTAACGTAAAACAATAAAATCCGAGCAGCTTGTATTAACTACCATTTTAGACAACAATCTCCAAAGTAAAAAGCAAAACTTCAAAGAGTTAAGCTCAAAGCTCCTGTTCCTATAGCACATTACAAAATTTCTATAAAATGCATTTTATAATGGTCTTTACCAAATAAAAAACACTAGTTAAAGGCCCTTACCTTTTCTAGGAGGGAGCTCTCCGTTCTGGGTTGATTCTGTTCCAGTGTATACAATTTCTCCATCTTTAACCATTTCATTCCACAGACCACAGAGCCCATCTCTTGTGAATGCAAGCTGGCAATGATAAACGAGATAAGCTTACAGAGTGCTCACACTCACATTGCAATTTTTAAAGAATGATATGGGAAAAAAATCTCAATCCCCCTTATGTATTCGATCATTTGGTAATAAAATCAATGATTTACTGAATTAGTGATTTAATCATTTTACATTTCAGGAAAGTCATCCAAGAAATATAAATGAAAAGGTGCATAATAGTATAAATACTATGCTACCTCTTATGTAACATACAAGAAAAATGACACGTGGTCGGGCGAGGTGGCTCATGCTTGTCATCCCAGCACTTTGGGAGGCCGAGCGGGGCACATCACGGGGGATCAGGAATTTGAGACCAGCCTGGCCAACACGGTGAAACCCCGTCCCAACTAAAAATACAAAAAATTAGCCAGGCGTGGTGGCGGGCGCCTGTAATCCCAGCTACTCACGAAGCTGAGGCAGGAGAATTGCTTGAACCCAGGAGGCAGAGGTTGCAGTGAGCCAAGATCGCACCACTGCACTCAGCCTGAGTGACAAGAGCGAGACTCGGTGTTAAAAAAAAAAAAAAAAGAAAAGAAAAGAAAAAAAAGACACACACACAAACACACACACGTGCATGTGCTCTGAAAAGATAAACCAAAAGCAAGTACCAATGACTACCTACGGGGAAATGGGGAGGGGACATGGACAAAGGCAGCAGGACCAGAAAAAGCAACAACATTGTGAGTATACTTTAGATGTCTTTACTTCTGAAACATACATGACTTTCATCCTCAAAAATTAAAATTAAATCATAAAAAAGCGAAACCTACAACTGGCAACAAGCAAATTAACCCATGCATATACAAAGAAAAGTATGTCAAGGGACTTTTGAACTACATATCATTAATATAATATACTATAATGAAAAATAAAATATTTATCGGTATTGATAACACTCTCACAATTTTAGAACTACTTCATGTTGCACAATAAAGCAGTGTAAATACAATAAAACATGTTTATGATAAAGTATTAAATGTTCTTAGAAATTAAGGTTTTAGGCCGGCCACGGTGGCTCACACCCGTAATCCCAGCATTTGGCAGGCCAAGGCAGGTAAATCACTTGAGGTCAGGAGTTCATGACCAGCCTGGCCAACATGGTGAAACCCCATCTCTACTAAAAATATGAAAAATTAGCCGGGTGTGCTGGTGCATGCCTGTAATCCCAGTCACTCGGGAGGCTGAAGCAGAAGACTAGCATGAACCCAGGAGGCAGAGGTTTCAGTGAGCCGAGATTATGTCACTGCGCTCCAGCCTGGGTAAACAGAACGAGACTCCATCTCAAAAAAAAAAAAAAAAAAAAAAAAAAAAAATTAAGGTTTTCAGTGGAAAAGAGGAAAAAAAATCAAAGAAATTTTGAAAAACAACTTAAATTGGAAATCTATGAACTTTATTTTTGAATATATTTGCTTACTCTGTTTTTTAAAGGACTAGAATCAAAGGCAATCTGACAGCGGCACCCAGATTTTGGTCTCTCAGAACCATTTCCCAATAAAAGACGCTAGGGCTCTAGGGAAAATAAGTAGATTCAAGGGCCAGGGCAGACAAAGATGAGCCTGTTTCCTCAAAGAAAAAGCTGTTTCCTCAAACATGGCCAGGTGCGGTGGCTCACGCCTATAATCCTAGCATTTTGGGAGGCTGAGGCGGGCAGATCACTTGAGGTCAGGAGTTCGAGACCAGCCTAGCCAACATGCCGAAACCCCATCTCTTCTAAAAATACAAAAATTAGCTGGGCATGGTGGCAGGCGCCCATAATCCCAGCTACTTGGGAGGCTGAGGCAGGAGAATAGCCTGAACCCAGGAGGCCAAGGTTGCAGTGGGCCAAGACTATGCCACTGCACTCCAGCCTGGGTGACAGAGCAAGACTTTACCTCAAACAAAAAAAAAAAGCAGCTGTTCAAAGACTGATAGGGACTCCTGACCAAATTTATAATAATTATAATAACTGTGAGCATCAAAATCAAAAACGCCTTTGCTTGTCAACATTTGTGAGTCAGAAAAGGCTTCCCAGAACAGGAAAAGGGAGCATTTCAGACACTGGGGGAAGGCATCCATTCTGAAAACTGCGTATGCGACAGAAGCTCCCTTGTCTGGCAAAAAAAAAAAAGCCATTTTTAATTAAAAGAGACACAGATGTTTGCCCATCTTTTTTTTTTTTTAAACTTCTGTGGATACACACTAGTTGTATGTATGTGTATATATATATATATATATATATATATATATATATATATATATATGGGTTATATATTCTATCTAACTTTTTTTTTTTTTTTTTTGAGACGGATCTCGTTCTGGCACTAAGCTGGAGTGCAGTTGTGCGATCTCAGCTCACTGCAACCTTTGCCTTTTGGGTTCAAGGGTTTCTCCTGCCTCAGCCTCCAGAGTAGCTGGGACTACAGGCTCACACCACCACACCCAGCTAATTTTTGTATTTTTGGTAGAGATGGGGTTTCACCGTGTTGGCCAGGATGGTCTGGGTCTCTTGACCTCATGATCCACCTGCCTTGGCCTCCCAAAGAGCTGGGATTACAGGCGTAAGCCACTGTGCCCAGCCCTATCTAACTCCATTTTTATACCCATTAACCATCCGCACTTCACCCCCACTTTATCCTTCCCAGTCTCTGATAACCATCATTCTACTCTATCTCCATGAGTTCAATTACTTTCATTTGCTTAGCACCTACAAATAAGTGAGAACATGCAAAGTTCGATTTTCTGGGTCTGGCTCATGACATTCTGTTCCTGACTTAACGTAACGACCTCCAGTTCTATCCATGTTGTTGCAAACGGCAGTATCCCATTCTTTTTCATGGTTGAATAGTACTCCGTTGAGTATATATACCACATTTTCTTCATCCATTCATCTGCTGGGAACACTTAGGTTGCTTCCAAATCTTGGCTATTGAGAATAGTGCTGCAATAAACATGAGAGTGTACATATTTCTTCAACATACTGATATTCTTTCCTCTGGGTATATACCTACCAGTGGGATTGCTGAATCATATGATAGTCCTATTTTTAGTTTTTTGAGGAACCTCCAAGCTAATCTCCATAATGGCTGTGCTAATTTACATTCCCACCAACAGTGCACAAGGGTTCCCTTTTCTCTATATTCTTGCCAGCATTTGTTCTTGTCTTTTGGATATAAGCCATTTTAATTAGGGTGAGATAATATCTCATTATAGTTTTGATTTGCATGTCTCTGATGACCAACCATGTTGAGCACCTGTTCGTACTGCCTGTTTGTCATTTGTATATCTTCTTTTGAGAAATGTCTATTCAAATCTTTTGCCCATTCTTATTGGATTATTAGATTTTTTTCTTATAGAGGTGCTTAAGCTAATTATATATTCTGGTTATTAATCCTTTGTCAGATGGGTAGTTTGCAAATATTTTCTCCCATTCTGTGGGTTGTCTCTTCATTTTGTTGATTGTTTCCTTTGCTGTGCAGCTTTTTAACTCAATGTGATCCCACTTGTCCATTTTAGCTTTGGTTGCCTGTGTTTACGAAGTATTACTCAAGAAATCATTACCCAGTGCAATGTCCTGGAGAGTCTCCCCAATGTTTTCTTTTAGCACTTTCATAGTCTGAAGTCTTAGGTTTAAGTCTTTACTCCATTTTGATGTGATTTTCGTATATGGTGAGAGATAGCGGTCTAGTTTCATTTTTCTGCATATGGGTGTCCCATTTTCCCAGCACCATTTATCAATGAGGCTATCCTTTCCCTCACGTATCCTCCGGGCACCTCTGTCAAAGGTGAGTTCACTGTAGATGTATAGATCTGTTTCTGGGTTCTCTATTCTGTTCCATTGGTCTAGGTGTCTGTTTTTATACCAGTACCATGCTGTTTTGGTATACCTTTCTAGTAAACTTTGCACTTGATCTAAGCCAAAAAAGACCAGGAAGTGACTGTAGTATAATTTTAAGTCAGGTAATGCAATTTCTCCAGTTTTGTTTTTTGCTCAGGATGGCTTTGGCTATTCTGTCTCTTTTGTGATTCCATACAAATTTCAGGATTTTTTTTTTCTATTTCTGTGAAGAATGTCATTGGTATTTTGATAGGGATTACATTGAACCTGTAGATTGCTTTGGGTAGTACAGACATTTTAACAATATTGATTCTTCCAATCCATGAACACGGAGTATCTTTTCCTTTTTTGTGTGTCTTCTTCAATTTTCTGCATCACTGTTTTACAGTTTTCGTGGTAGAGATCTTTTCACTTCTTGGGTTAGTTTTATTCCTACGTATTTTACTTTATTTGTAGCTATTATAAATGGAATTATTTTTCTTGATTTTTCATATTGTTCACTGTTGACATACAGAAATGCTACTGATTTGGCCGGGCACAGTGGCTCATACCTGTAATCCCAGCACTTTGGGAGGCCAAGGCAGGCGGATCACCTGAGGTCAGGAGTTCAAGACCAGCCTGGCCCATGTGGTGAAACCCTGTCTCTACTAAAAATACAAAAATTAGCCAGGCCTGGTGGCAGGCGCCTGTAATGCCAGCTACTCAGGCAGCTAAGGCAGGAGGATCGCTTCAACCCAGGAGGCAGAGGTTGCAGTGAGCCGAGATTGCGCCATTGCTTTCCAGCCTGGGCCACAGAGTGAGACTCCATCTCAAAAAAAAAAAAAAAAAAAAAAAAAAACAGAGAAATGCTACAGATTTTTGTATGTTAATTTAGTATCCTGCAATTTTACTGAATTTATCAGTTCTAATCATTTTTTGGTGGAGTTTTCAGGTTTTTCCAAATATAACAATCATCTGCAAACAAGAATAACTTGGCATCTTCATTTCCAATTTGGATGCCCTTTATTTCTTCTTTTTTTTTTTTTTTTCCTGAGATGGAGTCTTGCTCTGTAGCCCAGGCTGGAATATAGCGGCACAATCTCAGCTCACTGCAATCTCCACCTCCGGGGTTCAAGTGATTTCCCTGCCTCAGCCTCCCGAGTAGCTGGGACAACAGACACCCGCCACCACGCCTAGCTAATTTTTATATTTTTAGTAGAGACAGGGTATCACCGTGTTGGCCAGGCTTCAAACTCCTGACCTCAAGTGATCCACTCACCTCAGCCTCCCAAAGTGCTGGGATTACAGGTGTGAGCCACTGCACCCGGCCTTTCTCTCTCTTATCTGACTCCTCTAGCAAGGGCTTCCATTTTTTTTTTTTTTTTTTTTTTTATACTTTAAGTTTTAGGGTACATGTGCACATTGCGCAGGTTAATTACATATGTATACATGTGCCATGCTGGTGTGCTGCACCCACTAACTCGTCATCTAGCATTAGGTATATCTCCCAATGCTACCCCTCCCCCCTCCCCCCACCCCACCCCACCACAGTCCCCAGAGTGTGATATTCCCCTTCCTGTGACCATGTGATCTCATTGTTCAATTCCCACCTATGAGTGAGAATATGCGGTGTTCGGTTTTTTATTCTTGCGATAGTTTACTAAGAATGATGGTTTCCAATTTCATCCATGTCCCTACAAAGGACATGAACTCATCATTTTTTATGGCTGCATAGTATTCCATGGTGTATATGTGCCACATTTTCTTAATCCAGTCTATCATTGTTGGACATTTGGGTTGGTTCCAAGTCTTTGCTATTGTGAATAATGCCGCAATAAACATACGTGTGCATGTGTCTTTATAGCAGCATGATTTATAGTCATTTGGGTATATACCCAGTAATGGGATGGCTGGGTCAAATGGTATTTCTAGTTCTAGATCCCTGAGGAATCGCCACACTGACTTCCACAATGGTTGAACTAGTACCAAAACAGACATATAGATCAATGGAACAGAACAGAGCCCTCAGAAATAACGCCGCATACCTACAACTATCTGATCTTTGACAAACCTGAGAAAAACAAGCAATGGGGAAAGGATTCCCTATTTAATAAATGGTGCTGGGAAAACTGGCTAGCCATATGTAGAAAGCTGAAACTGGATCCCTTCCTTACACCTTATACAAAAATCAATTCAAGATGGATTAAAGATTTAAACGTTAGACCTAAAACCATAAAAACCCTAGAAGAAAACCTAGGCATTACCATTCAGGACATAGGCGTGGGCAAGGACTTCATGTCCAAAACACCAAAAGCAATGGCAACAAAAGCCAAAATTGACAAATGGGATCTAATTAAACTAAAGAGCTTCTGCACAGCAAAAGAAACTACCATCAGAGTGAACAGGCAACCTACAACATGGGAGAAAATTTTCGCAACCTACTCATCTGACAAAGGGCTAATATGCAGAATCTACAATGAACTCAAACAAATTTACAAGAAAAAAACAAACAACCCCATCAAAAAGTGGGCGAAGGACATGAACAGACACTTCTCAAAAGAAGACATTTATGCAGCCAAAAAATACATGAAAAATGCTCATCATCACTGGCCATCAGAGAAATGCAAATCAAAACCACTATGAGATACCATCTCACACCAGTTAGAATGGCAATCATTAAAAAGTCAGGAAACAACAGGTGCTGGAGAGGATGTGGAGAAATAGGAACACTTTTACACTGTTGGTGGGACTGTAAACTAGTCCATTATTATATTGAATAACAGTGGTGACAGTGGGCATCCGTGTCTTGTTCCAGATCTTAGAGGAAAGGCTTTCAGTTTTTCACCTTTCAGTATGATACTAGCTGTGTGTCAGCTGTATATGGCTTTTATTGCGTTGAGGTGTGTTCCTTCTATAACCAGTTTTTTGGGGGTTTTTATCATGAAAGGATGTTGAATTTTATCAAATGCCTTTTCAGCATGAATTTAAATGATCATATGGTTTTTTATCCTTCATTCTATTGATATGATGTATCAAACTGATTGATTTGGATACGGTGAACCATCCTGGCATCCCTGGGATAAACCCCACTTTGGTCATGATGAATGATGTTTTTAATGTGTTGTTGAATTCGGTTTGCTGGTATTTTGTTGGGTATTTCCGCATCAATGTTCATCTGGGATACTGGCCTGTTTTGTTTTTTTGATTATGTCTTTGTCTGGTTTTGGTATCAGGGTAATATTGGCCTTCTACAATAAGTTTGGATGTATTCCCTCCTCCTCTATTTTTCAGAATAGTTTCACTAGGATTGGTAACAGTTCTTCTTTAAATGTTTGGTAAAATTCAGCAGTGAAGTCACCAGGTCCTGGGGTTTTTCTTTGCTGGAAGACTTTTTATTATTACAGTTTCAATCTCATTACCTGTTATTGGTATGTTCAGGTTCTGGATTTCTTCATGGTTCAAACTTGGAAGGCTGTATGTGCCTGTGAAATTATCCATTTCTTTTTCCTTCTTTTTTTGAAGACACAGTCTCACTCTGTCACCCAGGCTGGAGTGCAGTAACATGATCTCAGCACACTGCAACCTCCACCTCCCAGGCTCAAGTGATTCTCGTGCCTCAGCCTTCCAAGTGGCTGGAATTACAGGCACACAAAACCACACCTGGTTAATTTTTGTATTTTTAGTAGAGTTGGAGTTTCACCATGTTGGCCAGACTGGTCTCGAACTCCTGACCTCAAGTGACCCACCCGCCTCAGCCTCCCAAAGTGCTGGGATTACAGGCATGAGCCACCACGCCCGGCCTGCAAACTTATCTATTTCTTCCACGTTTCCCAATTTATTGACATATAGCTGTTCATAGTCTCTAATGACCCTTTGAATTTCTGCAATATCAGTTGTAATGCCTACTTTTTCACCTCTGATTTGGGTCTTCTTTTTCTCTTAGCCTGCCTGAAGGCTTGTCAATTTATCTTTTAGAAAAACCAACTTTTCATTTCATTGATCTTTTGTATTATTTTCTTCATTTCAACTCCATTTTATTTCTGCTCTAATTTTTATTATTTCTGTCCTTAAAATTATGGGTTTGGTTAGCTCCTTCTTTTCTAGTTCTTTAAGATGTATCATTAGGTTATTTATTTGAAGTTTTTCTACTTTTTTGATTTTCCTCTTAGTACTGCTTTAACTATATCCCACAGATTTCGTATGCTGTGTTGCCATTGCCATTTGTTTCAAGAAACTGTTTAATTTCACTCTTAATTTCTTCACTGACCTGTTGGTCATTCAGGAGCATATTGTTTAATTCCCATGTGTTGGTGGAGTTTCCAAAATTCCTCGTTATCAATTTTTAGTTATAGTCCATGTGATCAGAGAAGATACTTAACATAATTTTTTTAACTTTTATATGGCAAAAGAGGAATCTAGCTTCATTCTTCTGCATATGAATATCAAGTTTTCCCAGCACCATTTATTGAAGAGATTGTCTTTTCCCCAGTGTATGTTCTTGGTACCTTTGTCGAAAATGAGTTCACCGTAGATGTGCGGATTTGTTTCTGGATTCTCTATTCTGTTCCGTTGGTCTGTGTCTGTTTTATGCTAGTACTATGCTGTTTTGGTTACTATAGCTCTGTAGTATAATTTGAAGTCAGGTAATCTGATTCCTCCAGTTTGTTTCTTTTCAATTATGAGAGCTTCGGCTATTCTGGGTCTTTTGTGGTTCAACATGAATTTTAGGATTTTTTTTTTTTCTGTTTCTGTGAAGAATGTCATTGGTATTTTGCTAGGGATTGCACTGAATCGGTAGATTGCTTTGGGTAGTATGGACATTTTAACAATATTGATTCTTCCAATCCATGAAGATGAAATATTTTTCCATCTTTTGTGTCTTCTTTAATGTCTTTCATCAGCGTTTTAGAGTTTTCATTACAGAGATCTTTGTAATTATCTTCTTTGGTTACTTCCCAGGTATTTAATTTCATGTGTGGCTACTATAAATGGGATTACTTTTCTAATTTCTTTTTCATATTGTTTACTGTTGGCACACAGAAATGCTACTGATTTTTGTATGTTGATTTCGTATACTGCAATTGTATTGAATTTATCGGCTCTAATCATTTTCTTGTGGAGTCTTTAGGTTTTTCCAAATATAAGATCATATCATCTGCAAACAAGGATAATTTGACTTCTTCCTTTCCAATGTGGAGGCCTTTTATTTCTTTCTCTTGTCTGATTGCTCTAGCAAGAACTTCCAGTACTATGTTGAATAACAGTGGCCACACTGAGCATCCTTGTCATGTTCCAGATCTTAGAGGAAAGACTTTCAGTTTTTCACCATTCAGTATGATACTAGCTGTGGGTCTGTCATATACGGCTTTTATTATGTTGAGGTATGTTTCTTCCATAACCAGTTTTAAGAGATTTTATCATGAAAGGATGTTGAATTTTATCAAATGCCTTTTCAGCATCGATTGAAATAATCACATGGTTTTTATCCTTCTGTTGACATGATGTATCACATCAATTGATTTGCATATGTTGAACCATCCTTGTACCCCAGGGATAAACCCCACTTGGTCACAATGAACGATCTTTCTAACGTATTGCTGAATTTGGTTTGCTAGTATTTTGTTGAGGATATTTGCATCAATATTCATCAGAGACATTGGCCTGTAGTATTCTTTCTTTGATGTGTCTTTGTCTGCTTTTAGTATCAAGGTTTGAATTTTTAATGACTTATTTTGTGGCCTAACATACGGTCTAACCTTGAGGACGATCCATGTGCTAAAGAGAACAATGTAAATTCTGCAGCCATCAGATGAAATGTTCTAGAAATATCTACTAAATCCATTTGGTCTACAGTGCAGATTAAGTTTGATGTTTCTTCGTTAATTTTGTCTGGATGATCTGATCTGTCCAATGCTGAAAGTGGAGTGTTGAAGCCTCCATCTATTAATGTGTTAAGGCCTATCTCTCTCTTTAGCTGTAATATTTGTTTTATGTATCTGGGTGCTCTAGTGTTGAGTGCATATATACATATATTTATAATAGTTATAGCCTCTTGCTGAATTGGCCCCTTTATCATTACATAATGACTTTTTTGGTCTCCTTTTATAGTTTTGGTCTTGAAATCTATTTGGTCTGATATAACCACTATGCTCTTTTGTGATTTCCATTTACCTCTCCCTTTTTCCATCCCCCCGCACCGTCCTGAAGGGATGGTCTTCAATTTGAAGAAGCAAGCAGCCAATGAACTGCCTGTGGGGAGGGGCAGCCTCCAAGAGCCCAGGGTTTCAGTCCCACAACCACAATGGATTCAATTCTACCAATGAGGACCTGAGCTCCAGATGACAGCGTGCCCTAGCCAACACCTTGACTACAGCCTGTGACACCTGAAGTAGAGGATAGAACTAAGCTATGGCCAGACTCCTGACCCACAGAAACTGTGAGAGTGTAAATGCTTGTTGTTACAAGCTGCCAAATTTGTGTTTGGTAACTTGTTCTGTAGCGACAGAAACCAAGCCAGCATCCTTCAGTTTTTGTAGAAGGAACAGCTTTCTCTCAGCACTCTTATTTTTTCTGTTCACATCACTAACAGGATAACTGCCATAAACATACTTGGAACCAAAACATACGACTTTTGGTAAAAATTATCAGCTGGTGGGGGAGAGGTAAACTCCTTCCAAAAAGTGAGCCCTAGCCAGGTAGAGTGACTCACATCTCTAATCCCAGCACCTTGGAAGACTGAGGCAAGAGAATCACTTGTGCCCAGGAGTTTAAAACCAATCTAGGCAACATAGCAAGACCGTCTCTACAAAAAAATTGTAAAATTAGCCAGAAAGCTGAGCATGGTGGCTCACACCTGTAATCCCAGCACTTGGGAGGCCAAGGCAGGTGAATTGTTTGAGCTCAGGAGTACAAGACCAGCCTGAACAACATGGCAAAACCACATTTCTACCAAAAATACAAAAAATTAGCCAGAGGTGGTGGCGCGCCTGTACTCCCAGCTACTTGGGAGGCTGAGGTGGGAGAACTGCTTGAGACCAGGAGGTAGAGGCTGCAGTGAGTTGAGATCACTCCACTGTACTCCAGCCTGGGCAATAGAGCAAGACCCTATCAAAAAAAAATTTTAATTTAAATTTAAAAAATTAAAATAATATAAAAAATAAAATTAAAAAGTGAGCCGAAAACATTCAGGGCCCCTGAAGTTTAACTAGTGAATGGAAAGGTTTGACTCTTCTAGTCTTCAGTCAGAGGAGGGCAGTGAATACGTGCACTGGGGTTCAGTCCAAACCCTACCACAATGCACATGATAAGAGGCTAACAGCGGTCAGAACTCACAGCTCCATGTGGGCCGTGCTCCAGGAGTTTCAGACTATCTTTAGGCACTCAAGGGAATACGACATTTGACCCGTGTCTTAAAGTGTTTCAGAAAACAGAAACAGAGAAGGTGAACTAAGAAGCTATTACTGGCCACGCACGGTGGCTGACGCCTGTAATCCCAGCACTTTGGGAGGCCGAAGCGGGTGGATCATGAAGTCAGGAGATAAAGACCATCCCGGCTAACACAGCGAAACCCCATCTCTACTAAAAATACAAAAAATTAGCCAGGTGAGGTGGCACGCACCTATAGTCCCAGCTACTCGGGAGGCTGAGGCAAGGGAATTGTTTGAACCTGGGAGGCGGACGTTGCAGTGAGTGGAGATCGCACCACAGCACTCCAGCCTGGGTGACAGAGTGGGACTGCATCTCAAAAAAAAAAAAAAAAAAAAAAAAAAAGGCTATTACCAAGGGTCCAAAAAAGAAAGGATGACAGTAGAAGTCAAGACAGGGAAGTACAGTCTTTAAGATTATTTCAGGCAGGGCACGGTGGCTCACATTTGTAATCCCAGCAGTCTGGGAGGCCGAGGTGGGCAGACTGCTTGAGCCCAGGAGTTCGAGACCAGCCAAAGCAACACGGTGAAACTCGGTCTCTACAAAAAATACAAAAATTAACCAGGCGTGGTGGTACGCACCTGTAGTCCCACTACTCAGGGGGCTGAGGTGGGAGGATCACCTGAGCCCGGGGAGGTTAAGGCTGCAGTGAGCCGTGACGGTGCCACTGCATTCCAGCCTGGGCAACAGAGTGAGACCCTGACTTAAAAAACAAAAAAAGAAACTATTTCAAATCACGTAAGTTAAATCAAATGTGAAAGGGAAAATAAGGGAGGGAACAGAAGAGGAATGAGAATTAGTTCCGTTTTAACCACTAAGATTTGCACTAACTACTGAACATAAACATGGAGCTCCTCCCCACTCCACCAACCCTCAGTAAATATAGATCCAGATCTTAGCAGAGTGTTCAGGGCTAGAGACTCAAATCTGGGAGTAGTCAACAAATGGACTGTAGGTGATGTCCTGGAGAAGATGCCAACACCCAAGCAGAGAGGGGAGACCCCTGCCCAGACCTGAAAGCACTCTAAGATCGCCCCAGACTGGCTGGGCTCCACACATCAGTGTTCTGCGGTACAGCCTAGATTGAGAAACATTAGTGTTACAGAGGTACCATTTTTAAAAAAAAAAGCCAAAAGATGGAACATTTAAAGACTAAGCCAAGGAGGAAGCCCAGTTTACATGGAAACAAGAATAATTACCACCACCTTTCGATTATTACCTGGGTAGCACTGGGAAGGAAGAGGATAGGCCAGACCTTGTCTTTCTGAGTGACAAGGAATTCTTTTTTGGAAGGTAGACACTGGACTCCTGGAAGGACATGCACTGTGGAAGCCTCCTAGGAACTGATGACCCAAATAAATGGTAAGCACCATTCAAAAAACTATTTGGGCACCTTAAAGGTGGAACATTACTAAGGCAATAAAGCAAGCCTCACTGGAGGAGGTCTCCAGAGAGTTAGACTGTGAACAAGCAAAAGTGAAGCCCAGGAGAAGAGCTCTCCAGATCACAGACAGTACAGGATCCTGACTGAGGAAGCAGCAGCCTGGGAACAACTGGAAGACAGCCGTGGCACTGAGAAGAATGGAGACTACAGGCAGGGCGTGGTGGCCCACGCCGTAATCCCAGAGCTTTGGGAGGCCAAGACAGAAGAACTGCTTGAGGCCAAGAGTTCAAGATCAGCCTGGGCAACATGGTAAGACCGTGTCTCTACAGAAATGTAAAAATTACCCAAGTGCATGGCACGTGCCTGTAATCCCAGCTACTCAGGAGGCTACAGCAGGACGGTCACCTGCACCCAGGAGTTTGAGGTTACAGTAAGCTCTGATCACACCACAGCATTCCAACCTGGGTGACAGAGACCCTATTCATAAAAAAAATAAAATAAAATAAAGAAAAAGAAAAAAATGAATGGGACTTTCCATTTGTAAAGTGAGAGTATTTATTTCTACAACTGTCTCCAATTAGCTTTTTATTAGTAGCTGACTTACCTAAACGTGCCCAGTAGATTTTCAACTTTTGACTTTTTTGGTTCAGATCCCAGAAGCTTCTAATTAGGTTATTTGGGCTGAGAACTCTTTTCCAATCTTTTCCAATCTCACATTCCTATCTTACACCTCTGAAGTGACATGGCAAGTAAAGGCACTTTCATCGTCAAAAGACCCCAGCAAAAGAGGCAGTAACAGGCTCACTTTTTGTTAGTTACTAAACTGAAGCTCAGAAGGCCAATGACTTGACCAAAGGCCACACAACACTGAGGCTGTGAGAGGTGGGATTTGGGAAGAGGCCCAACTCCAAGGCTTATTCGCTTCCCACCAACACCATAACATGCACCCACACCTGCAGCACGGCAGCCAGGGCAAGCCTTCACGCTCCCATACATAGGCCACCAATATTTTAATACCAATCAGGACTAGGCAAGCAAACAGTTAAGGCATTTTTTTTTTTTTTTTTTTGAGACAGAGTCTTGCTCTGTCGCCCAGGCTGGAGTGCAGTGGCGCCATCTTGGCTCCCCGGGTTCATGCCATTCTCCTGCCTCAGCCTCCCGAGTAGCTGGGACTACAGGCGCACGCCACCACGCCCGGCTAATTTTTTGTGTATTTTTAGTAGAGACGGGGTTTCACCGTGTTAGCCTGGATGGTCTCGACCTCCTGACCTTGTGATCCACCCGCCTCGGCCTGGGATTACAGGCGGGAGCCACCGCACCCAGCCCGTTAAGGCATTTATTAAAGTGACTTCAGAACTATAGAGTCAGGCAATAAAATCCAAAACTGAATAATATAACAAATGAATATCTGATTAATGTATAGGTTAGAAAATGTTTCTTTTTCATGTCCTTACAATTTGACAGAAAAGTAATCTTCAAATATTTGCAGATGAGTAAAGGTATATGGCTTTTTTTCTTAAACCTACAGAAAAATACTAAACATCTATTGAACGTAGGACAACATATAAAAAATGTTAAGAACAGGTTCCTAGAACAATTAGAAAGGTCAGACAGGAACATTAAGTACGTCGATTTGAAGACATCCTAGAAGCAGTAAGATAGTGAGGTCTTCCTAAAGTCTGAGACCCACGAGAGGAAGAAAGAGGCCCAGAGAACCTAAGCAAGCAGGGATGAGACTGAGAAGCAAAACGGAGCTTCTGAGAGACTCCCAGGGCCCTCACACAGGAGAAAGAGGCCTGGCAGACCCCATGCTCTGAGCTGGAACCTCAAAGGGCCACACACCAGAAATACAGGTGAGTTAGAAGTAGACCAGCCTTTACGGAAAACCAGCCCAGTTTCGCATTCTCTCAATTTCCAAAGGGACTGCAGTGACCTGGGATTGCCTAGAACATCCTCTCTGGGGGAAGTTATTGTTACCCAGAGCCTCGACTTATTGCTACAATATTGCATATACAATATCTGAAAGTCAAGCAAATATAATAATGACAAAGATACAAGACCACATCATTGAAAAATGAAAAAAAAAATAGAAGTCAACAGAACAGACCAAGAGTAGATCCTGAAAACAGAAATATAAAGACTTCTATCATGAAAGAAGAGCCTGAGGAATGAACTAAAGTGTTAACACTCTGCTCAGCAGATGTCAGCTCGGAACAATGGGGTGAGGGAAGTGGGAAAGTGAGACAAGGAGATCAATGAAGCAACGGTATGCAGTATATGACTTCACAGTCAGCTAAGTGTGATTTTAGCCTACTCTGCCTATGTAGGAGCCATTCTTATTTCCTTTAATTTCCTAAAAAAAGAAAAACATATATTTAAAAAGTGATTTTATATTTTTCAATGGTTGCAACATAATCAAAAGAATCATATGTCAGCCAAGCACGGTGGCTCACACCTGTCATCTCAGACTTTGGGAGGCCAAGGCGGGCGGATCATGAGGTCAGGAGTTCAAGACCAGCCTGGCCAACATGATGAAACCCCGTCTCTACTAAAAATACAAAAAAAAAAATTAGCCAGGAATGATGGTACACGCCTGTAATCCCAGCTACTCCGGAGTCTGAGGCAGGAGAATTGCTTAAACCCAGGAGGTGGAGGTTGCAGTGAGCCAAGATCGCGCCACTGCACTCCAGCCTGGGCAACAGAGCAAGACTCCCTCTCAGGAAAAAAAAAAAAAAAATCATATGTCAACACATGAAAATTATCTGACATTCAAATTTTCCTGGAATATAGCCATACACATCTGGCAGCTTCTCGCAGGACAATAGCCAAGGTGAGTTGTTATAAAAGAGCACGTACGGCCCACATAAACATTTACTATCTGGTGCTTTATAGAAAAAATGTGCTGACTCCTATGTTACTGCCACCTCTTCTCAATGAGCTGCAAATACAACCAATTGTTCAGCCAGCACATTCACTAGGCACATGTGGCTTTTCCAGAAGGTCTGCAAGAAGAAACTACACCATAAAATAGTCCAAGGAGGAAAGAAAAAGGGGAGGAATAAAAACACTGAGTTCCCTCATCTCTCCTTGTAAAGTGGTGAACGTTCATACCACAGGGAATTCACACCCACACTCGCCACACCTTCCAGGCTGTGTCACTGGCTCCTTGGTAGGCAGTCAGGAAGCCATACTCCAACTCTCTTGCGTGACATCACAGCGGAGACTGGAGCCGAAGGGCGGCTCACAGGCATGAGTCAACCAAGAGGGACAGAGAGAGGCGGCTAAGGAATCTATGGGGTCGGACAAGGTTTATAAACACACTTTTAAAATAACTACCTTTAATAGGGTCAAGCAATTAAAAGATCCTATTAACAGCCGGGCACGGTTCATGCTTGTACTCCCAGCACTTTGGGAGGCCAAGGCAGGTGGATCACGAGCTCAGGAGTTCAAGACCAGCCTGGGCAACATGGTGAAACCCCATCTCTACTAAAAATATAAAAAATTATCTGGCTCTCGGCGTTAGCGCCATTTTCTTGGAAACCTCTGCGCCATGAGAGCCAAGTGGAGGAAGAAGCGAATGCGCAGGCTGAAGCGCAAAAGAAGAAAGATGAGGCAGAGGTCCAAGTAAACCGCTAGCTTGTTGCACTGTGGAGGCCACAGGAGCAGAAACATGGAATGCCAGACGCTGGGGATGCTGGTACAAGTTGTGGGACTGCATGCCACTGTCTAGAGCTTGTCTCAATGGATCTAGAACTTCATCGCCCTCTGATCGCCGATCACCTCTGAGACCCACCTTGCTCATAAACAAAATGCCCATGTTGGACCTCTGCCCTGGACCTGTGACATTCTGGACTATTTCTGTGTTTATTTGTGGCCGAGTGTAACAACCATATAATAAATCACCTCTTCCGCTGTTTAAAAAAAAAAAAAATTATCTGGGTGTGGTGGTGCACACTTGGAATTCCAGCCACTTAGGAGGCTGAGGCATGAGAATGGCTTGAACCTGGGAGGTGGAGGTTGCAGTGAGCTGAGATACTGCTACTGTACTCCAACCTGGGCAACAGAGTGAGACTCTGTCTCAAAAAAAAAAAAAAAAAAAAAAAAAGGAATTGTCATCAAAGTCCTACGGCTAAACCCTTTTCCTTTTTTTTTAATAACTAGTATTACTAGTCTTTTCCAAGAACCAAAGTTAAAAGTTAGTTCTTTAAAACACCAGGCCAGGCACAGTGGCTCATACATGTAATCACAGCACTTTGGGAGGCCAAGGCAGGAGGATCACTTGAATGCAGGTGTTCTAGACCAGCCCGGACAACAAAGAAAGACCCTGCCTCTACAAAAAAAAATTTTTTTGCTGCAAAATGCTCTCAATTAACCTGACAAAATGTCACATACAGGGTTACTACATCTTTTTTATCATGGAATTTTGAAAACAAAAATTGTTCTATTGAGGCACCAGTATTTGGATATTAGAGGTAAAAACCACCCTTAGAATCCAGTCCTAAAAACGTCAATGAAGACTCCCATGTTTACAAATTCTTTTATTTCTACATGTCATCTATCAACTGGATTATGAACCTGAAAGCCTGAGAACAGAATTTATCAAGATACTCATGTTTATACTTTTTTTATCTACTGATCGTTTTTATTTTTTTTGAGACGGATTCTCGCTCTCTCACCAGGCTGTAGTGCAGTGGCGCGATCTCGGCTCACTACAACCTCCGCCTCCTGGGTTCAAGCGATTCTCCTGCCTCAGCCTCCTGAGTAGCTGGGACTACAGGCACGTGCCACCACACCCAGCTAATTTTTGTATTTTTAGTAGAGATGGGGTTTCACCATGTTGGCCAGGATGACCTCGATCTCCTGACCTCAGCCTCCCAAACTGCTAGGATTACAGGCTGAGCCACCACACCCAGCCATGTAGCCATCTACTGATATTTCTAAGCATGAAGTGACAATTTTTTTTTTTGAGATGGAGTCTTGCTGTGTTGGCCAGGCTGGAGTGCAATGGCATGATCTCGGCTCACTGCAACCTCCACCTCCTGGGTTCAAGCACTTCTCCTGCCTCAACCTCCCAAGTAGCTGGGATTACAAGCGCACACTACCACGCCTGACTCTTTTGTATTTTTAGTAGAGACAGGGTTTCACCATGGGCGCCAGGCTGGTTTTGAACTCCTGACCTCAAGTGATCCGCCCTCCTCGGCCTCCCAAAGTGCTGTGATTACAGGCGTGAGCCACCGCGCCCAGCCGAAGTGACAATATTTATATACAATAAGCTTAACTCTAAGAGCTTACATTTATGCGTAGTCATTCTTAATTGATGATTAGAGGAAGAGACAAATAAATGGTCCCAGTTTAGCTACTGATATACTCAACAAACCTTGACGGACCTGAGGGCATTATGCTGAGTAAAGAAAATCATTTCCGAAGGTCACATATCACTTGGTAATCTCACAGTAACAAAATTATAGAGATGGAGAACAGATTAGTGGTTGTCAGGAGTTAGAGATGGTGGCAGAAGAGAGGCAGGAGAGACATCTTTGTAGTGATGAAACAGTTCTGCATAGGAAATTGTAGTAGTAGTTACATTTACAGACCCTTGATAGAATGGCACAGAACTACGCACACACATTGTACCAACTTCAATTTCTGGGTTTTTATACTCTATTATAATTACATAAAATGTAACCACTGGGGCAGTATGCGCAAATATACAGTGACCTCTCTAGTTTCTTTACAACTTCCTGAGAGTCTATTATTATTTCAAAATAAAAAGTTTTTTAAAAAATTGCTTCATGCCTATCTAATTTCATGTGCCACTTAAAAAAGAACACAAAAATAGAAACTGTAGGAAATTCATCTGAGTGCAGCTTATGCAAGAAGGGGCAGGATAACTCCATTCTGGACTTATGCTCAAAGACATGCGCCTTTACCTTACAACAAAACTGGCGAACAGGCATGTGTTTTAAGAATAAAAAGCTTTTAAGGTATCATATATTGTTTTTTATAGTTCCTTTGCTTAACTGACGTTTTGGTTTGCTAAAAAACTACCAATCACATCAGATTACAAGTACTTTCACTGTAAAAATAAAAAGTGATGTGACTGACACCTCTTAGCTCTGTAACGTATTACTCTTTACGAGAGCAGTGAAGGAAAACATGGTGATTCAATCACTCCACACACCAAGCAGAAAAGTGTTGAACAGGCCGGGCGCGGTGGCTCACGCCTATAATCCCAGCACTTCCGGAGGCCGAGACGGGTGGATCACTTGAGGTCAGGAGTTCAAAACCAACCTGGCCCACATGGTGGAGCCCTGTCTCTACTAAAAGTACACAAAATTAGCCAGGCGTGGTGGTGGACACCCGTAGTCCCAGCTACTCGGGAGGCTGAGGCAGGAGAATGGCATGAACCCAGGAGGCTTGCAGTGAGCCAAGATGGCACCACTGCACTCCAGCCTGGGAGACAGAGTCAGACTCCATCTCAAAAAAAAAAAAAGTATTGTACAATTAAACTGTTTATATGTAATAACCACATATATATGCCTGGCATAAAATGAGCCCTGCATTAGAGGTTGCTGGATGTAGGGCCCTAGGCCTGACGTATCCAAATAATGTCTATGATAAAGAAGTCAATAAGTGCTCTCTATAACACACAAGCATTATAAGTTTTCACACTCCAAAAACTCTTCCTTTCTAAAGTTACTAAAACTTTTAAGGGCATTTCAAACAAAAACAGCTGTGGAAAACAGATCGGTTAAATCCTATGGCTAAGAAACATCTTCCTATCCCATGTATTATTCATTACCCAGGTGTCAATTCTGTTTCCAATACAAAAGTCTCAAGCAGTGAAGCGCTTCCCACTCCAGCTGGGAGAGCCATCCTCAACAAGATAAGGGTAAAACCTGTGAGCACAAGGCTTCCATCTGCAATTCCTGTCTGCAGGGAAGCTCCCCAAAGAGGGAAACCATGTCTTATTCCTTACGGTAAAACACCACCATTCATTCCTTGTGTTTAACAACCAATGCTGGTGGAACATAAAACAAAGCTTAGCAATCACTTTTTTCATGCTACTTAGACCTGTAACACATTTTTCCTCTGGTGCACACTATCCAAAACCTAGTCATTTCCCTTACTCCTAGGAGGAATTTAGATGACTTTTTTTTTGGCCAGGTGCAGTGGCTCACGCCTGTAATCCCAGCAATTTGGGAGGCCGAGGCAGGCAGATCGCTTTGAGGTCAGGAGACCAGCCAGGCCAACACAGTGAAACCCCATCTCTACTAAAAATACAAAAATTAGTCGGGCATGCATGGTGGCACACACTTGTAATCCCAGCTACTCGGAAGGCTGAGGCGGGAGAATCACTTGCATTCGGGAGGCGGAAGTTGCAGTGAGCCAAGATTGCGCCACTGCACGCCAGCCTGGGCGACAGAGCAAGACTGCGTCTCAAAAAAAAAAAAAAAAAAAAAAAGACTTTCTAATCATATTGGAAATGTGTAACAAGGACCAAGTACTGTGTATTAAACTTAATAAATCAAAACAACAGGCCCTCTAAGATATAAATGGTGCTTCACTGTATGTTTATCTGCCCAACCCATCATAGGAACTCAATTCAGCATTAAACTGGTTTTAGATCAAGACACTAGAACTCATGTTTAGCAGTTATTAAATTACAATTATTAAGAAAAACACTTTATTACGTAAAGTCCTTTACTCCAAAAAGTTTCTCAAAATACATAAACACTAATATAAAACAATTATTAAAACTTTGCCTGAATCTCAGGATTTCAGAAATATGAAAGTACTCATCTCTCACCTCTCCCATCCACTTAAAATGACAAAACAGATCATTATAGCTAAATCAAAGGAAATGTTTAAAGAGAAACAAACCCAAAGAGTAACTACACCAATTCTTGACCCAATTCTCTGTACTCTGTCTTATGTAACATTACACTATGAATAACAATCCCATCATCCACAACAGCTTTTTTTTTTTTGAAACAGTTTTGCTCTCATTGTCCAGGCTGGAGTGCAATGGCATGATCTTGACCCATTGCAACCTCCACCTCCCGGGTTCAAGCGATTCTCCTGCCTCAGCCTCCCGAGTGGCTGGGATTACAGGCATACACCACCACGCCTGGCTAATTTTGTATTTTTAGTAGAGACGGGGTTTCACCATGTTGGTCAGGCTGGTCTCCAACTCCTGACCTCAGGGCATCCACCCGCCTCGGCCTCCCAAACTGCCGGGATTACAGGCGTGAGCCACTGCGCCCGGCCACGCAACACAGCTCTAAACACTGGACTCTCATATCTACCAACACTCAATACCTGTTTAAAAAGAAAAAAAAAATTAGGAAGGGGCAATAACACTTCAGTGTAAGTATCCATGATCAACTACTGCTTAACAGCCTACACGACTTTTGATGAACAGTCAAGGCACATTACTTAATACTTAAAATGGTTAACCTTAGGGAGTAGGAAAATACAGACACACACAAAATATTTCAAACACTTCTTTTTGCTGCTGATAAGGAGTTCCAAAAGTAGTTTTTCCAAGCCATTTCCAAATAAAAGTAGATTGGGTGTAAATAATTGTCTATCGAAATATTAGTTATTATTTATTTAATAATGTCCTGACAAGCTTGCAGTTATCTCATTAAATCAAAAAATTAGGATCTAAGGCCAACATTGTTTCCTCACATTCTTGATGTGAAAATCTGAGCACTCCTCTTAATAAGGAGTTACAAAGACAAAACAAACAGCTCAACTGAACTAACTCTTGTCTCTCCAGAAACACAAACACAAGACCTCATAAAATGAGTGAGTTTCTATAGGCCATAATTACTGCAACTTACTTCTCCAATTTTCCCCTCCACAGTTAACTCAACAGCTCAAAAACGATCAGTAACAAACAACAGTCACCATGATATGGTTAGGAGTGTGGCAGATTTCTTAACCAGTAATAATAAATAGGAAAAAAATTTTGCCTATTAATAGATCTCAAGTTTCGTGCACTTGCAAGAAACTAATTAAAAGGCAGCCGCGCACGATCTACAAAAACAGCCATAAAGACTGTTACATTTTAAGTTACAGGAAATAAACCTGCTCCTCTAATTCAGCAAGATACAACTGACTTCCCCTTACATACCCTAAAAAAAAGCCTTACACGAGAAATTTAAACATGGAAGCAGAAACACACCAAGAAAAAGACATGTCAAACCCCACCTGTATATCTGTTTTCAACCATTTGGAGTCGAGGCGAGCCTGGGCAGCCAAACAGAAAGATTCAGAGGGCATCTTTTCTCCAGCTTCCTCCCAGGTCTCAGGCCTGCAAGTAAACACATACGCTGAAGACCTAACGCTTTTTAATAGTTTACAAAGACACTCCCGAAAGCCAGAAAAGAAAAAAGAGAGAGAGAACAGAAAGGGGGGAGAGAAGAGCTGGTGGAGGGGAGAGAAGGGGAGAGAGGGAAAGAGGGAAGAGATGGAGGGAGAGGGAGGTGGGGAAGGGAAAGCCTCCTTCCAAGGTAAGCAGGGTGTGCCGAGTTTCTGCACCACGCTGACGAGACCTTGAGAATGGACGGTCACAGGAAGCCAAGTCACAATGTCATCCCCCTGCCCTCAAATCCAAGAAGTACACACACATAACAGGGAGCCCATCGTTTTAACGACAAATGACAGCAGCATGAATCTGCCGCTTTACCCCACAGCAGGGCGCGTGCGTGAAACAAAAAATTACTCAAAAGGATCGCCTGCAGAAAAACCCACAGCCACCACCACTTAAGAGATGGAGAGAGGCCCGAGGCTGCCCCGCGGGTGGTCCGCGCAGGCCCCGGTGCGGCCGCCGCGCCCACGCCCGCCTCCCGGGCTCGGCCGCCCGCCAGCCCCGCGCCCGTACCGCCCCCGCCACCGGCCGCCCAGGTGCCCCAGGCCAGGACCTGACGCGCAGGGCCCGGCCGCCTCGCCTCGCCGGCGCGCGGACGCAGCCTCCCAAGAGCCGCTGGCTCAGCCGGCGCCCGCGATCCCGGCGCCTCTCGCGGCCCGAGGGGCGGGCCGACGCGGGACTGCCGCCCCCCGCGTACGGCCAATCGCAACGAGGCTGCTCCGTGGGCGCAGCCAATGGGGAAGAGGAGCCCTTCGCCGCTCCTCCCGACTCTCCCGCTTCCAGCAATCCCGCTTATCTTCCTACTTGGAGCGCCCTGGCTGCGGCCAAGGCCAACAGCGGGCGCCGGAAGGCGGGATTTCCGCCACACGCACGCACTCCCGCACTCCCACGGGAGACTGCTTGGCTCGGAGCGCTCTTGATCACGCCGCGGCGGGTGGTGGCGCTCACACTAACTATAGCTATCCAGGGCGCGGGTCGAGTGGCGAGACCAGCTCCCCTGGGTATGAGAACGCATCTTTGTGCGGTCGGCTGGCTGGGGCCTGAAGAGCTTCCTCCTGTGTGTTCAACTGAACGCAGCAAAAGTCTTGGGCAGATTCCATGGAGCAGCTGTGGAAGCACTGTGCAGGGAATCGAAGAAGGAAACACCTCCAGCGACCACAAAACAAAATTGAAGAACTATAAAACAATATAGGCCGGGCGTGGTGGCTCACGTATGTAATTCTCAGCGCTTTGGGAGGCCGAAGCGGGAGGATCCCTCGAAGCCAGGAGTTGGAGGATCCCATGTTGCCAGACTGGGCAACATAGCAAGACCCCATCTCTAAAAAATAAAAATAAAAAAATTTAACAATTAGCCAGGTGTGGTGGCACACACCTGTGATCCCAGCTGCTCGGGAGGCTGAGACAGGAGAATCGCCTGAGCCTGGGAGATCAATGCTACAGTGAGCTTAGATCGTGCCACTGCACTCCAGCCTGGGCGACAGAGTGAGATCCTGCCTCTAAGAAAGAAAAATAACGGCCGGGCGTGGTGGCTCAGGCCTGTAATCCCAGCACTTTGGGAGGCCAGAGCAGGTGGATCATCTGAGGTCAGGAGTTCAAAACCAGCCTGGCCAACATGATGAGACCCCTTCTCTACTGAAAATACAAAGATTAGCCAGGTGTGGTGGCACGTGACTGTAATCCCAGCTACTCGGGAGGCCGAGGCAGGAGAATCGCTTGAACCCGGGAGGCGGAGGTTGCAGTGAGCCGACATTGCACCACTGCACTCCAGCCTGGGGGACAGAGGCTGCACCACTGCAGCCTTGACTTACCGGGTTCAGGTGGTTCTCCACCTCAGCCTTGCCACTAGCTGGGACTGCAGGCACATGGAACCACACCTGGCTAATTTTTGTAGTTTTTGTAGACGGGATTTTGCCATGTTGCCCAGGCTGGTCTCGAACTCCTGGGCTCAAGTGATCCGCCCGCCTCAGTCTCCCAAAGTGCTAGGATTACAGGTGTGAGTCACTGCACTCGGCTAATAGTAATGAACTTTGAACAGAAGGAAAGTTGTTATTATTTTCTTGGTTATGTTCTATCTATATTTTCTAATTTTTCTAAACATGTAAAGATAAAATTCTAAAAACTCAGACCTCAGAACAAAAAAATTAGAGTATAAATATTTATTTTAGTTAACTTGTACAAATTTGGTTTCTGGAAAAAGAATGGAATAGATTTTCTGAGAAAAAAAATCCACCACTTTGGCCGGGCGCAGTGGTTTACGCGTGTAATGCCTGCACTTTGGGAGGCTGAGGCGGTGGATCACCTGAGGTGAGGAGTTCAAGACCAGCCTGACCGACATGAAGAAACCCCTGTCTCTACTAAAAATACAAAAATTAGTCAGGCCTGGTGGCACGCACCTGTAATCCCAGCTACTCAGGAGGCTGAGGCTGGAGAATCGCTTGAACCCAGGAGGCAGAGGTTGCAGTGAGCTGAGATCGCACCATAGCGCTCCAGCCTGGGTGACAAAAGGAAAACTCTGTCTCAAAAAGAAAGAAAGAAAAGCAGACTGGCTGAAAGGATTGAAGAACAAAATATGATCCACCAATGTGCTATCTACAAGATAAACATTTTAAATACAGAAACAGATTGAAAGTAAAGGGATACAAAGATACAATTAAAATAGTAACCAAAAAAGAGCTGAAGGGGCTGTACTAATATCAAATGTAATACACTTTAAATTAAAGCAGGGCTGGGCATGGTAGCTCAGGCCTGCAATCCCAGCACTTTGGGAGGTGGAGGCAGAGAGACACTTGAGCCCAGAAGTTCGAGATCAGCCTGAGCAACATGGCATAATCCCATCTCTACAAAAAATACAAAAATTAGGCGGGCATGGTGGTACCCACCTGTGGTCCCAGCTATTTGGGAGGCTGAGGTGGGAGGATCATGTGAGCTGGGGAAGTTGAGGCCGCAGTGAGCTAAGATCGGGCCCCTGCACTCCACCCTGGGCAACAGAGCGAGACCCTGTCTGAAAATAAAAAAAAATAAAAAACGGGGTTGAGAGACAAAAAAGGACATCCTTTTTTTTATTATTGTATTTTGAGATGGAGTTTCGCTCGTTGCCCAGGCTGGAGTGCAATCGTGTGATCTTGGCTCACTGCAACCTCCGCCTCCCGGGTTCAAGTGATTGTCGTGCCTCAGGCTCCCGAGTAGCTGGCATTACATGTGCCTGCCATCACGCCCAGCTAATTTTTGTATTTTGGTACAGACGGGGTTTCACCATGTTGGCCAGGGTGGTCTCCAACTACTGACCTCAGGTGATCCACCTGCCTTGGCCTCCCAAAATGCTGGGACTACAGACATGAGCCACCGCGCCAGCCGAAACCTTCATTTTAAAAAAGGCTGGGTCAGGCATCATGCCTCATGCCTGTAATCCCAGCACTTTGAGAGGGCAAGGCAGGCGGATCACCTGACGTCAGGAGTTCGAGACCAGACTGACCAACATGGTGAAACCCCGTCTCTACCAAAAATATAAAAATTAGCCGGGTGTGGTGGCACACACCTGTAATCCCAGCTACTCAGGAGGCTGAGGCAGGAGAATTGCTTGAATCTGGGAGGTGGAGTTTGCAGTGAGCCGAGATTGTGCTACCACACTGCAGCCAGGGTGACAGAGTGAGACGCCATCTCAAAAAATAAATAAAGGCTGGGTGCCAGATGTGGTGCATAGGCCTAGTTTGTTGACTCCTGTACTTAACATATAAAACTCTAAAGAACAGTGGGAAGGAGCTTCCCTCTAGAGGCACAGGAGCGGCCAAGTTGGTCCCTGAGCAGTGACTTTATAATAACATGTTACACTGTGTTTTTTGTTTTTGTTTTGTTTTTTGTTTGTTTGAGACGGAGTTTCGCTCTTGTTGCCCAGGCTGGAGTACAATGGCGTGATCTCAGCTCAAAACAACCTCTACCTCCCAGATTCAAGCGATTCTCCTGCCTCAGCCTCCAAAGTAGCTGGGATTTCAGTCATGCAACACCATGCCCGGCTAATTTTGTACTTTTAGTAGGGATGGGGTTTCTCCATGTTGGTCAGGCTGGTCTCGAACTCCTGACCTCAAGGGATCTGCCCGCCTCGGCCTCCCAAAGTGCTGGGATTACAGGCGTGAGCCACCACACCCAGCCTATATTTTTTTTCTTTTTTTTTAGACACAGTCTGACTCCGTTGCCCAGGCTGGAGTGCAGTAGCGCGATCTTGGTTCACTGTAACTTCTGCCTCCCAGGTTCAAGCGATTCTCCTGCCTCAGCCTCCCAAGTAGCTGGGATTACAGGCATGCACCACCACATCCGACTAATTTTTGTATTTTTAGTAGAGATGGGGTTTCACCATGTTGGCCAGGCTGGTCTCAAACTCCTCACCTCAAGTAATCCGCCCGCCTCGGCCTCCCAAAGTGCTGGGATTACAAGGCGTGACCCACCGGGCCTGGCCCTGTGTGTTGTTTTATGTATGTTTCTATATGTGTTATATTTCACAATAAACTAAATATTAAAACAAAGAATAACTGATAGCTATGCACAAAGGTATTTAAATTTCACCCTCACAAATAATTTTTTTTTTTTGAGACAGGATCTCACTCTGTTACCCAGGCTGGAGTGCAGTGGCACCACCTTGGTTCACTGCAGCCTTGACCTCCCAGGCCCAAGCGATCCTTCTACCTCAGCCTCCTGAGTAGCTGGGACTACAGGCACACTCCACCACACCCACCTAATTTTTGTATTTTTGGTAAAGATGGGGTTTCACCATGTTGGCCAGGCTGGTCTCGAACTTCTGGGATCAAGGAATCCTCCAACCTTGGCTTTCCAAAGTGCTGGTATTACAGGCGTGAGCCACTGTACCCGGCCAAGAATAGTTTCTTCTCCTTACCTAGGTAGAGACCTCTGCAGAAATGCTGGGAGATCTTTGGAGAGGGGAGATTTTTTAAATAAAAAATTTAATACTTGGAGGGGCGTGGTGGCTTACCCCTGTAATCCCAGCACTTTGGGAGGCCAAGGCGGACAGATCAGGAAGTCAGGAGATTGAGACCACCCTGGCTAACACGGTGAAACCCCATCTCTACTAAAAAAAAATACAAAAAATTAGCTGGGCATCGTGGCGGGCGCCTGTAGTCCCAGCTACTCGGGAGGCTGAGTCAGGAGACTGGCGTGAACCTGGGAGGCGGAGCTTGCAGTGAGCCGACATCGGGCCACTGCACTCCAGCCTGGGCGACACAGCAAGACTTCGTCTCAAAAAAAAAAAAAAAAATTAATACTTTGGGATGCCAAGGCAGGTGGATCACGAGGTCAGGAGTTCAAGAACTGCCTGGCCAAGATGGTGAAACCCCGTCTCTACTAAAAATACAAAAATTTGCCGGGCTTGGTGGCAGGTGCCTGTAATCCCAGCTATTCAGGAGGCTGAGGCAGGAGAATTGCTTGAACCTGGGTGGCAGAGGTTGCAGTGAGCCAAGATAGCACCACTGCACTCCAGCCTGGGCAATAAGAGTCAGACTCTGTCTAAAAAAAAAAAAAAAAAAAACTGATCTAGTTCAAAACCTCACTTTGAATCCACCCACATTGCTCTAAAATACTTTCATCTTTCCTGTGGCTAAAACCTTAAAGCCTTGCCAGTAACTCCCATTGCACTTAAGGAAATCCAATCTCCCTTGTTGTGGCCCCTGAACAGGCTGCTGCTGGCCCACCACGGTGCCTCTAGTTTGTGTAAAATGCATATGTTAATTTATAATATATGAGGCTTTTTTAGCTCTAAAAGGCTATTATTCACTAGTTGCTGTGTGAATCAGTATTTCTGGGTGCAGTTAGAAATTATTAGAGTTGATGCCCAAGACTCATCTCCATCAGCACGGGGGAGGCATCTGCTCGTTTTATGGTCAGTGACTCTGGGCCTCCTGCTGGGCTAAGTCCTGAGGTGGGTCTGACTCAGGTCAGAGCTGTGCACCCCGGCCCTCCTCCTCAACGTGCATGAGTGCTCTTTAGGATGGAGCTGAACACTGGCTTCTCAAAACCACTTGGCCCCATCACAGGCCCTGAGAACTGATTGGGTCACTCTGGTGGGCTCCCCAGCCCTAGCCAAGAAGGGTTTCTCTAGGGAGCCTGGCCCCCCACTTATGAGACCTGGAGCCCCAAAGATCCTGACCAGGGGCCTGCCTCCTCCAGGGAGCGGCCACTCGCCCCCACCAAGCTCCCTTCACAGAGACCCATCCAACAGAGCTGAGGAAAACCATGCCTCATAAATGAATAAATACATAAATAAGAATGCCGGGGACCTGTGGATTTTGTAATTCCTGAAAGAAGGCAGAGTGGCTGGCTCACAGCAAGCGCAGTAGGAGATACTGCTCCCCGGCCAGGCTGTTCTCTGTCTCTTTGGAGGGAGCCCTAGGGTACAAGAAAAGCCAGAGGAGACCAGCTGGCCCAGAAGGTGCCTCTCCACCCCTTCCCCAGAGTTTCTGGGAAACAAAGCCCACCCGAGGGACACATGCCTTCTTGGGAGTTGTACCAGGCCTCCTTCCTCATCCAGCCATGCAGTGGTTTTCAGTGCCCGAAACAGATGAATAAAATAGGCCCTTTACGGGATGTTCTTCAGGAACATGCACACTTCTTTGGATCTTACCATCGTTTTATCTCTATTTAAAGTTAAATGCTGTGTTATACAGAGTATTGGTAAAGATGTAGAGCTACAAGAACTGTCAAGCTGGCAGTAGCATAAAATTGTATAAGCACATTGGAAACCTGTTTGGCAGCTTCTACTAAAGCTATATCTATGCCTACCTTCAGAAATTCCATCCTAAGCATGTACACAAGAGAAACGAGTGCATATGTCCACAAAAAGACTTATATAAGAATGTTCACTGCCATTTTTATTCATAAGAGCCCCAAATGAAAACAACCTAAATGTCCATCAACAGGAGAGTGAATAAATGGTGATACAGTCACATCATGGAATACTACACAGCCAAAAAAGAAAAATGAAGTGGTAGGAACACTCAACGACATGGGTGAATAGAGGGAGCCAGGTATGAGAGACAGTGCACAGTACCAGCCCACCTAGATGAAGCGCAGGAAGGCAGAACTGACGATGATTGAAGTCAGAAGGGTAGTTTCCTTTGTGGGAAAGTGTAGGTCAGGAAGGAGCCTTCTGGGGTACTACAAATCTGCCGTATTTTGGCTGGGTGCAACAGCTCACACCAGCACTTCGGGAGGCATAGGCGAGAGGGTCACTTGAGCCCAGGAGTTAGAGACCAGCTTGGGCAACACAGAGAGATCCCATCTCTACAAAAAAATTAAAAATTAGCGTGGCATGCTGGTGTGCACCTGTAGTCTCAGCTACTCAGGAGGCTGAGGCAGGAGGATTGCTTGAGCTTAAGAGTTTGAGGTTGCAGTGAGCTCCCAAAGTGCTGGGATTACAGGTGTGAGACACTATACCAGCCTGATTTTTAAATACTGACCAAGCCTTGTGTTACTGGGATAGGCATCACTTGGCCACGATTTACTACTCTCTTTCTTTTTTTTTTTTTTTTTTTTGAGACAGAATCTCACTCTGTCACCCAGGCTGGAGTGCATTGGTGCAATCTCAGCTCTCTGCAACCTCTGCCTCCTGGGTTCAAGCAATTCTCCTGCCTCAGCTTCCTGAGTAGCTGGGATTAGAGGTGTGCACCACCACACCTGGCTAATTTTGTTTGTTTGTTGTTTGTTTTTAGTAGAGATGGGGTTTCACCATGTTGGCCAGCCTGGTCTCCAACTCCTGACCTCAAGTGATCCACCCTCCTTGGCATCCCAATATTCCTATGATTACAGGCGTGAGCCACTGCGCCCGGCCCTATTCTGTTTCTATATTGCTAAATTTGACTTGCTAACACGTTTTTGAGGATTTTTCTGTTGATGCTCATCAGGGATGTTGGTTTGCAGTTTTCTTTCTTTGTATTATACTATCTCGTCTGGCTTTCTGTCAGGGGAAAGCTGACCTTATACAAAGTATTGGCATGTGTTCCCTCCTTTTCCATTTTCTCTAAGGGATTGTGTAGAATTAGTGTTATTTCTTCTTTAAATGTTTTTGAATCCATCTGAACCTGGAGATTTCTTTCTAAAAGATTTTACGCCGGGCACGGTGGCTCGTGCCTATAATCCCAGCACGTTGGGAGGCTGAGGCAGGTGGATCACCTGAGGTCAGGAGTTTGAGACCAGCCTGGCTAACATGGTGAAACCCCGTTTCTACTAAAAATACAAAAAATTAGTCGAGCTTGGTGGCGTGCGCCTGTAATCCCAGCTACTCAGGAGGCTAAGGCAGGAGAATCACTTGAATCTGGGAGGCAGAGATTGCAGAGAGCTGAGATTGCACCAATGCACTCCAGCCTGGGTGACAGAGTGAGACTCCGGCTCAAAAAAAAAAAAAAAATTTTTACAAATTCAATTTATTTAACAGATACAGAACTATTCAGGTAACCTGTTTGTTTCTAGGAGGATTTTCCTGGTTTGTGGCACTCGGACATTGCTTTATTTCATCTAAGTTGTCTGATTTTTAAGTGTCAAGTTTTCCTTAGTGTTCTCTTGCTAACCGTCTGAAGTCTGTGGGGCCTGCAGTGATGTCCCTTCATTCATTCCTGATACTGATAATTTGTATCTTTTCTGTTTTTTTCTTTGTCAGTTTTCCTAGAGTTTTTCAATTTTGTTGATCTTTTCAAAGAATGATCTTTAAGTTTCATTAATTTTTCCCTTCTTTTTTTGCTTTCAATCTCATTAGTTTCTGCTTTTATCTTGGCATTTGTTCCTTTGGCTTGTTTTGCGTTCACTTTGCTCTTTTTCTGGTTTCTTAAGGTGGAAACTTAGATTGCTGATTTAGACCTATCTTTTTTGTAATATATAATGATTTGATGCTATAAATTTTCCTCTAAGCAGTGCTTTAATTAAACCCACAAATTTTGGTGCATTTTCATTTATGTTCAAAATATTTTCTAATTTCTTTTGAGAATTGTTCTTTGACCCATGGATGATGATGATGATGATTATTATTATTATTTTTCTTCAATACGGAGTTTCACTGTTGTTGCCCAGGCTGGAGTGCAATGACATGATCTCGGCTCACTGCAACCTCTGTCTCCTGGGTTCAAGCGATTCTCCTGCCTCAGCCTCCTGATTAGCTGGGACTACGGGCACCCGCCACCATGCCCGGCTAATTGTTTTGTATTTTCAGTAGAGATGGGGTTTCTCCATGTTGGCCAGGCTGATCTTCAACTCCTGGCCTCAGGTGATCCCCCCAACTTGGCCTCCCACAGTGTTGGGATTACACGCGTGAGCCAGTGCGCCCGGCCTGACCCATGGATTATTAAGTATGTTGTTTTATTTTGAAGTGTTTGCAGATTGTTTTGTTAATGATTTCTAGTTTAATACCATTGTGATTGGAGAACAAACTGCATATGATTTCATTTCTTTTAAATTTGTTAAGATTTATGTGTCAGGTTATGTTCTCAGTGAACATTCTGTATGTGCTTAAAAAGTATATGTATGGTCTGTATATGTATGGTCTGTATATACATATATGTATACATATATGTGTAAAAAGTATATGTATGGTCTGTATGTGCTTAAAAAGTATATGTATGGTCCAGCACTTTGGGAGGCCAAGGCAGGCAGATCACAAGGTCAGGAGATCGAGACCATCCTGGCTAACAGGGTGAAACTCCGTCTCTACTAAAAATACAAAAAAAATTACCCGGGCATGATGGCGGGCGCCTGTAGTCCCAGCTACTTGGGAGGCTGAGGCAGGAGACTGGCTTGAGCCTGGGAAGCAGAGCTTGCAGTGAACTGAGATCGTGCGACTGCACTCCAGCCTGGGCGACAGAGCTAGACTCCATCTCAAAAAAAATAAAATTTAAAAAAAGTATATGTAAAGTGTATGTATGGCCGGGCACGGTGGCTCACGCCTGTAATCCCAGCACTTTGGGAGGCCAAGGCAGGTGGATCACGAGGTCAGGAGATCAAGACCATCCTGGCTGACATGGTGAAACCCCATCTCTACTAAAAATAAAAATTAAAAAAATAATAATAATTAGCCAGGCGTGGTGGTGAGCACCTGTAGTCCCAGCTACTCAGGAGGCTGAGGTAGGAGAATGGTGTGAACCCAGGAGGCAGAGCTTGCAGTGGGCTGAGATCCCGCCACTGCACTCTAGCCTGGGCGACAGAGCGAGACTCTGTCTCAAAAAAAAAAAAAAAAGTATATGTATTTTGCTGTTGTTGGGTGAAGTGTTCTATAAATTAGATCCAGTTTATTGAAGGTGTTCTACAGTTCTCCTAGATTTTTGCCGATTACTTGTTCTCTCACTATGAAAGGTATTGTGTGTGTTATATGTGTCTAACAATTCATTGTCTAGTTAGAGTTGCTATTATACCACTTCAAGTGGATGGAGAGCCTCACTGCCATCCATTAATGTGCATTAATCATTTTGAGAGTGAAAAGATTTTTTAAAATGTTTTTACTCTTTTAGGTATGGCCAAGTGAGATGGGGCTAGTGAAATGGGTGGGAGAATTGGAAGCTGATAGTGTGTGAGCTAGACACCCATGAATGCTTTTCCACTGGGCAGTTAGAGGGATGATAGGTAATAATATAAGGCAGCTCCATCACACAAGCTGGTGACTCCTGTGCGACAGACCAAGAGCTGCATTTGGAGATTCATTTCCGATTGTTGCGTTTCCTCTTAGAGCATTGCTTGGTCATCGTGTTCTGAGTGGTCCATTGGCCTCCATGTCCCTTTTGGGGTGGATATTTGCTCAGTGACTTTTGAGCAGCTGGATCTCCTGCTTCGGCAGGTGAGTGAGGGGATGGATGGCTCCGCGGACTGGCCCCCGCCCCAGGAGAAAGAGTGCGTGGCCGTGGCAACGCTGAATCTTCCCCGACTTCAGGTATTCGTGATTTCCCTTCCTCTTGCTCCTTTTATAAGTGTCTTAGCGATTTGTAAGAAGGTTTATGTATTCTGAAGGACATAGGTTTTAGCCTGTTGGGGGAAGTATTTTAAAGTAAGATTGTAATGCACTAATAATGGACGCAAGGCTTAAAAAACTTGATCTGTTTATTTTATGTTTGTCCTGGAAGTCAGCCTCGGCATGCAGGAAGAGTGTATATGGATTGTGTTATTTTTGCTATAATCATTAGTTTGTTGGTATTCTTACTGTTTTACTGTTGTTGCGTGTGGAGAAATGACTGGGTGAGATCACAGGTGATGGAGAGAGACAGAGCTCAGCTGAGAGACCAGTGCTGGCCTGTCTCTCCTCTGTCCTGTGAAAACCCTGCTCCAGGAGGGTCCAGTCTTTTGGTTTCCCTGGGCCACACTGGAAGAAGAATTGTCTTGGGCTACACATAAAATACACTTATGATAGCTGATGAGCTTAAAAAAAAAATCCCAAAAATATCTCATGATGTTTTAAGAAATTTTACTTTGGGCCACATTCAAAGCTGCCCTGGGCCACATGCTGCCCTCGGGCCGTGGGTTGAACAAGCTTGATCTACTCAGTAAGCTCGGCTCCCAAAGCAATACCTTCCTTTCCTCACCATGAAGGCTGTGGTTAGGGTCACAATAAAAGCTACAAAAGCCTTCCTCCCTAGCAAAACTAAAGCTGAAGTGTTTGATCATCATCTTTTGTCTTTGTAATAAAACCCTCTAACTTAATGACAAGAACCACGGTTTTCTCGACATAGTAATTTTTCCCTTTTATTACAGTGGTTTCTTGTAACAACCCGTCATGTCCCTCTTCCAGCCCCTCCCCTTTTTGCCCTGCTTCTAGAATGTACAGAACTGAGTGTAGTGTTTAGTTGCAGTAATGAACTGAGCAGAGGTCTGGAGCATGCTTCTCCTCTAGTCCTCTGTAGCACTCATTTATCACCATACCTGTGGCATCCTGGCGTTTGCGTGGTTGCGCCCCAGGTGTTTGCTGCCCCTCCTGGTTTGCGGTGATGTGTCTGTTCTGGTCAGTGCTGTGGGGCGTGGCCTTGCGTATGTCTTAGGCTGTCGAGGTGTCCCAGCGTATGGTTTTGCATTTGCCTCTCCGGGGTCCTGAGGGTTCTGTAGGTTTCACAGACTCCAGGTGAGTTTCGGTGGTCATTTCCTGACCTGTGATATCTATACCTAGATGAGTGGTGTGCTTTTGATTTCACTTCTACTCACAGGGCAAGGCCGGGTCTCTGATTTCTCATGGGGCCTCTTGCTACCCAGAGCCTGGGACGGGCAGTGTGTTGCCCCCTGGCTGCGGTTGGCTGGCAGGCAGGTGATCCTGAGTGGCTCCCAGCCTTCTGCAGGAAGCTCGGGTTCAGTGGGTCCTTGTGTGCATTCCCGTGTGGGAGGTTGTGCTGAAGCCTGGCGGCTTGGCTCTGCTTTCAGAGCCCGGAACCTCTTGACTCCTGCTGTGTGTGCCCATGTGAATTTTGGTTTTGCACTTGAGGAGTTTCCCTGTGTACTCTCAGCTCCGCAGTCTAATTTTTAGCAGCTCTTTTTTTTTTTTAGACAGGGTGTCACTTTGTCACCCAGGCTGGAATGCAGTGGTACAGTCTTGGCCTGCCAGGTTCCAGTGATTCTCCTGCCTCAGCCTCCCAAGTAGCTGGGACTACAGGTGTGTACCATCACACCCGGCTGATTTTTTTATAGAGATGGGGTTTCATCATGTTGGCCAGGCTGATCTTGAACTCCTGATCTCAAGTGAGCTTTCCACGTCGGCCTCCCAAAGTGCTGGGATGACAGGCATGAGCCACCGCCTGTGGCAGCTTTTGTGGTTACATTGTAGCCATTATTTCTGTGTTTGGTGCAGATTGTTGGGGCGGGGTGGAGGTTGCTGTTGCTAGTTGTTTAGCTCTTCTGCTCATCTTGAGCTTTTCCATATATGTGTTCATAGCGGGGTTAAAAAAAATTCCTCTAGAAAATATTTCAACTATTGTGGGTAAGAGTTTTTTTAGTCCAGTTTTTAAAAATACGTAAACTGAGAAGTTATTTTGTCTATTTAAATAATACTTCAAATTGACTTTTATTCAGTGTTTAATAAGACTTTGAAATTCACTCATTTTTAGGGGTTCTAAGTGAAAATTGTTTTTCTCCTTTCAGTTGCATGCTGCCATTAGTCACCAGGTTGACCTGGAATTCCTTGGTTTAGGTCTGGGCAGCGTCTTCCTGAACAGCCTGAAGCAGAAGGTGGTGACCCTGGCAAGCAGCGCAGACGTGCTGAGCACCGTGCAGTCGGCCTCCCAGGCCATGCTGCAGAGCGGCTGGTCCATGCTGTTGCCCACCGCTGAGAAGCAGGCCCGGGCACTCTGCTCTCCTGTCCTGTGGAGGTGGGCTCGGGGAAGGAACAGGAGAGGGCATGGGTCAGGGTGCTGGGAGGGGATGGCGTTTCACTCAAATTGGCACAGACTTTCTATTTCAGTTTCAGGCAATGAAGTGAACATAAGTCCAGGTCATCGATTGGTGATTGATCTTCTGGTGGGCAGCTTGATGGCTGATGGAGGGTTGGAGTCAGCCTTACACGCAGCCATTACTGCAGAGATCCAGGTATGGCCTTGGAGGCACACGTGACCTGGTGGTGGGCTGAGATCGGAAATACCACACTCACACATGTGAAGAATAACTGAAAACAGTAAAACACTAAACTTATATCCAAGTATTTTTTTAAATTAAAATTCTTTTATGTGCTAATTTTAAAAATTATTGAGATGATTTGTGATAAAATACTGCATGTTGTCTGTTTCAGTGAAGTTAACAGGTAACCTGTTCCTCATGTAGACCATTCCCGTCACCCGGAAAGATCCCTGTGCTCCTTGGCACTTGCAGCCAGGATACTCCCCTGCCCTGAGATTAGATTCATTTTTCCTGCTCTGAGTGTCGCAGCAATATAACTGTATAGTATGCACTCTTTCCTGCTTTGCCTTGGAGAATGATTTTCAGATTCACTCACTGTTGTGTGTATTGCGACTTCGTTTTTATTATTGGGAAGTTTTCCATTTTATAGGTGTAGTACTGTTTGTTAGTTCATTCTCCTATTGAAGGACATGTAATTGTTTTTGGTTTTTGTTTTCTTTTTTTTTTTTTTTTTTTGAGACAGGGTCTTGCTCTGTCACCCAGGCTGTATACAGTGACCTGAGGTTGGCTCACTGCAGCCTTGTCCTCCTAGGCTCAAATGATCCTCCCACCTCAGCCTCCTGTGTTGCAGGGACCACATACATATCACCATGCCCGGCTAGTTTTTTGATTTTTTTGTAGAGACAAGGTTTCACTGTGTTGCAAGGCTGGTCTTCAACTCCTGGGCTCCAGTGATCCCCCCACCTTGGCCTCCCAAAGTGTTGGGATTACAAGCGTGAGCCACCGCGCCCAGGCTTTCTGGTTTTTGGCCGTGTAGAGCTGCCACAATTGTGCTGTGAACAAGTACTTTAGTGAACATATGTTCTCCCTTTGGATAAACACTTGGAGTGGAATTTGTTAGGTCCTGGGGTAAGTGTGTGTTCATAGTTTCCCAAAGTGGCTTTGCCATTTGCATTTGAACCAGGACTTTTGTGTGTGAGAATTCTAGCTCCTTCTTGTCCTTACAGAGCAGCTGGATGCTGCGTGTGTGGAGCCGATCACATTGGGTTTTGTGTGAGCCATTAGCAGGGTTAAGGATTTTAGGGACTTCACAGAAGGAGGCTGGAGAGCATCAGCAGAGGCAGCCTGGACCTTGGATCTGTAAAAAGAAGACACTGTTTGAAACTGCACAAATGAGTTGGGGTTTCCAACAGGGCAGGTGGGGGGCCTGTGGGTGGATGGGTGTGGCAGCCACAGAGGCTGGGATAGCTTGGCACTGGGGTCAGGGCTCAGCCAGCCTGTGTGCCTTCACACCTGGTAATGAGATCACTTGTAAACAATTTCTGTTTGTCAATTACAGGATACAAAAAAAGAAGCACGGAAGGAAAAAGAAATTTATGAACAGGAAGCAAATGCCTCAACATTTCATAGAAGGAGGACTCCATTGGATAAAGACCTTATTAATACGGGGATCTGTGAGTCTTCTGGCAAACAGTGTTTGCCTCTGGTTCAGCTCATACAACAGCTTCTTAGGTAAATCATATTAGCTGTATTGTATTGTGTTTTATTTATTTACTTTTTTTTTTTTGAGACAGAGTTTCGCTCTTGTTGCCCAGGCCGGAGTGCAGTGGTGCGATCTTGACTCACTGCAACCTCCGCCTCCCAGGTTCAAGTAATTCCTCTGCCTCAGCCTCTCGAGCAGCTGGGATTACAGGCATGCGCCACCATGCCCCACTAATTTTGTAGTTTTATTAGAGACAGGGTTTCTTCATGTTGGTCAGGCCGGTCTTGAACTCCCGACCTCAGGTGGTCCATCCACTTTGGCCTCCCAAAATGTTGGGATTACAGGCATTAGCCACCACGCCTGGCCTATTTATTTACTTATTAATGGTGTTTTTTGTTTTTTGTTTTTTTTTTGAGATGGAGTCTTGCTCTATCGTCCAGGCTGGAGTGCAGTGTCACGATCTTGGCTCACTGCAACCCCCGCCTCCTGGGTTCAAGCTATTCTCCTGCCTCAGCCTCCCGAGTAGCTGGGACTACAGGCGTCTGCAACCACACCTGGCTGATTTTTGTATTTTTAGTAGAGATGGGGTTTTACCATATTGGTCAGGCTGGTCTCAAATTCCTGACGTCAGGTGACCCACCTGCCTTGGCCTCTCAAAATGTTGGGATTACAGGTGTTAGCCACTGTTCCCGGCCTGTATTGTATTTTAATAGGTGATTATTGGTTTTCATATTAAGATAGTGAAATCTAGCGCAAGGGTCTCAAAAATTTGTTTGATGATTGAAGGAATATTCTGAAAATTACCTAGTATAGATGTTAGGATAAAGAGCAGACCCTTCTCAATATAGGTGAGAGGAGAAGTTGGAGGGTGTGATGATACTCAGAAGTTTTTCACAGAAGAGAAATTGGGGCGTGCAGTAAACATGTAAAAAGATTCTTACTAATAAGCAGGTAGGTGCGAATGAAAATCATCATGGAAGGTTATTTTTAAAACTGGTTCTATCATTGCCTCACTTTACATATTACAGAGTTGTACATACTGCTTTGTAAGATAACTTTTCTTTTCAAAACTGAAGTCAATGTGATAGAATGGTGAGCATTATTTTGGAAGGCCAGACTAGGAGGAGGTGGGAGGAGGAAGTCAGACTCAGCCTGTGAACAGACGCTAACCTTGGCAGAAGCCAAAACAGTCAGACAGTGTTGTGTAAAAATGATCATTCAAGAAGAGCGAAACAGCAAGGTGATTTGTGAAAGAGATTTATTAGAAAATGAAACACATTTATACCTCTGTTCAATAAAAATCTGCTTTTCGTCAACTGATGCTCCTGGTTTTTGTTTCTACACATAGAGAAAGCAGAGCCCTGGCAGCTTGGGTCAGGCAGCCGAGTACAGACCAGGGAGCCCTGGGCAGTGGCTGCAGCTCTCAGCTGGCCTGTTCATGGGGCCATGGTGGGTCTGTGGCGTGGGGTGGGCCTGTGGCGTGGGGTGGGCCCGCGGCGTGGGGTGGGCCCGCGGCGTGGGGTGGGCCCGCGGCGTGGGGTGGGCCTGCTGTCCACAGCCAGCAAAACTAACTTAGTGCACACACAGTGAAATTTTGAAACAGGAAGTTTTAGAGCTAGTTTCTGTCATAGATTTTAGTAAATGCTATTTTGCAAAACCTTTTTCTGATGTTTGTTTTGTTTTTCTAATCTGATAATGCATATTTCACACATTCTGGTCTTTAACAAATGGAAATAAAGAGAACTAAACAATATAGTTTGTGTCGATGGAAAGAGCTTGGGATTTGTTCTCAGAAAATTTCAGTTACAACAGTTTGTTCATATAGGTGGACTTCCAACACAGTAACTATAGGAGTAAGAATAAAAGCTGTGTTTACTTTCACAGAGTTAATTAAGAATACATGAGAAAATGGATGTTAAAAACCTTGTAATTAAAATGTACAGTTACATGCAAAGTTTTAAAGTGAGCATTTTCCAGAGGTGCTTTTCTAAGTTCTTGAATGCCTCTCCCTTTTCTGAAGTGGCTGCTTCGTGGGGCTGTTGGTCTTTGGCAGGGGGTGAGTGCAGGGTTCCTGTTGTGGGTCCTTTGTTCTCACGAGGGCAGTGCCCGTTTTCCCCGTCTCCTGCTTGCCCAGACTGTTCCCGTGCGCAGAGAGACTGGCCTGTTTGACCTGCAGCTGTGCTGTTTGAGCTGCAGCTGTGTAGCCTGCGCTGGCCCATCTGGCTACACTCAACACCGTTTGCTGATCAGCACTTGAAGTCTGTCCGTCATAGCTGAGACACTGAATATTTTATCTGTTTAATTTTTATTCATTAAAATGCAGGTTTGAAAATTTGATTCTGTTATTAGAAAGCACTTAAGTATGTTTAGAATCACTTGGCCTTGGGAGTCTACTTTGTCAACTGTGTATTTTATGAGTCTAAATGGAGATCAGATGTTTTCAATGCAAATTTCACTGTCCAAATTGAAATGTGTTACATATGTAAGCTACTCAGATGGTTTTTGAGGACTTAATATGAAATAACCTATGTAAAATATCTCAATAATTTTTCTTAGATTGATTTCATGTTGAAATGGTCATATTTTTGATCTGTTGGAATAACTATGATACATTATTAAAATTATTTTTATTTTTTAAGATGGAATCTTACTCTGTTGACCAGACCGGAGTGCAGTGGTGCAATCTTGGCTCACTGCAACCTCCGCCTCTTGGGTTCAAGTGATTCTCCTGCCTCAGCCTCCTGAGCAGCTGGGACTACAGGACTACAGACTCCCGAGCAGCTGGGACTACCACCACGCCTGGCTGATTTTTGTATTTTTGTAGAGACAGAGTTTCACCATGTTGGCCAGGCTGGTCTCGAACTCCTGACCTCAAGTAATCTGCCCGCTTTGGCTTCCCAGAGTGCTGGGATTACAGGCATGAGCCACTGCAACCAGCCATTAGTACAATTAATTTTATGTGTTGTTGTTTTTCTTGTTGGTGTGTTTTTTTTTTTTTTTTACTTTTGTTAATGTGACTAAAAACAATTTTTTTTCCCCACCCGGAGATGGATCCTCACTCTGTTGCCTGGACTGGAGTGCAGTAGCACGATCTCAGCTCACTGCAGCCTCTGCCTCCTGGGTTCAAATGATTCTCCTGCCTCAACCTCCTGAGTGGCTGGGACTAACAGAAGCATGCCACCATACCTGGCTGATTTTTGTATTTTTAGTAGAGATGGGGTTTCACCATGTTGGCCAGGATGGTCTTGAACTCCCAAACTCAGGTAATCTGCCCACCTCAGCCTCCCAAAGTGTTGGGATTACCGGCGTGAGCCACCGCACCTGGCCATGTTTATTAATACGACTAAGAACATTCTGAATTGCACCTGTGGCTCCATTGGTGTCCTGGGCAGGTGGCTCTGTGCTGTCCACACAGGTTGTCTCCTGTGTCTTCGTCTTCGCTGCGTGTGACTTTTTGGTTCCTGTGGCACGTGGGGTCCTGTATGGGACATTGGTTCTACAGCAGATTTATAGTAAGGATGTACCTACTAAAAAATACAAAATAGAAAGAATAGACACAAACATAGAAATAAGTATCACCTCACAAAAATTTTGGAAAGTAGAAAAAGAAAAATGCATTCGCAGCTTTCCAGTAGCCGATATCCAGGCTGTCTTCATAAGCATGGATCATGTGTCCCTCTCCCGCATGGGTAGACACTGTTTTCTCACCTTAAGTGTTTGTGAGTGAAGGATTCTTGATGTGTTGACTTGGCAGATGCAGTTGTTGAACAGTAGTTTATCTAAAGATCGTAAGAGACTTTTGGAGACATTTCACGTCCTTTTTTCCCTTGGAAAACGTGAGTTGGAGAAATCGCTGCTTGCCAAAAATAAGCCGTGAAACGTATTTCAGAGTAGATCGTTATTTACTTGCTGGCGAGGAGCCACAGAATACCATTTACATTTGAAAATAGAGCGCTGCAAAGTTTTTATAAGTAGTGAATCCCATCAGAATTACACATTTTGATTATGGCTCTAAATTTTATATTAAATAAACTAAAAATTTCATTGTATTGTATTACCGTCTCTTGCTCCTTCAGGTGTAGCATACATGCTAGATTCTAGACCTGTTTCTTGTGTTACAGTGGTGTTATCCAGGCAGGGTATCATGTAGTGAAGGTGATGTCGAGTGGTGGTGGTGAGCCCAGTGAAGGCGCATCCTTGCCGTGTGTGATGAGGGCCTGTGGGTTGCTATGGGATTCCCCAACCCTGGCTCCTCTGTCTCCTGCTTCTGTCCTTACTCACACTGCTGGTAGTTTTCTGGTGTGAGACACGGGGGCAAGTGGGATTGACAAGCCTGCTGTCACATTAGGAACCTGAGTTAAAGTGGAGCTGAAAGCATGTCCTCGCTCTTGATGTTGTGCAGAGAGCCACCTGTGCTCCTGGCTCAACGGGGCGGGTGTGGTGGGTCTGGAACCAGGCCCTGGTTTGGCTCTCCTCCCCTCCATGTTCCCCTGTCCTGTCTGATTTGCTTCACACTGACATAAGAGTTACTTTCCCTCGGCCTCCCAAAGTGCTGGTATTACAGGCATTAGCCACCGCGCCCAGCTAGCATCCTTTCAAGTACTGGGGTACACCCAAGCTCCCAGCTTCTAGCTAGGAGTCATTTTGTCCCTCTTTATCCCAAAGGACTTGCCACCATCTTTGGTTCCCAAAGCCCAGGAGGGTCCAGGCTCTTCAGCCTCCAACCACTTTGCATTTCTTGTCTGCTTTTCGTTCATGGAGATAATTAACTTATTTTTCAGCCTGGGCATGTCTTTTTTATTTACTTTATTTTTTATTTTTATTTTTTGAGATGGAGTCTCACTCTGTCGCCCAGGCTGGAATGCAGTGGCGGGATCTCATTTCACTGCAGCCTCTGCCTCCCGGGTTCAAGTGATTCTCCTGCCTCAGCCTCCTGAGTAGCTGGGACTACAGGTGTGCACCACTATGCCCAGCTAATTTTTACATTTTTAGTAGAGACAGGGTGTCGCCATATTGGCCAGGCTGGTCTCGAACTCCTGGCTTCAAGTGATCCTCCTGCCTCAGCCTCCCAGAGTGCTGGGATTACAGGCACGACCACCGCACCCAGCCTTTATTTACTTTGTATATCTCATCTATTACTGCTGCAGTTTGCAGAAGAGAGGATGCCCTCAAACCTAACTTCTCCAAACCATCCCAAATGGGAAGTCTGCTCCACGTCAACAGCATTGTTGCTTTTAAAGACTATACGTCAACATGGCAGATTATAGCAAAAGGATGTCGAGGGAGCAATAGGAAAGCAAGCCTGAGAGTCCTGGAGAGAAGGTGGCAGAGCTGCCTTTTGAAGGTGGTTCCTTCCTCAGACCCTGCCCTTCCTGCCTTGTTCCTCCAGTTGCCAGATTTGCTGTTGGAGCTCCTCCACGGGCGAAGAGGTGAGGCTGGACTGAGAGGGAGATGGAGAAGCTGCCAGAGATTCTTTTGGATCTAGAATTGAGACAGCAGTTCCAGCCAGGTCCAGAGGTGGGGGCTGTCACCCAGCCCCCAGGGGAATGGTACTGATTGCAGAATGTGGCGAGAACTCCCTGGCTGGGAGAGGGAGGTGCTTGCTCCCTTGAATCACCTGAGCCCAGGCTGGAAGGCCCAAGGGGGAGGACGAGGCCAGCTCACTCCAGCTCCATCCCCTCCCTTTAACCCTAAGCTAGTTAACCCTCCCAGACTCCAGTCCTTTTTCCTAAGTGCCCTCCCTGCAAAGTCTGCACCGAGCAGCGCTCCCTCGCACCAGCTCACCCTGCACTGTCTTGTCTTTCAGCAACCCCATGGGTTTGAACTTGAGACGATTCATTTTCCTAAAAGCCTCTTTGGGCTGAGGGAAGGCATGGGTGGCTCTGCCAGTTTTGGAGTGGGGGCCGACTCTTCTCAGAGCCGCTGCAAGGGCCAGGGCCACCCTCCCAGGCGGGTGTCTCTGGGCTGGGCAGCAGCTTTGTAGGCAGCCTGGGTCATCCCCACTGGCCTGGGAAGCTGGGGGTGCACCGGCTCCTGCTCCTGATAGGGCCAAGGCACCTTCCTTACCTAAGAGCTGACTTTCTTGAAGAGTGGGCACAGAGGAGCCGGCAACCTGGGCTGTGTAGGCACCCAGGAGAAAATCTGCAGCTCAGTATCAGAAGTCTCCACCAGCACGGCTGTTGCAGAGATGGGGAAACTGGGCTGAGAGGGAAGGGGGCTTGCCCAAATCACCAGCCCTGGAATGTTTTGAGCTTTGGGGGTGGATCTCCCAGGAAACGTGTTTTTATGGCACCACCGCCTCTGGTCACCCACCCCGAGGTGTGGCGGGCCTGGACAGCCAGCTTGACTGAGGGCCAGGCTGGTGAAGTCAAAACTACCACTCAGGAAGAAGACCTAGCCCTTCTCCAGACAGAGTTCAAATGTGAGGACTGCCTTCTTTGGGCCTCAAATTCCCCACGTGAATTCCAAGGACCCCTCTAGCTCCTACACTCTGGGCCAAGGTTTCCTCTGAGCCGCAGTCAGCCTAGAGGACCTAGGATACATCTTCCTTGGACGGAGACCCACCATAGGGGCAGCAGGAGGTAGGGGTGGGGGTAGGCAAGATTCCTGTGGGGAGGTGGAGCTGTCATCAGAGATGGTGTCTGCAGGCAGTGGGTGTATCGTGGCTCTGCTACTACTTGCTGGGTGGCCCCATGACGTTTCTTTCCCCACTCTGACCTCAGTTTCCCTATCTGTTCTGTGGAGATAAGATGCCTGCCTACATATTTGTGGACTGGGATGTGTGTGGGCCAGTTGCAGTGTTTCTTGGTGTGGTCCTGGGGCAGGCTGCACCACCCCATAGAGATTTCTGGGCCCCACCCTAGGCTCACAGGACCAGAATCTCTGGGAATGAAGCCTGGGAATTTGCATTTCCACAGGCATCTGGCTGATTCTGACATGACTGAAAAGCACTAATAGTATATAGCAAGCTCTTTATAAAAGGTAAATTCATAGCTGCCTTTTACTAAACATAAATCTCACCTTCCCTTCCTCAGTTAAGGACACACACCGCAGTTGAAAATCACTGTGCCTTTCCAGATGCAGAGTCTGACCTTTCCGATAAGATTCTGTTAACTGCTGCTTTCTGCAGTTTGTATTCCAAAACAAGGGGAATATGTTTCCATTTTTTCAATACAAATGTTTAAGTCGGATATGCTTTCTCAAACTGGACACACACTCACACAGCTTAGGGTTTCAGCTATGGCTTCCTCTCAAATTATTAGCCTCTTTCTGCCAGGGAGCAGTTTTTCCCAGACAAGACCCTGGACAGAGGTTGGTGGGGCCCTCCTCATCAGAATCACTAGATTATGACTGACCCCTAGAGGTGGCTTTTCTGCTTAAGTGTCAGCCCATGGGCTGGGTTGTGACCCCCAAAGCTGCGGCAGAAGCTTCCACCCATCCTGGGTCCCCCCTGCCATCTATGGGGAAAGGCCTGTCCCTTGTCTTCTGGGCCCAGCCGGCCTCACAGGCATTCAGCAGATTGGAAAGTCGAAGCATGTGCTGTGCTTGGCTGGGCTCTGCTGTGCCCCTTTTTGGGGTGAGGTGGAGTGCATCCAGCCCCCAGCATCCCTGCCGTTTATTCCCACCCCTCATCCCCACCCCCATACACACTCACAAGTACAAACACAAGCACAGTCACTGGCACACACCACTCTGGACAGCACCATTTCCAGCCTCAGCGGGGCAGTTTCCTTACAGGGAAGTTAATGAGGCACTAACGAAGGCTCAGGGGACAGGGGGAACCTCTATCGAGAAGAGGCTCCTAGACTTGGTTCTGCCTCTGAATTGCTGGGGGTCCTTGAGAAAGTTGCTATCCCTCTCTGGTCTCAGTTTCCTCAGGTGAGAAATGGGGGGCCGGCCAAATGGTCTAAGGTTCTGGGAACCTCTAAATCAGAGCCCGTAGCTGGTGGTCAAGATGAGGGAGAGGCCCTCAGGGTCAGCCGAATGCCTGAGAGGCAGGACAGGCCCAAAGGTGAGCAACGTGAGCACATCAGGTGGGCTCAGAGCTGGCGCATGAGCCCCACAGCCTGCAGAGCAGCCCTGTACTCGGGAGCCCGCTCACACCAACCCAGTGGGACTTCAGAGATGTGGGGTCCAGCCTTTCCTACTATTGCTGGGCTGAGGGCTGGGAGCTGCAGATTCTGACCCCACAGCTGCCTTAGACATGCCAGATGGTCTGGGGCAAGACACACCCCTCTCTATGAAATGAGCAGCCAGTCCAAATAGGTACATTAGAGAAGGGCTGTGGGATGGACCCAGCTGTAGCCTGGGGCTACAGACTGGCTTCCGGGGTACTCAAGCAGCTGGCCTCTGGGGTAGCAGCCCCAGGTATGAGAGGCAGGACTCAGAATCTAGGCCAAGCCTCCATAGGAATCCCCTCTGGAGAGCCCGGGCACTCTGCAGGAGGGGCAGCAGGCAGCAGGTGCACCAGGAGCATGTTTCACAAGGTGCCCAATATCGCATCTGCTCAGATAGGCAGCGAGTTGGAAAGTGGATGCAATAGGCAGGGTGGCGGCTGCTCCCCACAGCCAGGAGTCCGGCCCAGCACCCACCTGAGTCCGCCTCAGTCCTGCTCAATTGGGTTATCCGTGCTCTTGGCCCTCTGGTCCCACCCACAGAGGGAGGTCTTTGGGGCGACCAGGTGAGCTGGCCCTTGTGGGAGGATGTAACTGACTCCTGAGCCTGGCGAGCCAGGCAGCCCCTCGCCAACATCCCCACCCCTACCTCTCCAGCCCCCCCGCATTCCCTGATCCTCCCATCCGCTCCCCTGACCCAGCAGTTGCCTCTGCTCACTCTCTTTTCCTGCTCCCAGGCTCGCCTGGTCATGTGTCCTTCACTCTCCTCTGAGTCTCCCTCTTTCCAAGCCGCCTCCACTCTACTTGACACACTCTCCCTTAAGACACCAGAGTACACAAGCGCAAGTCCCTGCACCTCACCTTTACTCCCAGACATGGGAGGGAGATGACATGAAGACCCAAACGCCACTTAGCAGGAGATCTGGGGTATGCAGAGGGGCAGAACGGAGGCTGTGGAAGCTCCAGGGGCTCCCTGCAGGAGGCCACATGTAAGCTGGCTATTGAATGTGGCTCTGAGCTGAGACCTCTCCTTGAAGCTCCAGACCAGGAGCCAGCTGCTAGCTGGACCCCTCCATTTGGTGCCTCAGAGAAACTTTGCACTCTGTAGGTCTAACTTTGAACCCAGAAAATTCCCCCATGTCGGCCCTGTCTCTTCACAGGGAAAGCACCACCTCAGACCCAGTTCTGCACCAAACCCACATTTGAGTCACGAGGCTCCTGCCCTGCACTGTGAGCACTCTGGATAAGCCAGTGCTGAGGGGGAAAGAGCTCTGAATGCCAAGCCAAAACATGAGCTTCAACTCCACCTCCAGCTCTGAGAGCTGTGGGTAGGGAAGGGCCCTCGTCCAGTTTGCTGTAGAAAGATCAGTCTGCCACTGTATGGCACATGGATGGCAGGGGCAGAGTGCAGGTGGAGAGAACAGAAGGTGGGCAGGGCGGGGGAGGCAGGGACATGGCTGTAGCCGTGGAGATGGGAGGACAGACAGGACTTGGTGGCCACTTGGGTGAACCAAGGGAGGAGTCAGGAAGAGACACCCAGTTTTGTATCAGATGTGTAGAGCGTGGGATGCTGTTCATTGACGGAGGGAGGAGGAGGAGGAAGAGGTATGGCATGGGGAGGAGGTAGCTGAGCTCTGTCGTGAATGTCATTTGAAGTCCCCAGGGAAAGCCAGGCCGGCCAGCACCTTCACTGCTTCAGCCAGCTCTCAGGGTGTCTGTGCTCCCTGGCCCTCTCAGCTCCTGCTTCATAGCTGTCAGCTGCAGTGGGAGACAGCTGCACAAGGGCCCAGCATGTCTGTGTGTTTACCCAGGGGACTGCCGCATGGCCCATGCCGAGCAGAAACTGATGGACGACCTTCTGAACAAAACCTGTTACAACAACCTGATCCGCCCAGCCACCAGCTCCTCACAGCTCATCTCCATCCAGACGGCGCTCTCCCTGGCCCAGTGCATCAGCGTGGTAGGTGCAGAGGGTACCTGTGGCTCAGGCTCAGGTGAAGAGGCAGCTCATGCCCAAGCCCTAAGCAGTCAATGTCCAGAGGAATGAAATGACTAGAGTTGACTTAGACTCACCGGTACACGGTGGGGAGGCTGGAGGAGGGTCCATGAGGTTTATAGGTGTCCAGTATTTAATGAGGTCATGGTTTTGTTAACAAAGAAGAAATGAGGGTGGGAGCGAGATCACCACTGGGTAGGCAGCCAATGGGCCTGCATAGACTCTGCTCAGCTGAGTCTCCAGCACGACCATGAGCTTCTCCTCCTCATCCTCCCAGCCCCACCCTACTCTCTCCCCCAGCTTGCTCAACAGGTGACCTTATAGGCTCCCTACTCTTTGCAGGGAATAAGAACCAGACTGGGGGAACTGACGGGTACAGAGGCCCAGGTGTAGGCGCAGGACCACAGGCAGTGAAGCGTCTACTGACCCAGGCGGATGAGGGTCTGGAGAGTGGGCATGGCTGCTGCAGGCATGGAAAGCAGGCACAGATGGCGGCACTCCCAGGGCCCATTGTCAGGGTCTCCACATGTGGACATGTGCAGAGGTGGGGGTGCTGAGGGAGGAGGGGCAGGGAATTTCTCATCTTCTCTCTACTGCCTCTGAGTTGGAGATGTCAGAGGGAGCCATGGCCCACTGTAAAGTAACACAATGTCCCCACCCACAGGATTAGAACCCCTCCCCTGGAAGCAGCTCTGAGGGGAACAGTCACATGTAGAGAGTGCAGGGCACTGTGTCCAGCCGGGGGAAGGAGGTCACCAAGGGGGTTGACCCCCCTCTGGCCAGGTGGCTACCTTCTGACACACCAGCCTCTGTCTCTAGCACGGTGGCCCCCACACACCCAGCCTGTGAAACCTACAGCCCTCAAGAAGGCTTTGGCCAAATTAATGAGCGGCTCCCTCTCCCAGGAGGAAGCACAGGTGAAGGATGTGGAGGGCAGTAGAGTTGTGTGTGCTCCGCCCCCTTTCTCCACAGTCGGATGGAAAGAAGGGGGCTTTCAGCCAGGCTCGCCCAGCCTGGGGTCTGAGTGTCACTGTCCAGCTATTGGCTTCTTGCTTAATGGGTGAGCCCAGCTGCTCCCGTGCAGCTGCCGCCCTAGTGAGGGTGAACCGGCAGGCGAGTTACATTTCTGAAAGCCTGGGAATACAGTAAATATTAGGCTGTGGGCTGCTGGGCCAGGAAGAGTTGTTTATTTTTCAGGGTTTGTTTATCTATTGACTTGATGAGGGAGGGTTATAGGTACAACCAGTTTAAAGATGGAAATTTTGAGAGAGCAGGCAGGGATTTAGTGCTGGGTAAGCCTGGTCAAAGCGGCTCTTTTGGGGCGGCCAGAATCCAGTACCAATGTCCTCAGCATGTTCATCAGCTGCTGGGGGAGTGCGGGACAGCATGAAAGCACAGGAGAACTTTCTGGATGATAGAAATACTCTGTATCTTCAAAGGAGGTGGGTTCCATAGTAATGTTAAATGAGTTAAAACTCATCAAAATGTAAACCAGACCTGTGCATTTCACTAATAGAAATTATACCTCCAATTAAAAACATGTTTTAAAAGACAGATGGGCCGGATGCAGTGGCTCATACTTGTAATCCCAGCACTTTGGGAGGCTGAGGCAGGTAGATCACCTGAGTCAGGAGCTCGAGACCAGCCTGGAAAACATGGTGAAATCCTGCCTCTATTAAAGGTATAAAAAAAAATTAGCCAGGCATGGTGGCACACGCTACTCGGGAAGCTGAGGCAGGAGAATTGCTTGAACCCAGGAGGCAGAGGTTACAGTGAGCAGAGATCGTGCCATTGCACTAGAGCCTGGGCAACAGCGCAAGACTCCATCTCAACAACAACAAAAAAAGGACAGATGAAGGTTTTCAACTTTCAATAAAGGCAGAGGAGCTTGTTACAGATTCGCCTCCCCACAAGAGCAGTTAGAAAAACTGGATAAAAATGTGCCCCGCCCCCAATCAAAAACAATTGTTGGAAGGTAATTGGAGACCTCAGTCAGGACTTGAGTGACCAGGCCTAGGAGGTGATCCTGACAGTCTGTAGTGCTTTCCCACATTTGGTGATTGGTCAACAGTAGAGGGCTAAGAGGCTAAGAAACTGAGTATGAAGTGGTAGTTAAGAGGCTGGAGAGCCTAGCTGAATGTTTGGCACTCTCACAGGGCTGAAATGACCTAATGAGAATTTGGGTCCCAGGAGGGAGATGGGACCTTGGTGGGGACCCTGGAAGGGCCACCCCTGGGAGTCCAAATGAATAAAACATAGACCAGCCATCAGAAAACCTAAAACCTGCTTTGAACCAGCTTAGTCCCGAAGTAGATGAAGGCGATCTGCCCTTACTCCAATTGTGTGCCATAAACTCAAAGTCAATACTCTCTGGAGGCAGATAAAAGTTTACTATGAATGCCAAAAGACAACACAAGACTAAATGAGAAAGACCAAGAAGAAAACTAATAGAAACATACATGTAAGGAAGAAACTTTTTTTTTTGAGACGGAGTTTCGCTCTGTCACCCAGGCTTGAGTGCAGTGGCACGATCTCAGCTCACTGCAACCTCTGCCTCCCAGGTTCAAGCGATTCTCCTGCCTCAGCCTCCCAAGTAGCTGGGATTACAGGCATGCGCCACCATGCCCGGCTAATTTTTGTATTGGCCAGGCTGGTCTTGAACTCTTGACCTCAGGTCATCCATTTACCTCGGCCTCCCAAATTGCTAGGATTACAGGCGTGAGCTACCATGCCTGGCCAGTATTTTGCCACAATTTAAAATAAATAAAATTTTTTTTTCAGGTTTGTGCTCAGACTATATTCTAAACAGTCACATGGCGGCTTACTCTTCTCCAGGCCTTGCTGCCGGCTTTTACATGTTTATTGTCTTTGCCTTCTTGTCATGTGCTCATTAGATGGCAGCTTCCAGGTGCTCCTAAGGGGCCAGGAAAGAGAGTGAGAAGGCACGGAGGTTGCCAGATCATCCCCCTTGGGGCCCCGCCCTCATCAACTCCCTCAACCGGGTCTCCTGCAACTATCGGTGGGCCATCTCGGCCACCGCTTCGCCCTGAGCTTCCTGCTGCTGCAGCTGGGCAGTGCCTCCTTCTCAGAGGCCAGCTGCTGATAGGCGGCCACGTACTGCTGCAGGTGACCCAGGTAATGGTCTCGCTGCTGCTGCAGACTCAGCCTCTTGGCTCTTCAGCTCCACCTGCAGGATAGGCGTCAGGGTAGGTAGTGGCTGGCTTCCAGATTCTGGGCCCATAAACAGGGTAGTGAGGGCACTGCGGGGCTCTGTCGCCTACCCAGGCCCCTGGCCCTGGCCCCTTCCTCCAGGCCTAAATGACTGCCTCCCTTGCCTAGAGGCCCATGCCTCCCTCCCCAGCCTCAAATCTCACACCCTTCTTCCCACCATTTAAACTGTAGGCCACAGACTGGTGGAAAAGCAGAGGGAGCCAACCACCATCTGCTAAGTTGTGGTGAGGTCGTTCTGTATGATCTCCAGGGTTTGCACACACCTCCGCCTGCTCCCCCCAAGAGCTCGGCCTTCTGCCCCAGCTTCCCCAGCCTCTCCTCCAGCTCCTGCAGCCTCACCTAGTGTTCCTGCATCTTCTCCTCCTGCTGCCGCAGCCTCACTTCCTGCTCCCGCATCTTCTCCTCCTGCCTCCGCATCTTCTCCTCCTGTTCTTGCATCTTCTCTTCCTGCTCACACATCTTCTCCTCCTGCTCCCACATCTTCTCTTCCTGTTCCTGCATCATCTCCTCCTGCTCTCGTATCTTCTCCTCCTGCTCCCGTATCTTCTTCTCCTGCTCCCTTATCTTCTCCTCCTGCCTCCGCATCTTCTCCTCCTGTTCTTGCATCTTCGCTTCCTGCTCACACATCTTCCCCTCCTGCTCCCCCATCTTCTCTTCCTGTTCCTGCATCATCTCCTCCTGCTCTCGTATCTTCTCCTCCTGCTCCCGTATCTTCTTCTCCTGCTCCCTTATCTTCTCCTCCTGCCTCCGCATCTTCTCCTCCTGTTCTTGCATCTCCTCTTCCTGCTCCCACATCTTCTCCTCCTGCTCCCCCATCTTCTCTTCCTGTTCCTGCATCATCTCCTCCTGCTCTCGTATCTTCTCCTCCTGCTCCCATATCTTCTCCTCCTGCTCCCGTATCTTCTCCTTCTGCTCCCGTATCTTCTCCTCCTGCTCCCTTATCTTCTCCTCCTGCCTCCGCATCTTCTCCTGTTCTTGCATCTTCTCTTCCTGCTCCCCCATCTTCTCTTCCTGTTCCTGCATCATCTCCTCCTGCTCTCGTATCTTCTCCTCCTGCTCCCGTATCTTCTCCTGCTCCCGTGTCTTCTCCTCCTGCTCCCTTATCTTCTCCTCCTGCTTCCACATCTTCTCCTCCTGCTCCTGCCTCTTTTCCTCCTGCTCCCGTATCTTCTCCTCCTGCCTCCACACCTTCTCCTCCTGCTCCCGTATCTTCTCCTCCTGCCTCCACATCTTATCCTCCTGCTCCTGCCTCTTCTCCTCCTCCCATATCTTCTCCTGCTCATGCATCTTCTCTTCCTCCCTCCACATCTCCTCCTGCTCCCGTATCTTCTCCTCCTGCCTCCACATCTTCTCCTCCTGCTCCCGTATCTTCTCCTCCTGCCTCCACACCTTCTCCTCCTGCTCCCGTATCTTCTCCTCCTGGTCGTGCATCTTCTCCTCCTGCCTCCACACCTTCTCCTCCTGCTTCCGTATCTTCTCCTCCTGCTCGTGCATCTTCTCCTTTTGCCTCCATATCTCCTCCTGCTCCCTTATCTTCTCCTCCTGCCTCCACATCTCCTCCTGCTCCTGCCTCTTCTCCTCCTCCCGTATCTTCTCCTGCTCGTGAATCTTCTCCTCCTGCCTCCACATCTTTTTCTCCTGCTCCCGTATCTTCTCTTCCTGCTCCCGTATCTTCTCCTCCTGCCTCCACATCTTCGCCTCCTGCTCCTGCCTCTTCTCCTGCTCGCGTATCTTCTCCTCCTCCTGCCTCTTCTCTTCCTGCTCCCGTATCTTCTCCTGCTCGTGCATCTTCTCTTCCAGCTCCCGTATCTTCTCCTCCTTCTCCCACATCATCTCCTCCTGCCTCCGCATCTTCTCCTCCTTCTCCCACATCATCTCCTCCTGCCTCCGCATCTTCTCCTCCTGCTCCCGTATCTTCTCCTCCTGCTCCTGTATCTTCTCCTCCCGCTCCTGTATCTTCTCCTCCTGCCTCCACATCTTCTCCTCCTGTTGCTGGTTCAGGCGGTTCCACAACTCGTTCTCTTCCACCTGGGCTTGGAGCTTTGCTGACACACTCTGCAGCTCCTTACCCAGGTGGTCAGCCTCCGCCTGCAGCTGCTGCTGGAATAGTGAAAGTGTTTTTTTGAACCTCAGAAGGAAGCAGAATCATGAGCTAGCCACATAAATGTAATCTATAGGCTGGGCGCGGTGGCTCACGCCTGTAATCCCAGCACTTTGGGAGGCCGAGGTGGGCGGATCACGAGGTCAGGAGATCGAGACCATCCTGGTTAACACAGTGAAACCCCGTCTCTACTAAAAATACAAAAAATTAGCTGGGTGTGGTGGTGGGCACCTGTAGTCCCAGCTACTTGGGAGGCTGAGGCAGGAGAATGGCGTGAAGCCGGGGGGTGGAGCTTGCAGTGAGCCGAGATTGCGCCACTGCACTCTGGCCTGGGTGACAGAGTGAGACTACTTCTCAAATAAATAAATAAATAAATAAATAAATAAATAAATGTAATCTATAAAATAATGGTTTTCATCCATGATCCTTTAAAAAAATATTTTTAAGCCCTAACTCTTGAGATTCTGATTCCCCAGGCAGGGCCCCAATTTGTACATTTTTAGTACACTCTAGAGGATTCTATGGCGGGGCCAGAACAAGGACCCAAATTTTCCAGCTCTTGGCTGGAGCCTCCCCATACCCTGCATGATCCCTAGACCATGGTCCCAGCTGGATGGGTCTCCCACAACCCCCGGGGCTGCAGCTGCTCACCTGTGGCAGCAGGAGCTTGGCCCTCTCCAGTTTCCTTTTTAGCTCCTTTACGTTGAGCTGGATCTCAGACTTTTCAGATTCTACAAGTTGAAGTTTTTCTTGTAGTTTGGCATTTTTCTCCTTCAGCTCCTCATCAGTTATGCTATGGCCAGAGGCAGTAGAGAAAGGAATGAATGAAGAACATAAAAGACCACTTTGGTGATTGACCCCCTACCCTCGCCCCACAACCACAGAACCGTGGCGCTGGAAGGGACCCCAGGAATTAAAAGTCCCAGGTGGCAGGCCAGAGAGAAGACATGAGTTGCCTGAGGCTACCCCATGAGTCAGTGGCACAGCCAGCACTAGAGCTTCCGTGTGCACACATGAAAACATGTATGAGCCTCTCCCCACACTCACCTGGACCCCCCACCTCCCAGCACACCACCCATGCTAAGGGCCCCCAGACCTCCCATTCCACCTTCCCCCATCCTACGTGTTCCTGTACAGTTCCAGACTCAGGGCGTCCCTCTCCTTTGTTAACTCCTCAATGTACTGCAAATAGAGAAAGGTTAAGTCAGGATAGAGCAGGCACAGCAGTAGCTGGACGACCAGGAACAACTGCTACAGTGACTACTCCACAGTAACACTTCCTCACTCTCAATCACACCTGACGTGTTCTCAAGGCATTTCCAAGCCCATGGTCTCATTTGTTTTTCTTTCTTTCTTTCTTTCTTTTTTTTTTTTTTTTGGCAGAGTTTCATTCTTGTTGCCCTCACTGGAGTGCAATGGCACAATCTCAGCTCACCACAACCTACACCTCCGGGGTTCAAGCAATTCTCCTGCCTCAGCTTCCCGAGTAGTTGGGATTACAGGCATGTGCCACCACACCGGGCTAATTTTGTATTTTTAGTAGAGACGGGGTTTCTTCGTGTTGGTCAGTCTAGTCTTGAACTCCTGACCGCAGGTGATCCGCCCACCTCAGCCTCCCAAAGTGCTGGCATTACAGGCGTGAGCGAGAGCACCTGGCCCTCATTTGTTTTTCAAAGAACTCAGTGGATGTGGAAGGGACAGGGAAAGAGATTGAATTTAGGGCTGGCTAACAGGGGCCCAGAGCGATCAGATAATATTGTTATTGTTATTACTGTTATTACTACCACTGTTGGAGCCTTTATTGGGTGCTTCACCAGGCACTATGCTAACAATCCCATTTAATCCTCACAACCTCCATAGGAGACGGTTACCATTATTACCTCTATTGTGTAGATGAAAAACATGCGGTATTAAAGGTTAAGTGCTGCCTAAGATCACTTGGAGCTGGGATTTCAACACCCAGGTATATCTGATTCTCTAAGCCCATTCTTCCGCTGGAGGTAGGGGCACAGTTAAGAAGGAGGAAATTAATCCTTTGTTGAATTTTTGAAAGGATGATACGTTCGCATAGTCCAAAACTCAGAAAGTCCAGAAGGGAAATATCTCCCCCCAACACTGTGCCTCTATCCTGAGTTTTTTAATGAATCCTTACAAACGTGTTTTATGTATGTTACCATAATACGTACACACACACACATATACACCTGCCCCCTCTCTCCACACAAATAATAACATACTCAAGATACTCTTCTGTACCTTTATGGTACAAGTACCCTAACCGCCACTTAGGACTTGGCCAAGGCCACAGCCAAGTATGGGCAGGGCGGGCACTTGGCCTCTGAGATCTATGTCCAGTGCTCGCTCCTCACAGTGCTCCCCAACTCACCCACAACAGCCGACTCAGCCCCAGTCTGCCTCTAACAACCACACACAAAAGCAGCAAGAAATGGCCATGCTGCCTTCTGGGCAGGACACTCCATCCTACAGAAGGGACCTTTAGGCTCACTCCTCCATCTGCGAAGCTGGGCTCCCAAGGGACGGGGCCGTGTTTGGACTCACCCTATCCGCCTTCTTCTTCTGTGTAGCGACAGCAGAGAGAGCCTGCTCTAACTCTCCTGCAAACTTCCATGAATCATGCAGGCGGCTGATCAGATCCCTGGCCTCTCCTGGAATGAGAGACATTCAGATGTGGCCCAAAGGACTCCCCCTAAAGGCCTGTCAAAGTGCCAGGTTGAAGGATGATGGGGTGCCAGATTCCCACCTTCCAACTGCTTGACAGCATGCTGGCTGTAGTAAAGTGCCATCTGAAGCTCAGTTTTCTGACATGTAAGGATTCGTATGGTTTGAACCTGGGCCTTTGGGAGAAAAGACAAGCAAATGCTGAAAGAGAAGCAAAGAAACATTCTCCAGAGGGCAGGAGGGAACTTCACACCCTCCACTCACCTCTAGCTCCCTCCTTAGGGCTTCCTGATGTTGGTGGCTTGCCTTCTGTTCCTATAGAAAGAGGAAAACAGAGCTCTTGCTAGGGGGAGGCAGAGATGGCACAGCAAGAGACATGCCCCCAGAATGGCACCACTGCCCCAGAACAGGCCCACCCATGGGACCAGTTTATCAGGGACCCTGTGGGGATGGGGTGGAATCTTGGGGGTGAGCCTTCTTCCCCAGGCTGGGAGTGGGTGAGATGAGCCTGGGGCCTCTACATCTGAGTGCCCCCAAACCCAGCGGTCATGTCGTGAGCAAAGAAATCACACTACTTCTTCCAGCTGAGCTCGGTTCTATTGTTTCTGTGGGGAGAGTCAAAGGAAGGTGACTGAGGGTGGCCCCCTTGACTCTATTCCCCAGGCCAGGAAGCGATAGGCAGGGGCCAGGAATGGATTTAAAAGGCACAGTTCTCAGACCCAATGGGAACATGAACTGGTCAACTCTCCTCAACTCCCAAAGAAGAAGGATTTGGGTCTTTTTGGTTTTTGCCCACAGCCACAGAACTCAAAGTCTGAAACTAGATTCTCTTGAAAAGACAGTAACAGAAACCTTCAGAGGTGGAGTGCGAGAAAAGCCCACCCTTCCGCCAGCTTGTGATTTAGAAAGGTGCATTCACTCAGCAAACGTTGAGCACATACGGGCCAGGGACGGTTCTTCACAGCGGGAATAGAGGTCAGAAAAGGCAGACAGGAGCCCTTGGCCCCGAGGTTTCCATTCTAGTGGGCCTTTAACTCTCGGGCTCTCAGAGCTAACAGAAACCTCTGATACTCTCTAACTCTACCTCAGGAAACGCAAGCCCAAGAAGGAGAGTTTACAGCAGGTCCTGGACGAGGGATTAACATAAAAACACAATGACAAATCTCATTTAAACTTCACAAATGTAAGGAAAACAATACCACTCGTATTTTACGGATGTGAAAAGAGAGGCCCAAAGAGCTCAAGCAATTTGCGCTAAATCATATCCCTAGCAGATGGAGGGGTAGGATTCAAACCCAGAATTCTTAGCCAGTACCTGGCAGTTCTTCCACAATCTTAACAATTACCCTCCACCACCCCTTGGGCCCTCTGTCCCCAGGAGCCCGGCCAGCCAAGACTCACATCCTCAGGCGAGTGGCAACCACCAGAAGTGGTTGTCTCAGGGTTAGTGCCATTATTTATTTTCTTCTTTTTGGTGTCGCTTGCTGCTGTACCAACACTAGGGTTGGTCTGGGGATGATGGTCTGTCAACTGTGGAAAGGAAGAGCAGTGATACTCATGAGAACTACAAGCTCCTACAGTCACATCCTGCTTTACAGTTTATACTAAATACTCTTATAGACCATCTGATTTAATGCCACCAACTGTAGGAAATGTTGTCACAATCACTTAGTGACTGAGAGAGATTGATACCATGGCTGAAAAAAAAGGCAGTAATGGAACTTAAACTCAGTCTTCTGACTCTGAGCTCTGGGATTTTGCCCTAAATCAGCAGCTGCCAGGGACCAAAACCAGAGGCAGAGGTAGAAAAGCAAATATTAAGTAGGCAGGAACTGTGCACTATGTGGTTTAGGGTTATTCACCCTCACACGTCTGTTAGTGTTAAAAAGTACACCAGTACCTCTCAAACCTTTACATCAATGTCTCCTCATGGCAGAAGGCAGCCTTTCTGCTAAATCTGGGAATTTAACAGAAAGAGGACAACCCAAGCCTCATTTCAGAGAGAAGTCTTGTATACGCTTATAAATCTATGTGACTTTCATCCCTAAGTACATTAATGTTTTGTCTCTCAATAGAATCAAGGGAAACTGATGCTTCAGAAAGATGCCCCATATTTATCCTGTGGCACTCAAAGTACCCCAGGTTGAGATGAGATGAGGAAGACTCAAGCTAAGTTCAGTTTCCCAAGATCTGTTCCACAGAAGATAAGCAGATCTCACTCCAGAACCAGTGACTGAGGGGCACTCTGGTCCCAGAACAATGGAGAATTCAAATCTGAGGTGCAGAACTGAGAAAAAATGTTAAAATCTCTCTGGAGAGTAGAAGCCTGGGAGAAAACCAAACCAAACCCGTTCTCCCATTGCCACCCAGAGACACTGTCAACGTGTTGAGCTCATGGGGGAGGTGTAGGCTTTTCACACTGTCAAGGTCTGTGGTAAGGAAGTCAGGCAGCCTGAAACCTCTCTCTTCTAGGTCCCACAGTCCCCATTCCCCTTCCAGCTGGAAACCTGTGCTGCAACCAGAGGAAACAGAAGTGGGCAAGAACACTTAGGGGACTGGGTCCTAAGACCAAAGGCCGGTCTTGTGGTAGTAATGACAGTTTGTAGCGGGACTGTGACATCACTACATTCTACTCCTCGGTGGAGTGGTTGGGGGGGACACATGAGTGCAATGCCCAAGTTGCCGCTTTGAGACTGGGGAGGGGGTCACAAAATTGGGAGCCAGGTCCTTGGAGACGTGACCCCAAAGAGCCCCGGGAGGTCAGGCTTGGGGCGGCAGGAGGTGAGGGCCAATTAAGGAGCAAGGAGCTCCAGGAGTCACATCCCCAAAGTCACCCTGTGGCAACTGGTGAGGGCAGGTTCTGGGGCACCCAGGTCCTTGGAGATGTGAGCTCAAGGAGCCCAGGGAGGTCGGGTTTGGGGTAGCAGGAGGTAAGGGCGGAGTATGGAGTTGGAAGCCCCAGGAGTCACCTGCTCAAAGTCACCCTGGTGTGCCGGGCAGAGCAGGGGCAGGACTTATGAGGGGGTTGGGCTGGCTGACAAGATTTTGGTGTGGGGAGCCCAGAGACACTGGGGTGGGGGGCCCAGCCTGGTGTCCCTCAGGAGTGGCACAGACTCTGGCAGCAGTTCGGCTGTCAGAGGGGGCCTCGGGTTGGGTTGGGGTGTTGGTGCGTTTACCTGTTCCTTGGCCTCGGCCAATTTGCTCTGTCTGGTTTCTTTGGACATCATAGGATGGGTAGGGAGGTGGGGATGGGTAGGGAGGTGGGGATGGGTAGGGAGGTGGGGATGGGTAGGGAGGTGGGGATGGGTAGGGAGGTGGGGTTGGGGCCACATCAGCATGATCCAGGTGAGGACAAGTATATACCTCCAGTCACCTCTACGTCGCTGTGTGACTGAGCCAGAGAGGCGTAACCAGGGCTGCACTAGAATGCAGAATAGGGGTGTGGCCTTCATGCTTGAAGCCCATTGGTCAATGAGAAAGATGAAAGGAAAAGGAGGTGTGGCCAGACAGCAGCGTGTCATCAAGGACCTGTGTTGTCACAAGGAAAGCTGCCTATGCAACCGCTGTCCCCGCCCACTCCAGGAGAGGGGCGGGGCTGGCTTTCACTTTAAAAACTTTAAAACTTTATTACCTCAATTGAGGTACAAGTCCTATTAAAATGGAAATTTTATAGTGTGCTTGATGATTGATAAAGCAGACTTTATTATCCAACATTCCAATAAGATAATCACAATGTTTTCTCTTTTTTGGAAAAACTTTCTCTTATTCTCCTACATTAGCATTTAGTTTTTTTAAAAAAAACAAACAAACAAGAAACATGTCTAATATCTTTAAAAATACAAAGCTTTGAGCCAGGCATGATGGCTCATGCCTGTAATCCCAGCACTTTGGGAGGCTGGGGCGGGTGGATCACCCGAATTCAGGAGTTCAAGACCAGCCTGGCCAACATGATGAAATCCTGTCTCTACTAAAAATACAAAAGTAGCTGGGCATGGTGGCAGGTGCCTGTAATCCTAGCTACTTGGGAGGCTGAGGCAGGAGAATCCCTTGAACCTGTGAGGCAGAGGTTGCAGTGAGCCAAAATCATGCCACTGCACTTCAGCCTGGGCTGCTACAGAATGTGACTCTGTCTCTAAATACACACACACACACACACATGCACAGACACACACACACACACACACACACACACACAAGGCTTTCCATTTAATAAGCACTCAAAGTTCTTTACAAGGTTAAAGCAAATACAGGACCCTTCTAAAGTAAGGCTAAATGCTAAGTGATGGGGGAGAGAAAAAGGACATAAATAACTCCTACTCTCATGAGTTAATCACTAAATCCGATTTTTCTAGAATCACCTGGCCTCTAAGCCCTGAAAATGAAACTGAATTTCTCACTCGATACTTGGCTATGACTTGCAATCATGAAAACCAAGAATTGTGTTATGTCACTGTGTATTGCTTGTTACCTGGGATCAAGGGTTGACTTTTTCATGATTTGCTCCATCACCTGTGTGCTTCTTCTCCCAGTCCAAACTACGCTTTTTTCTAGAGTTCTACAATTTACAGTTAGTATGTAAGGGTGGCTCTCAAACATGTAGTCTCCGGACCAGGAGCACCTGGGAACTTCTTATAAATGTAAATTCTCAGGCCCCACCCTAGACATGAATGAATCAGAAACTCTGCAGTAGGGCCCAGCAATCCGTGCTGCAATAATCCCTCCAGGTGCTCAGGAACCTCTGCCATACAGCAGGTAGAAAAATGTGTTTCCTTTTGTAGGTCCACAGCCAGGGATACTATACGTTCTGTCTCAATATGAAACAATGACATGCAATTAAAAGACATAAATCTCCTTCCTACTTCCACCCTCCAGCCAGTGTGTTTTATTTTTATGAGTTCAATAAGAAAACGTGTGGCAATCAGAGATTTCATCTAAAAAATATATCTACAGGTATCAGTTCTCATCCAGCCTGATCTCATCCAATATCATTTCTATCCTCTTACATCTAAAGTTTTAGAAAAGGATTTTCACAACGTAAGACTCAGGCACACTAGGAGTTCTATGATAAAAGACCAAGTAGATCTGAATGTCCAAACTTACTAGAGAAGAAAAGTGGACTCATTGGCTATATTTTCAAATTACATTCAACAGGAAATTAAAGGTTTGAATTTTTTCCACCTTCATCCTTCCAAGTTAATAGACTTAAACCAGAATACTCCATTCTTCCAAAGCCTGTAGCCAGGCAAACTTTTACTGTATTACTTCTTGCTTTTCAATGGATATAAAGCAGAGTCCTGGTAGGCACATTTTGTATACCTGCAAAGATGCAAAACTAAACAGTTCCCTCGGTTCAATATTAAAACAAAAGTCCTGTAAACCTCAGATGGTGAGTGTAATACTTCAGCACTAGCACGAAAGCCTCAAATATAAAAAGATACCAAGAACCTTGCTAGCAAACCAAAGTAAGCTCTTGGCCGGGAGCAGTAGTTCACGCCCGTACTCCCAGCATATTGGCAAGCTAAGGTGGGGTAAGTCAGGAGTTAAAGACCAGCCTGGGCAGCATAGCGAATTCATATCTCTACAAAGAAAATTTAAAAATTAGCTGGGCTTGGCGGCACACACCTGTAGTCCTAGAGCTACTTGGGAGGCTGAGGTGGGAAAATCACTTGAGCCCAGAAGTTTGAGGCTGCAGTAGCTACGATCATGCCACTGCACTCCAGTTGGGGTGACAGAGCGAGATCTAATTATTACATTCTGTCCTGCTCCTGTTTCCACTAAAATCACTAACTTAAAATGTGTTCATTCAGCAGGATAAAAATTAAGTGAAATTTGACTTTGGTGCTTTGCTAGCAAAAAATAAATAAATAAAGTGAAATGACAAATTACTTACTGGGAGAAGATCTTTGTAACCTCAATGACAGATTAAAGGTTTGTATCCTTAGCCTATAAAGAAATCTTTTAAATTACTCAGAAAAAAAAAATGAATGATTTGCAGCAGAAAATGGGCAATGGAGAAACCAGCACTTCCCACAAGAATAAAAATGGCCAATGAGCAAATGAAAAAGATTCAAAAGCACTAGAAATCAAAGAAAGGTAATGAAAACAATGAGATTTTCTGCTTAAAGACCAGCGAAGACGACAAATGGAAGGCGGAACCTGGAGCTCTGTCCCTGTTGGTGGGAGCGTAAACTCAACCAATTTTCCTATAGGATGATTTGAACATTTGTTTTAAAAATCCTAAAACTGTTTTATATTATTTTCTTCTAGAAATTCTACTTCTATGAATTCAGTGCAAAAATCCTCACTCGAGTCCATTAAAATATATATAGAAGGAAATCCACCTCTGGGGTGGCAATGATTCACTTAACATACATCCAGCTGTTGAAAGTGATGATGCCAGGATATATTTCTCCCATAGAAACATGCTTAAAATATAGTAAGTGACAAAAGACCATGTATTGTGATTCTACTTTTTAAAATGTTTACAGCATAAAAAGTGTGAAAAGCAACAAACCAGAATGTTTTGAGTGGCAAAATTAAAGATTTTTCTTTACATTTTGTCATCCAAATTATTACAAAAACAATGTGATTTCCTTTATAATCATGGAAAAGTGTTATTTTCATTTATTTATATTTACATTTCTTTTCTTTTTCTTCTTTTTTCTCCTGTATGTATCCCACATAGGCTACAGAGCTTAAATCCCTGCCTCTTGAGAGAAATCAGCCCATTTTCAGGACATGCAATACACAAAGCTGTCCCATCTTCCCTTTATTTTTATTTTTATCTTATTTATTTATTTATTTATTTATTTATTTATTTATTTATTTATGTTGAGATGGAGTCTCACTCTGTTGCCCAGGCTGGAGTGCGGTGGCGCATCTCAGCTCACTGCAACCTCCATATCCCGAGATCAAGCGATTCCCCTGCCTCAGCCTCCCGAGTACCTGGGACTATAGGCATGCACCACCATGCCCAGCTAATTTTTGTATTTTTAGTAGAGAGGAAGTTTTACCATCTTGGACAGGCTGGTCTCGAACTCCTGACCTCAAGTGATCCGTCTGCCTTGGCCTCCCAAAGTGCTGGGATTACAGGCATGAGCCACTGTGCCTGGCCTGTCATATTATTTCTAAACATTTGAGTGACATTTCAATTAAGTGAAATTTAATTCTTACTGACCTGATCTCTTATCCTCTGTTTAATGATACCTTCCAGTTGAAAGGTGTTTCCTCTGTAATCACGGGTGCCAAAGGAAATACAACATGTATTCATTAGGTGGATATCCACTAAACCACGGATTCATGCATTGTAGTCCTTAGACCCTCAGCATCAGAAACACGTGGGAACTTGTTAGACATGCAAATTCCTGGGCCAGCCCCACACCTCCTGAATCAGAAAGTGGGGAAGGACAGCTATCTGTGCTTTAATAAGCCTTGAGATGCTCCCTGAAGTTTGAAAACCACAGAACTAGAATACATATGGTAGTAAGTGCTCATACTTTATCCAAGGTACTAGGGACTCTTCCCCTCTTTTCCATTCTCTTTTCTGTTGAAATAAAATGAGAGCTCCTTTTGACTTAATGGGTATAAGAAAGAAGGCAATGAGATGACCAGGGTTTCAAGTTAGAGTTCAAAATTTAATCAGTGGACAGTGACAGGATGCAAGCCTTCTAAACAGATTGCTGCAAGGAAGCTGATTATAATCTATACAGTAGGTATCATTAGTGTATTGATGTTAAATTTTGGGGGTGGATTAATGGTATTGTGATTATATAGGAGAAGTCCTGGTTCCTAGAAGATATCTGCGAAAGTACTTAACAGTGAAATGCTCTGATACTGCCAACTTACTTTGAAATGATTCAGAGGGAAAAAGGGCACATATACAATCTTCCATACGCAGAAGACAGAAAACAAGTGTGACAAAACATTAACTAGTGAATCCAGTTGAATAGCATACAGATGTTCACTGTATGATTTTATCAACTTTTCTGTGTTTGCAAGTTTTCAAAATAAAAGTTGAGGGAAAGAAACATCACCCCAAATCTTTCTATGAAATGGGACCATAGAAAAAGCAGAGAAGTGAACACTTTGCAGAAAAGAGCACTGCACCCATCCGGACAGCATGGTCAAAGTGCAGGCTCTCCTCCAGGAGGCTCTTCTCTGGTCTCTTCTGTGCTGTCACTTCCCCCACATGCAGCCAAGGCTTTTTTCTAACAACTCTTTTTCTAAAGATGTAATTTTTGTCATTCATCTAAGAAAGAGAAGAAAAGAATTAGTATACATTTAGAAAATAAAATTACACTTACATTTGTGAAAAAGCAAAAAATACTTTGAAAAGTGGGGAAGCAAGAAATGTACTGTTCTACAATTCTGTTCTGTTCTTACCATCTTTTTATTCTGCCAATGACTTCCTATTCCTGCTGTGTATGGTGGGGTGAGCTGCAAATGATTTCTTTTCCTCATTGATTTAAAATCTCATGTTTATAATGTACCAAACTCCCCCAGAAGCATTTGGGTTTATTTCTGGGCTCTATTCTATTCAAGTAATCTATCTGTTCACAAGCCACTATCAATTTTGATTATTGGAGCATCCTAAAGTTAAGTAATTGTTGTTTTTGTTTTTGAGATGCAGTCTCTCACTCTGCCGCCCAGCTGGACTGCAGTGGCGTGATCTAGGCTCACTGCAAGCTCCACCTCCCGGGTTCATGGCATTCTCCTGCCTCAGCCTCCCGAGTAGCTGGGACTACAGGCACCTGCCACCACGCCTGGCTAATTTTTTGTATGTTTAGTAGAGATGGGGTTTCACCTTGTTAGCCAGGATGGTCTCGATCTCCTGACCTCGTGATCCACCTGCCTCGGCCTCCCAAAGTGCTGGGATTACAGGCGTGAGCCACCGCGCCTGGCCCTGAATTTGCTTGAGTTTTTAGCTCTCTCACCCATTTCAGGATTGTCACCACCCATATCTGACACGTCCTCCTCCTCCTCTAAATCTTCTAGGTCCTCCTGGCCATCAGCCTCTGTTTCTGAACCAGCCTCTTCATGCTCCTGTTCTTCACTCTCTGGGAGAAGACTGATATCTTCATCTTTCTTTCACTAACCGCATTCTGGAAGCACTGTAAAATTGCTTCATTTTGCAATTCCAGTTGTTGCAAAGTCTGCTCATCATCAAAACTTTCTATCACAAGTTTTTGTAAAGAGCTGCCATGGATTCTACCATTCTCTACTGTTTTATTAAAGTCATAAAGCACTTTTGTTAAAGAAGTGAACTTTGGTTCCAATCCATCTTGAAACCTATTGGGAGGAATTAAATGAGATTTAGAATTATAGATAATAATTTCACAGCCCTCTTAATTAAAAGAAAAATAAAAACCTCAACTCTTCTGTAAAATCAAATTTGAATAAAGTGTAAGTATAGATTCTGGCCCCAACAATATATAAGCTGATGAGCCACAATGATATATAAAACCTGTCAACCAAGTATTTGTGAATCAGCTGTATAGATTGTTGGCAGGAAAAGCATTACAAATCTATTTGCTTGGAGATATATAGTGAATTAGCCTTAAATTATCTACTCTGCTACATTATATACCACTCCATTCATTCATTCCCTTATTCACTCAATGATCAACATTTGCTTTGGCTACAGTGGTCAAGGAAAACCTCTCCTAGATGTGACATCTGAGATGAAACTTACAGACAAGTATAGTCTTATAAAGATTGGGAAACATGTATTCCAGGCGGAAGAAACAGCAAGAACAAATTCTCTAAGATGCAATTGAGCTTGGTAAGCCTGAGGAATAAAAAAAGTGAGCATGGCTATAGCATGAAGGAGGCAGAAGGTGAAGTTGGAGAGACTGATGGGAGCCAAATTCTGCAGGGCTCAAGGGTAAGAGTTTGCCGTTTTAACTGTAATAAGAAAATATGAGAAGATTTTAAGCAGAAGGATGAAATGATGATTTATACGAAGGAAGAAGAAAGGGAGGAAGGAGGAGGAGGAAAGTAGAGTGATTAGAAGGTTGATGCAGCATTCCAGGCAAAGGATGATGGTGATTTAAGCTGGAGTTAGAGCAGTGAATATGCTGAGTACAGTTTGGAGGTAGAACTGACAGGATTGCTAAGGAATTAGATACAGAATAGAGAAAAGTGAAGACATCAAAATAGCAGCCTAGTTTTATGTGCGAGCAACTGGAGAGACAGAACTGCCATTTAGTGCGATAGGCAAGGCTTGAGTGGTGGAGCAAGGGGAAAGGACTTCAGCGGATGGCAGAGTGTAGGTGGGTAGAAACAACATTCTACTGTATTTTGGACACAGTGAATTTGTGATGCTGAGAGGACCAAAATTTAAAAAATTGTTAAAAGCCGTACGGTGCGGATATCCCAGTTGTGCGCTACTGAATTCCAACTAAGCTCAGTCTGGAGTTGCTTGTGAGCAAGGAACTCAAGGGAGAGGTTGGAGTTTGAAACATAAATGAGTCATAATTTTATAGGTCATATTTGAAGTTCTTCAACAAAATACACATAAAACGTTTGTGTTGGGAAGAGACATGAAAGTTCTAATTCTCAAGAAGCTTAGTGGGGTAGACAGACAAGTGACAAGTTTGTGCTTTCAATAAAGTATGATGGCAGGTAAACACTGAGTGCTTTAGGAGCACAGGCGGAAGGAGAAACCAACACAGTTGTGTGTAGGGGGATGGGGGCCGTAATAAGCCTCAAGGGGAGCTTATAGGCGTGAATAACTGAGGTTAGGTTGATTTCAATAACATTCAACTGAGAGATCCATACTGTAAAAGTTTTAACAATTTTTAAAATTTTGATAGCCTAGGTCCTCTGAAATGTGGGGAAAAGTGATTTACATTTCCCCTTACCTTCCCCCAGCTCCACAATTTGCCAGGGGTCTGCAACCCGTGTCCACGTGCGACCGCAGTCGCACCCGAGCCCGGGATCTGTGCACTTACGTGAGGATGCACTCGGGCCAGCCAGTGGCTTTGCCCACCTCCCTCAGACACCGCTCCGGGGTCCGTCAGCGCCAGGCCCATGGGCCATGGCTGTCTGCAACTCCCGACACAAGCTGCAAGGCAAGAGAGCCGCTGGGAAACCGCACCGCAAGGATGCTGGCATTGGAACAGGAATTAAAAGAAATGAAAAAATGTGTAAGCAAAAACTCAGCTGTATGTAAAAAAAACCCAATTCCCCCTGAGAATGAGAAAGAGCCTTAGTCCTTTAAAAAAACTACCTGTTTTCCTATGGCTAGTGAGCCTTATCGCTCCCTTCCCAGGCATTATCAAAACCCTAATTCCCTAACTGTGCAACTGCAAGGTCACTAAACAAACAAATGCAAGTCACAAAACATATTTTTCCTAAAAACGTAAAAAAAAAAAAACATAATGCGTGCTTCAATTAAATAACCCTCTGTTTCTCGCTTCTGTAATATGCTTCCCCCTGCACAGATCTACCCGGGCTCCACAAAATGCTAAAAGATAACTCTTTATTCAGCTCAACGCTTTGATCTGCCTGGCGTGGTGGCTCACTCTTGTGATCCCAGGACTTTGGACGGCCAAGTAGGGTGGATCGCTTGTGCCTTGGAGTTCCAGACAGGCCTGGGCAACATGGTGAAACCTGGTCTTTTTGTTTTGTGTTGTTTTGAGACAGAGTTTCGCTCTTGTTGCCCAGGCTGGAATGCAGTGGCTGGGTCTCTGCTTGCCGCGACTTCCGCCTCCCGGGTTTCGGTCGTTGTCCTGCATCAGCCTCCAGAGTGGCTGGGATTGCAGGCATAAGCCACCAAGCCCGGCTAATTTTGTATTTTTTTTTTTATTTTTATTTTGGTACAGATGGGGTTTCTCCCTGTTGGTCAGGCTGGTCTCAAACTCCCGACCTCAGGTGATCCACCTGCCTAGGCCTCCCGAGGTGCTAGGATTGCAGGCTTGAGCCACCGCTCCCGGCCCAATTTGTTAATCAGAAAGGAATAGATCGTCCTGGTGTGGTGGCTCACGCTTGTGATCCCAGTACTTTGGATGGCCCAGCGCGGGGTATCCCTTGAGCCTAGGAGTTCCAGACCTGCCTGGGCAACATGGTGAAACCCGGTCTCTCTCTCTCTCTCTTTTTTTTTTTTTATGAGGTGGAGTTTCGCTCTTGTTGCCCAGGGTGGAGTGCAGTGGCTGGGTCTCCGCTCGCAGCGACTTCTGCCTCCAGGGTTTTAGTAGTTCTCCTGCCTCAGTCTCCGGAGTGGCTGGGATTGCAGGCCTGACCAACATTGCTCTGCTAATTTTTTTTATTTGTTTTTGGTAGAGACGGAGTTTCTCCATGCTGGGCAAGCTGATCTCAAACTCCAGACCTCAGGTTATCCGCCCACCTCGGCCTCCGGGGATGCTGGAATTGCAGGCGTGAGCCAGCGCACACACCCAATTTATTTTTATTTCATTTTTTATTTTTATATATATATACTTTTGAGACGGAGTCTCACTTTGTCACCCAGGCTGGAGTGCAGTGGTGCGCTGTCTCGGCTCACTGCAACCTCTGCCTCCCAGGTTCAAGCGATTCTCCTGCCTCAGCCGCCTGAGTAGCTGAGATTACAGGCGCCCGCTAGCACACCCATCTAATTTTTTTTTTTTTTTTTTTTTTTGGATTTTTAGTAGAGATGGGTTTTCATCATGTTGGCCAGGCTGGTCTCGAACTCCGGACCTCAGGTAAACCCACCTCGGCCTCCCAAAGTGCTGGGATGACAGGAAGGATCGGCCTGGCGTGGTGGCTCACGCTTTTGATCCCAGGAGTTTGGACGGGCCGAGCGTGGCGGATCCCTTGATCCTAGGAGTTCTAGACCAGCCTGGGCAACATGGTGAAAACCGGTCTCTCTCTCTCTCTCTTTTTTTTTTTGAGGCGTAGTTTCCCTCTTGTTGCAGGGCTGGAGTGCAGTGGTGCGGTGTCGGCTCCCCGCGGCCTCTGCCTCTGGGTTTGGGTGGTTCTCCTGCCTCAGCCTCCGAGTGACTGGGATTGCAGGCGGGAGCCACCATGCCCGGCTCTTTTTTTTTTTTTCTGGTAGAGACAGGTCTCTCCATGTTGGTCAGGCTGGTCTCAAACTCCCGACCTCAGGTGATCCGCCCGCCACGGCCTCCCGGGGTGCTGGGACTGCAGGCGTGAGCCACCGCTCCCGGCCCAATTTATTAATCAGAAAGAAATAGATCGGCCTGGCGTGGTGGCTCACGCTTTTGATCCCAGGACTTTGGACAACCGAGCGTGGGGAATTGCTTGAGCCTAAGAGTTCCAGACCTGCCTGGGCAACATGGTGAAAATCTGTCTCTTATTATTATTTTTTTTTTCTTTTGAGGCGGAGTTTCCCTCTTGTTGCCCAGGCTGGAGTGCAGTGGCTGGGTCTCCGCTCGCGGCGAATTCTGCATCCCGGGTTTTGGTGGTTCTCCTGCCTCAGCCTCCTGAGTAGCTGGGATTACAGGCACCTGCCGCCACACCCGGCTAATTTTTTTTTTTGTATTTTTAGTAGAGACGGGTTTTCATCATGTTGGCCAGGCTGGTCTCAAATTCCTGACCTCCGGTGATCCACCCACCTCCGCCTCCCCAAGTGCTGGGATGACAGGCGTGATCGGCCTGGCGTGGTGGCTCACGCTTTTGATTCCAGGACTTTGGACTGGCCAAGCGTGGGGGATTGCTTGAGCCTAGGAGTTCCAGACCGGCCTGGGCAACATGGTTAAACCCAGTCTTTTTTTAAATTCCTTTATTATTATTATTATTTTTTTTTTTTTTGAGACGGAGTCTCTCTGTCGCCCAGGCTGGAGTGCAGTGGCGCTATCTCGGCTCACTGCAGCCTCTGCCTCCCAGGGTCAAGGGATTCTCCTGCCTCAGCCTCCTGAGTAGCTGGGATTACAGGCGCCCACCACCACACCCGGCTAATTTTTTTTATTTTTTAGTAGATCGTGGTAACTGCCTTAAAATGATGATTGTTCAGAAAGTCAGTTTAATTTAGATACTAAGGATATTGAGGTTATGTAACATTTGAGCAAGTTCTAAAAAAAAAGAGAAATAGTATATTTAATTGCTAATAAAGTATTGTCAACTCACAAATATATTCACATAGCATACATTTCAAGAGCAGAATAACCATGAATATAAAAGGAATTAGCAAAAACGAGACAAAAAAGACATGAAGAAATAAAAACAGATGGAACAAATAGCACAAAATACGATGAAAGTTATAAAAGAAACTATGCCAACAATCACAATAAATGTAAATAGACTGAATAATTAAGAGAAAATGACTATAAAACAGAATTAGGGCACGCGTGGTGGCTCATGCCTGTAATCCCAGCACTTTGGGAGGATGAGGCAGGCGGAGGGATCACAAGGTCAGGAGTTCGAGAGCAGCCTGACCAACATGGTGAAACCCCATCTCTGCTAATACAAAAATTAGCCGGCGTGGTGGTGAACATCTGTAATCCCAGTTACTCAGGAGGCTGAGGCAGGAGAATCGCTTGAATCCAGGAGGCAGAGGTTGCAGTGCCGAGGTCACACCATTACACTCCAGCCTGGGCAACAGAGCAAGACTCCGTATCAAAAAAAAAAACACACAAAAAAAACACAAAAAACAGAAAATAAACAGTATGAAAAGACATCTAAAACATAAAGTCACAGAAAGACTGAGAGAGATTGAAAAAAGATACACATGTCATATGTACCTAACCCAAAGAAGGGTTGGAAGCTATATTATTATCAGATAAAATAGGCTTTGGGCAAAAAGCAATATGGGAGATTTTTTAAGGTCACAATATGATGATAAAAATTCTAATAAACCAAGGGAGAAGGTAATCTAAAATGTTAATGTATCTAATAACTAGCACTCAAAATACATGAAAGCAAAATATGACAAAATTGCAACCCTCAGAGGGCAATTTAAATACATATCTCAGTATCTGATAAAAGAGACAAAAAACAATCAGCATAGACATAGAAGATTTACATCTCTCTAGAAAATTAACAAGCTTGACCTAATGTACAGAAAAAACATATCTCTCCAAAGTGACAGCATTCACCCCCCCAAGTACATATGTACTGAGCCATAAGGAAAATCTCAACAAATTCCAAAGAAGCGGAATCATGCATCCATCTTTCTCTCTAACCATAATCTCATTAAACTAAAAACAATAATAAAAAGATAAAGTAAAAAGCCAGAAAGGCAGATGCTAAATGAGAAAGTGACAGAGAAGTTACAGATTTTGTTAAGCATACAAAGCTTCTATAGGGTAAAGCAGTCAAAGGGATATGCAAATTTACACAGAAATCCAACCGATATAAATCCTTGAAAGATACTACATACAGATATTTCATCAGTTCTCACATGCCAAACCCAGCAAAGCCAAACTTTGGAGCCTCCCCTGCGAGCAGACCTGCCACAGGAGGAGAGGCAGCACAAACCTCCCTTTGCAGTGAAAATGCCACATTGTGTGTGCTTCTTACCCCATCACCTCTTTGGAAGTGGCCCCACTCAGTGCTAGCTGAGAATCGCTTCCCTCATACCACTCTCAGTAGTTCACCCCAAGACACACTGGACAACTCTGTACCTGGTAAGTCATTGTGAATCCAATTAATAATGGCATTCAGAAAGTTAGGAATCTTTGAATTATTAGATTCATAGTGATATTCAAAAGAAAGAAAACGACATCATTTCTGTTCCACGCATGTTGCCCACATTCACTGCGTAAAAGGCAAAGGGAACTGTGAGTACTCACAAAGAACCTGATATTGACGGCACATACATTTCTTCATTAGGAAGAATAAATTTAGACTGTAACAATTTAAAAAACCAGAAAATACAACTGTACATTTTAGCTCTTATTAAAATCCAAGAGGTTTAACTTATTTGCTCCTTGTTTAGGTAATTAGTGTCTAAAACATTTCAAAGATAACATATATAGTGGCTACGATTTCTAGTACTTTTTAAAAATTCAAGCCCAGTCTCTTCTAATTAAATGTATAAATGATTTATCTCTGTCTTTCTTAAAAAGAACCAAGAGCCCCAATTAAAAAGTAAAACTTAAATTTCCTCTTAAAAAATTGTTACGTCAAAATTATCGAATAAACCATAGTTCAGAAAATAATTTCTGAATTAAGAAAATATGAATAATAAAACCAACAGTTTATGTGCTGAATTTCAAATTTTTATTTTTTATTATTTTTAAAATTTTGTTTTAAGTTCTAGGGTACATGTGCAGGAGTGTTACGTAGGGAAACGTGTGCCATGGTGGTTTGGTCCACCTATCAACTCATCACCTCAGTGTTAAGCCCAGCACGCATTAGCTATTTTTCCTGATGCTCCTCCCCCACCCGCCCTGACAGGCCCCAGTATGTGTTGTTTCCCTTCCTGTGTCCATGTGTTCTCACTGAACCTCACATTTTTAAATACAGCATATGCCAGGTGTCATTTCAGTACCCATGATTATACATAGTATAAGTATATGTGTAAATATATGTATATGTGTACATATATGTATGTAATATGTGTATGTAAATATTATGTAAATATGTATGTATGTAAGTATATATGTAAATATGTATGTGAATGTATGTAAATATATACACATGTAAATATGTATGGAAAAATATGTATGTAAATATATGTATGTAAATATATGTATATATATATAAATGTAAAATATGTAAATATTTGTAAATGTAAAATATGTAAATGTAAAATAAATGTAGAATGTCAAATGTAAATGTAAAATGTAAAATAAATGTAAAATGTAAAATAAATGTAAAATGTAAAATAAATGTAAAATGTAAATGTAAAATATGTAAATATATGTATATGTGTAAATATATGTGTGTAAATATATATGTATATGTGTAATATATATGTATATGTGTAAATATATATGTATATATAACACAGCATACAGCATATGCCAGGTGTCATTTCAGTACCCATAATTATACATAGTATAATTATACATAGTATAATTAGACTACTATGTTAGCTAAAAAATGTTGATTAGATACAAATGTATAAATTTATCTTCTCTAAAAGTGGAAATTCTCTAGAGGCTATTTCCAGCTTCTGTGTGGATTGTAGAGCAGGCTGCTACCTGTACCCCAAAAATGAACACCTTAAAAAAAAGACAAGTTTCTCAGCCTCCCTATTGCACACACATATGAAAAATATGTTAAATTCAACGCCAACTATTCCTGAGATCAACACAGCAGTGATCCCAAAGAGAAAATTTCTCTTTGCTAATGGGCACAAACTTGAAGGGCAAAGCAGTGGAAGGGTAAGTCTGCAGACTCGGGTGGGGCTCAAGTCAGAATCACGTGGAAGATCATTGCCACATGTTTTTGTTTTTTTAAATAGCAAACACCACCAAGTGGAGCCCGCCGGGTTTAGTAGATATTAAACCTCTAAGGAGTGGCACATCCGAGACTGAAATTCCCATCTTTTGATTCCCAGCTCAAGGTCTCTGAAATGCCAGCACCAGCTGTGAAATTGTTCTTCTGCATTTTCATGGAGACCTTTTCTTCTATACTGCCATACTCTTTTTTTTGGAACAGTTATACCTGATCTTCCTATTTTTGTGTGTGTTCCACCGAAAGTTTTTCACTCTAAATACTTCCCTCTTTCCAACTGAGCATTTACATCTGTAACAAGGACAAAAACATCTAACATCTCTCTCACCCTTGGTTTGTGTTTTGTTTTGTTTGTTTTTGAGACAGGGTCTTGCTCTGTCACCCAGGCTGGAGTGCAGTGGCGTGATCACCGTTCACTGCAGCCTCGAGCTCCTGAGCTGAAGCAATTTTCCCACCTCAACCTCTGAGTAGCTGAGACTATAGGTGTGTGCCACCACGCCTGGCTAATATTTGTATTTTTTGTAGAGATGAGTTTTTGCCATGTTGCCCAGGCTGGTATTGAACTCCTGGCTTAAGTGATCCTCCTGCCTAGGCTTCCCAAAGTGCTGGAAGGAATTACAGGTATGAGCCACCGTGCCTGGCCTCACCATTGTTAAAATTATGGAAATCGTGTTTGCAAAGCAGCTTGGCCTGTTTGGAAAAGGGTGTCATAATTTCTCAGGTAACTCCAAAAAGAGAAAGCTACGAAAATTACTTTAATACATTCATTACAGTCCCAGTATAAGATTATAGCTTCCTCTCCCAAAGCGTAACCACAACCTGACGCAGGATGAGTTGGTTTGAAAATACCGCATACAATATCCTCTTGAGTAGAATCATAATTTAGAACTCTAAAATTGACCAGAAACAAAACTGTCCAAGTTTGTTTAACGTAATGTGTTTCAACTTATTTGACTAGAAAACCCTTCATTCGTGCAACACTTATAAATATCCCATGGCAAATCTAGTTTTCTATGAATAATGAACAAAACATTTATAATTTAAAACTAAAATTGTCTTCTAAGCAGAGATCTACGTATCAATAAAATGAAGAAATAAAATTTCCATACTGTTTTCTTCCCAATACAAGGATTAGAAGGAAAGGGAAAAGAGTAACAGCGAGAATCAATAGCCCATGTCTGGCCAGGCTCCATGGCTCAATCACACCTGTAATCCCAGCAATTTCAGAAGCTGAGGCGGGAGGATCACTGGCCTTTAGTGATCCTTGAATGAAACTCCATCTCTAAAAAATTAAAAATATTAGCTTAGAGAATCATTTGGGCCCAGGAGTTTGAGGCTGTATTGAACTATGACTATGCTACTGCATTCCAGCCTGGGCAACAGGCTGCTTAAACCTGGAGGGGCGGAGCTTGCAGTGAGCCGAGATCGCGCCACTGCACTCCAGCCTGAGCAAAGGAGCCAGACTCCGTGGCAAAAAAAAAAAAAAAAAAAGAGATTCTATTCACAATAGCAACAAAACCCTGAGAATATATCTAGCAAAGTATACACAAGGCCTTTCATGAAGAGTATTGCCATAGCCTGAATGTGTCTCCCAAAATTCATGTATTAAAACTTAATTCCCAAGATGATAGTACTAAGAAGTGGGGCCTTTAAGAAGTGATTAAGACATAGGGTGAGCCCTCATGCATGAGATTAGTGCCTTCCTTATAAAAGGGCTTGTGGGTGGTGGTAAATCTGTCCCTTCTGCCTCATGAGAACATAGCATTTGCCTGCTCCAGAGGAAGCAGCATTCAACGTACCATCTTGGAAGCAGAGACCAGGCCCTCACTAGACACTGTGTCTGCTGGAGTCTTGATCTTGTTCTTCCCAACCTCCAGAACTGAGAAAATAAACTTCTGCTCTGTGTAAATTACCCAGTCTCAGGTGTTTTGTTATAGCACTATGAAGGGACTAAGACAAATATAAAAATTACCCAGGGACTTAAAGGAAGAACTGACTAAACTGAAATACATGCCATATATATTATGAATCGTAGGACTCAATGCTATAAACATACTACTTCTCAACAAATTAATCTATAAATTCAAGAAATTCCTACACAAATCCCAATAGAATTTTTTTGTGGAACTCGAGAGGCTGATCCTAAAATTCATACAGTCACTTGAGGGGCCAAGAATAGTGTAACAGGGCTGGCGGGGCTGGTGGCTCACACCTGTAGTCCCAGTACTTGGGAAGTCAAGACTGGAGGATGGTTTGAACCCAGGAGTTCAAGACCAGCCTAGGCAACATAGCAAGATGTTGTCTCAAAATATTAAAAATAAATAAATAAATAAAAAGAAGGTTAAGTATGCACATTTTGTTGTGAATTTCAATTTTATAGTGATTTTTTTTTTTTTTTTGAGACAGGGTCTTGCTCTGTCACCCAGGCTGGAGTGCAGTGGTGCCATCTTGGTTCACTGCAACCTCTGCGTGGGCTCAAGCAATCCTCCCGCCTCACTCTCTGGAGTAGCTGGGACCACAGTTATGTGCCACCACACCTGACTAATTTTTATATTTTTTTTTTGTAGAGACGGGGTTTTTCCATGTTGCCCAGGTTGTTCTCAAACTCATCCACCTGCCTTGGCCTCCGTAAGTGAGATCACAGACATGGGCCACTGTGCCCGGTCTAGTGCGCTTTTTTTTTTTTTTTTTTTTTTAACCAAACAAACGATGAAGTCTCAGGAGTAAAAGTTGATACACAAGTAAATTTTATTGGTAATGTTTTTGTGTGGTCTTTAAGCAGAGGGAAAATTAGTCTGCATTATGGTGTATCCAGACTAAATAACTGATATTAAAATGAAATTATCCTTAGGATTTGCAATCTTAGAGAAAACTTTTTCATTTTTTTTGAGTTACAAATTATCTTCACTTACATTTGAGAACAGTGAGTCACAGAGGGATTAAGTATCTTACTCAAGATCTTCAAGTGTTTGGTTTGAACCCAATCTTTTCACTCTGCAGAACTCAGAGTCACTCTTATTTGGAAACTTTTTAACTGATGTGGATCCTCTAATATGGGCTTCCTATTATTCATTCCGTATTAGTCAGAAGTTTTGCAAGCAGGCAGAATTCATTTTGCCAATTACGGGATTTTCCCTCAGTTGCAGTCAAGGTTCATAAAACTATAACTATTTATCTTTAATTATAAATTTTGTTTTTGAGACAAAGTCTTGCTCTGTTGCTCAGACTGGGATCCAGTGGCACAGTAACAGCCCATTGCAGCTTTGAACTCCTGGGCTCAAGGGATCCTCCGCCTCAGCCTCCCAAGTATCTGGGACTACAAGTGCATGCCATCATCCCTGGCTAATTTTGTTAAAAAAAAAAAATTGTAGAGATAGGGTCTTGCTTCGTTGCCCAGGCTGGTCTCAAACTCCTGGCCTCAAGCAAGCCTTCAGCCTTGGTCTCCCAAAGGGCTGAGATTACAGGTGTCAGCCATTGCACCTGGCCAAAACTGTAACTATATATACACACACACATAACTACATATATATGTGTGTGTGTGTGTGTATGTATGTGTGTGTGTATATATATTTTTATATATAAATAGATATATCTGAAAGGCATCAAAAGAAAAAAGCTGTAACTTTTAGTCTTGATCTTGATAGTGACTTGATTAGGCTATCTGTTTAACATCAAAGATGCAAATTAATGCTTTCTTTGGGTGAGCATATTAAAAATGCAGAAAATATTGGAGTAGTTTTTTATGTTAAATAAATTGTATTCTGTGTATTTAAGGTATACAACATGATTTTATGGGATGCATATAGATGGTTAAAAAAAATTACTACAGTGAAGCAAATTAACGTATCCTTCAACTCAGATAGTTACCCGTTTTCTTTTTGTTTGGTGGCAAGAGGAGCTTAAAATCTCATTTAGCGTGAATCCCAAATACAGCACAATTTTATTACCTATATTTCTCGCGTTGTACATTATATTTCTAGGCTTGTTCATCCTACATATCTGCTACTGTGTAACCTCTGAGCTATGTCCACCCATTTTCTCTCTTGCCCCCCAAGTAATTTCCTAAAGTGTCTCATATAAAAAGGCAGTAGCTTTCAGCTTAAACTTTTTCTCTGTATATATTTAAGTCAATTTCTTTGAGGTATGTTTTTCTCTCCAGAATAGTTAGATGTAGGCATACCACTTTAATGTTGACACTAGTTCACCTAGAACTTATCTTCTGCAAATCTGTCTCTATGTCCATCTCTGTCTCCATCTTTGTCTCTGTCTTTATCTCTGTCTATCTATCTATCCATCCATCCATCCATCCATCTATCTCTCTATCCATCTATCTGTCTATCTAACTAAAGCAAATTCATGCCCTTCTCCTATTTATGGAATCGAGACCATAAACAGAGGTGAGGGAAAGAATTTGGCAGGAATTGCGATGTGTATTACCTGTGGCATAAGGAAACTTTACAGAACTAGGGTCAAAAGTATACTTTCTAGTTCTTTCCCATGGCTTTTCACTTTGATGTAGTCCTTATCAGGCAACTGAGGTTTTATATAAGTCCCCTGATTCTTAGAACATGAAGGTGTAGTATTCAAGTTTGGTCCCTTGAAACCACAATTTTTGTTAAAAAAAAATTAAGAAAATTGTATAATTTCCTCAGCAAATACATATTGATCATCTGTTATACAGCCATGAGAAGTGGTTCTGTTGAACACGTTTATTTTATCAGATCCCAATTCTAAACCAGGCATAGAATGGAAACCATGAAGGTAGGATGAAATAACTTCTGAATGTTTGAAAATAGTGTACTTAAAAATAAATATCAGGTGTTTTTGTTTTGTTTTTTGTTTTTTGTTTTTGAGACAGGGTCTCACTCTGTCACCCAGGCTGGAGTGTGGTGGTGCCATCTCACCTCATTGCAGCCTTGACCTCCCAGGCTCGGGTGATCTCCCACCTCAGCCTCCCAAGTAGCTGGGACTACAGGCACATGCCACCATGCCCAGCTAATTTTTTGTATTTTTTGTAGAGACAGGGTTTCACCATGTTGCCCAAGCTGGTCTAGAACTCCTGGGCTTAAGCGATCTTCCCACCTCAGCCTCCCAAAGTGCCAGGATTACAGGCATGAGCCACCATGCCTGGCTGAAAATACCAGGTTTTTAAGTATCAGCACTGCCTCTTCAATCTTTTCTATTACTATGTTGTGCTCAGTGGTATTTTTTATTGAATTAGAGCAGTGCTGTTCAATGGAACCTTCTTTGAGGATGGAAATCTTTTATGTCTCTGCTGTGTGGGTATGGTATTAGCTGGGTATGGGGCACCTGCCTATAGTCCCAGCTACTCAAGAGGCTGAGGTGGGAGGATCACTTGAGCCCAGGAGGCCGAGTCTGCAGGTTCGTACCACTGCAATTCAGCCTGTGTGACAGAATGAGACTCAGTCTCAGAATAAAATGAAATAAGGAAATAAAAATGTAATTGTTGAAATAAGAAACTAGTGGATGGATTAGACACGAGAAGAAAGAATTAATTGTTTAGGCGATTCTCTCCAAAAAGTAAGTCAGCATGTCACACAGAGAGACATGAGGATGGATGATAGGGCAGAAGTTGGTGGGCTTGGAGGGGAGAGGAAGATCAGAATGAGGTCCAAAATGTGTCTTAGTGAAATCCCAGGAGGAGATATTAAAATTATATTAGAAAGTGAAAGAAATAGAAGTTTTATTTATTTATTTATTTATTTATTTTGAGAAGGAGTCTCGCTCTGTAGCCCAGGCTCGAGTGCAGTGGCACGATCTGAGCTCACTGCAAGCTCCACCTCCTGGGTTCACGCCATTCTCCTGCCTCAGCTTCCCAAGTAGCTGGGACTACAGGCACCCACCACCACGCCTGGCTAATTTTTTGTATTTTTAGTAGAGATGTGGTTTCACCTTTTTAGTCAGGATGGTCTCAATCTCCTGACCTCATGATCCGCCAGCCTCAGGCTCCTAAAGTGCTGGAATTATACGCATAAGCCACTGCACCCGGCCCAAAAGCTTTGTGTTTTTACAAATATTACACATGTTTCTTGTTTAAGAAAAAAAGTCTTCACAATAACGTAGGAGAATAAGAGAAACATTTTTCCAAAAAAGAGAAGTCATTGTGATTATTTTATCTTATTGGAATGTTGGATAATATAGTCTGCTTCAGTAATCATCAAGCATGCTATGGATTTTCCATCTTCATAGGATCTGTATCTCGGTTAAGGTAATACTGGTAATTTTTGTACTCTATGAAAAATATAGGCCAAAATCATAGACCTTGCATAGAAGCTGGATCATGAAGACAGCTCTGGAGGAACACACAGGTACACACACACAGACACACATATATATAAAGTATACACATATATATTTTTTAAAAGCTTTTAAAGCAAAAGCCGGCCCTGCCCCTCTCCCAGAGTTGGCGGCCTCTCCCCTCTCTTAGAGTGGGTGGGGACAGTGGTTGCATGGGCAGCTTTCCTTGTGAGCCAAAGGTCCCTCTGGACACATGATGCCTGGCCACGCCCCCTTTCCCTTTCATCTTTCTCATTAACCAATGGGCTTGGAGCATTAAGGCCACGCCCCTATTCTGCCTTCTACTGCATCCCTGGTTACGCCTCCTCTGGCTCAGTCGCACAGCTACCTGGTAGGTGACTGGAGGTGTTGATCAGTGCTTGGTGGGATTTTGCTGATGTGGCCCCAAGCCCGCCTCCCTCCCCACCCTGCGATGGCAGAAGAAACTCGACAAAGTAAATTGGCAGCAGCCAAGAGAAAGGTAAAAACACACCAGGTCACGGACCCCCAACCCAGCCATAGATCCTCTCCAACGACAAGACTGCTGCCAGAGTCCATACCACTCCCGAGGTTCACCGGACTGGGACCCCCACACCGGTGCCTCTGGGCTACCCCCACCAAAGTTTTGTCAGTCAGCCCCACCCCTTCAGCAAGCAGCCCAGTCTCTGCCCTCACCAATCACCCCAGGGTGACTTTGGGCAGGTGAATCCTGGGGCTCCCCGCTCCTTTACTGGGCCCTCATCTCCTGCCACCCCAAGCTTGACCTCCCAGGGCTTTTTGGGCTCACATCTCCAAGGACCTGGGTCCCACAGCCCCAGACCCCACCCTCACCAGTCATCCCTGGGTGACTTTAGGCTGGTGAATCCTGGGGCTCCCTGCTGCTGACTCTTCCCTTCCCTCCTGCTGCCTCAAGGTGGACCTCCCTAGGCTGTGTGCACTGGTGTCTCCAAGGACCTGGGTCCCAGCTCTGTTTTTCCCTCCCCTATCATGGAGCGGTGACTCGGACATCATGCTGATGTGGTCCCTCCCCCTCACCAGGAAGAGTGGAATGTAGTGATGTCACGGTCCATCCAGTAACTGTCATTACTGCAAGACTGGCCTTTGATCTTATGACCCAGTCCCCTAAGCATTGCCACCCCATTTCTGGTTCCTCTTGTCACAGCACAAATTTCCAGCTGGAAGGGGAATGGAGATTGGGACCTAGGAGCAAGAGGTTTCAGGCTGCCTCACTCCCTTAGCATAAACATTGACAGCGGGAAAAGCCTACACTTCCCCTGTGAGCTCAAAACATTGACAGTACCTCTGGATGGCAACTGGAGAATGGGTTTGACTTGGTTTGGTTTTCTCCCAGGCTTCTACTTTCCAGAGAGATTTTAACAAATTTTTTGTGAGTTCTCCACCTCACATTCTAATTCTCCATGGTTCTGGGACCAGACTGCCCTTCAGCCAGTGGTCTGTGAAGTGAGATTTGCTCATCTTCTCTGGAATAGATCTTGGGAAACTGAACTTGACAGCTTGAATCTTCCTCATATTATGTAAACCTGGGGTACTTTGAGTGCCACAGGATACATATGGGACATCTTTCTGAAGCATCAGTTTCCATTGATTCTCTTGAGATCAAGAGAAAAAACATTAATGTACTTAGGGATGACAGTCACATAGGTTTCTAAGAGTATACCAGACTTCTCTCTGAAATGAGGCTTGGGTTGTCCTCTTTCTGATAAATTCCCAGATTTAACAGAAAGGCTGCCTTCTGCCATGAGGACACATTGATATAAGAGTTTGAGAGGTACTGGTGCACTTCTTCACACTAACAGACGTGTGAGGATGTATGACTAAACCACATGGCATACAGTTCCTGCCTACTTAATGTTTACTTTTCTACCTCTGCCTCTGGTTTTGGTCCCTGGCAGCTGCTGATTCTTGGTAAAACCCCAGAGTTTGGAGTCAGAAGACTGAGTTTCAAAGTTCGTCTGTCGCCTTTTTCTTTTCTTCTTTTTTTTTCTAGCCATGATATCAATCTCTTTGAGTCACTAAATGATTGTGACAACACCTTGTACAGTTGTTGGTATCATTAAATCAGATGGTGTATAAGAGTATTTTATAAAAACTGTAAAGGAGGATGTGGCTGCAGGGGCTGATAGTTCTCATGAGTATTACTGCTCTTGTTTCTGACAGTTAAAAGAATATTGGCAGAGAAACAGCCCTGGTGTTCCAGCAGGAGCCAAGAGGAACAGGAAAACAAATGGCAGCATCCATGAGACAGCCACTTCTGGTGGTTGCCACTCACCTGGAGATGTGAGTCTTGGCTGACTAGGTTCCTGGGGACAGGGGACCCAAGGGGCACTAGAGGGTAATTGTTAAGATTGTGGATGGACTGTTGGGTACCTGTGAAGAATTCTGGGTTTGAATCCTGCCTCTTTGTCTGCTAGGGATATGAATTAGGGCAAGTTGCTAGACCTCATCGGGCCTCTCTTTTCACATCTGTATAATAGAGGTGGTATTGTTTCACTTCCATTTGTGAAGTTTAAATGAGATTTGTTATTGTTGTTTTTATGTTAATCCCTAGTACATGGCCTGCTGTAAACACCCAGAACACCCAGGATATGGTCATTGCTGTTCGATTTTCCTCATCCCCAGTCTCAAGGGGAAGCCAGGACAATGAGAACAGTCACTTGGCACAGGAGTCACTGAAAGGGCCACAGGGTGCTGTGGTGGGGAGATAAGAACCATGAGAGAAGTTGGCACAAAGGAGTTATGGGACAAAGGGTCCAAGATAGGCAGAAAAGAAAATTGTGCCAGTTGATGGGGAAGAAAAGAAGTCAGAGGGCTTAGATACTGAGTGGGACAGAACATCTTCATGTGCACTCTCATCTCTTGTAGTCAGCAACAGGTATCCACGGGGAGAGCCCTACATCATCTGCTACCCTGAAGGATCTGGAGGTAAGAGGCTCTGGGCAGAGGTGCAGTGACCCTGCAGGCCAGCCCTCCAACCTCCTCCTCCAGGTGGGACGGGGTGCCCCTCTGCCAGCTGAGACAGTCCACACACACCCCAGCCCTAATGATTGCTCTCTCTACCTCTCCCCCCACTCCTCCTCCACCTCCTCCTCTCTGCATGCGCCTCAGAGCCCGTGCCAAGAACTAGCAGTAGTCCCAGACTCGAGGTCCGTAAAAGTCAGTCAACTGAAGAACACCATCAAATCTTTGGTAAGAGTCCACTGGGGTCCCCTGATTCCACGCTGCCAATCCTGGGCTCTAGTTTCCCCTTGGGGCCCTGAAGAAAGGGGACGGCGGCCCCTGGTGCCAAGGGCGAATAGGGAGCTGGGGCGCCCAGGCCTCACCTGGAGGGACCCCGGAGCATGCAGCATGGCTCTTTTTTTGCTGCCCTGTTTGCTGACTCTCCCCTCTCCAGACGCCCCTGCTCGAGTCCTTGCTACACACGCCCTGGGATTGTTGCCTCTTGGGGAAGTGCTAGCCTGACTAGTTGTCAGGGGCCCCGTATTTCTGCCATGACTCAGTCCCTAATTTGCTCTTTGATTCTGGACAAGCCACCTCTCCTTTTTGGGCTCATGTTTCCAGAGGAAGTAGTGAGTATCAAAGGTCTCTGTTAGCTCTCGAGTCTGAGATTTAAAGGCCTCCTAGAATGGAAACCTCAGGGCCAAAGGCTCCTGTCTGTCCTTTTCCGCCCTAAATCTTCTGTGAAGAACCGTACTTGGCCCGTACGTGCTCAGTAAATGTTTATTGAATGAATGCACTTTTCTAAATCACAAGCTGGCAGAAGGGGGGGCCTTTCTCAAACTCCATCTCTAGAGGTTTATGTTACTGTCCTGTCAAGAGATTCCAGATTCAGACCTTGAGTTCTGTGGCTGTGGACAAAAGCCAACAAAGACCCAAATCCTCTGTCCTTGGGAGCTTGAGGAGAGTTTACCAGTTCGAGTTCCCACTGGGTCTGAGAACTTTGCCTTTAAAATCCATTCCTGGCCCCTGCCTACCACTTCCTGCTCTGGGGAATAGAGTTGAGGGGGCCACCCTCCATCACCTTAATGTGACTCTCCCCACAGAAACAACAGAATAAACAAGTGGAACATCAGCTGGAAGAAGTAACATGATTTCTTTGTTTGCTCGCGACATGACTGCTCGGTTTGGGGGACACTCAGATGTAGAGGCCCCGAGTCTCGTCTCACCCACTCCCAGCCTGGGGAAGAAGGCTCACCCCCCAGAGTCCACCCCATCCCCCACAGGGTCCCTGATAACCCGGTCCCATGGGTGGGCCTGTCCCGGGGCAGGGGCAGTGGTGGCATTCTGGGGACATGTCTCTTGCAGTACCATCTCTGCCTCTGCCTGGTTAGATCTCTGTCTTCCTCTTCCTACAGGAAAAGAAAGCAAACAACGAGAAACAGAAAGCCGAAAGGGAGCTAGAGGTGAGTGGACGGTGTGCAGTTTTCTCCTGTCCTCCGGAGAATGTTTCTTTCCTTCTCTTTCAGCACTTGCTTGGCTTTTCTCCCAAAGGTTCAAATCCAGAGATTGAACATACAGAAAGGGAAACTAAATACGGACCTGTACCACACGAAACGTTCTCTCAGATACTTTGAAGGTGGGAATCTGGGTACCCTGTCATCCTTCAACCTGGCACTTTGACAGGTCTTCAGGGGGAGTCCTTTGGGCCCCATCTCAACTCTCTCATTACAGAAGAGTCCAAGGATCTGGCCGTCCGTCTGCAACATTCATTGCAGCGTAAAGGAGAGTTAGAGCGGGCTCTCTCTGCTGTCACCGCCACACAGAAGAAGAAGGCGGAGAGGGTGAGTCCAACCACCTGCCCCGTCCCCTGGGAGCCTGGCTTCGCAGACAGAGGAGTGAGCCTAAAGGTCCCTTCTGCAGGATGGAGTGTCCTGCCCAGAAGGCAGCATGGCCATTTCTCACTGCTTTTTTGTATGGTTGTTAGCGGCAGCTTGGGACTGAGTCAGCTGCTGTGGGTGAGTTGGGGGGCACTCTGGGGAGAGAGCACAGGACGTAGAGCTTGGAGGCCAAGTGCCTGCCATGCCTTTACCTGGCTGTGGTCTTGGCCAAGTCCTCAGTGGGTATTGGGTACTTGTACTGTGAAGGTACAGAAGAGTACCTTTAGTATGTTACCATTTCTGTAGAGAGAGGAAACGTGTGTGTGTGTGTACATATTATGATAATATACATAAAATATGTTTGCAAGTGTTCATAAAAACTCAGGAGAGAGCAACAGGGTGGCTGGGAGATACTTCCCTTCTGTACCTTCTGAGTTTGGGACTATGTGAATGTATTATCCTTTCAAAAAGTGAACAAAAGATTAATTTTCCCCTTCCTAGCTGTGCCCCCACCCCCAGCAAGAAAAATGGGCTTAGAGAATTGGATAGATCTGGGTGTTTAAATCCCAGCTCTGCCTAAGTGATCTTAGGCAAGCACTTAACCTCAAATACTCCATGTTTTTTCATCTACACAATAGAGGTCATCATAGTAACTGTCTCCCATGGTGGTTGCGAGGATTAAATGGGATTGCTAGCATGGTATCTGGTGAAGCACTCCATAAAAGTTCAAACAGTGGTAATAATAACAGTAATAACAATAGCAATATTATCTGATCTCTCTGGGCCTCTGTTAGCCAGCTATAAATTCGATCTCTTTCCCTGTCCCTTCCAACTTTACTGAGTTCTTTAAAAACCAAACCACGGGCTTGGAAATGCCTTGATCTTTACTGACCGAGTTGTATATTGGGCCTAGCCCTGGCCCTTTTAAGGGGCACTGTGTGGAATGGCCCGGCCTCACCAGATTGAAACTTCTCACTCTTCAGCAGTTCTCCAGCCGCAGTAAAGCACGTATGGAGTGGAAGTTAGAGCAGTCCATGCGGGAGCAGGCACTGCTGAAAGCGCAGCTGACACAGGTGAGGTGTTCAGAAGGAGGGATGTGGAAGAAAGATGACCCCAGGTAACCAGGAGCAGGTGAGGACCAGTGACAGCCCTTCCTAATTTCTGTGCCCATTCTTGCAGTTGAAGGAGTCACTTAAAGAAGTCCAGCTAGAGAGGGATGAATATGCTGAACATCTAAAAGGAGAGAGGGCCCGGTGGCAGCAGAGGATGAGAAAAATGTCGCAGGAGGTGAGATCTGACCCTTCAGCCCCCCCACATTAGATAGGTCACTGGATCTTTCTGGGCACCTGTAAAATGGGAATAGTAGAGCCAGAGGTGGTCCTGGGACTGGGCTTTGTGGAGGTGGGGGCAGAGAGGGAGATGGTAGCATGTCCAGCCTCCAGCCCCTCTCTCCAGGGCCCTTTCCCCCTGTGCTTTGGGCAGGTTTGCTCGTTGAAGAAGGAGAAGAAGCATGATAAATATCGGGTAGAGAAGCTGGAGAGGAGCTTGTCCAAACTCAAACACCAGATGGGTAAGATGGGGCTGGCGTGACCTGGCAGCAGGACTGGCATCAGAGGGCTGTGAGGGTGGCTTGGAGTGCCCCAGCGAGGTGGGTGGATGGAAGGGCTTTGAGGCAGAGGGAAAGAGGTCTGTGCCAGGAGACGGCAAGTCTTGTCATCTCAATGAGCCTCAGTGTCCCCATCAGCAAAGAGGGCCCGTTGTCAGCCACCCGCAGTGCTCTTTCTCTGAAAGTGCTTTGGAAGACTGGCTACCATCTGGGTGCGAGGAATCATTAGCAGTGAGGCTAAGTTTGAGGAGCCGGAGAGGAGCTGTGCGCCAAGAGGAGGGTTTTTTCTTTTCTTTTCTTTTTTTTTTTTTTTTTTTGGAATCCAGAGGCTCTTATTGTCTGCTTCCTTTCTCAGCTGAACCTCTGCCCCCGGAGCCCCCAGCAGTGCCCTCTGAGGTGGAGCTGCAGCACCTGAGGAAGGAACTAGAGAGAGTGGCAGGAGAGCTCCAGGCCCAGGTGGAGTACAATCAGCGCATAAGTCTCCTGAATGAGGGGCAAAAGGAGAGGCTTCGGGAGCAGGAGGAGAGGCTTCAGGAGCAGCAGGAGAGGCTTCCAGAGCAGGAGGAGAGGCTTCAGCAGCTGGCCGAGCCACAGAACAGCTTCAAGGAGCTGGTGCGTTGCCCCAGCTGGGGAGCCTGCCCTCCTCCCTAGCCCTCCAGGCCTTTGTTTCCCCACCTATAAAATGGGGCAGTGTAGCCCTCAAGTGAAATGTTACTCCTAAAGGCACCTGTGAGCCAGAGCCCTGCTCTGGTGGCTGTGGGAGACAGGGGATGATTTTTCTAACCTGCCTCCACCCTTCCCGGTGCCATGGGAGGCAGTCACCAAGTTCTGGGGTCTCCAGCTGCAGTGGGTGGCTGCTGATTGCTTCTCTCTGTCCAGAACAATGAGAACAAGAGCGTACTACAGTTGGAGCAGCAAGTAAAGGAGCTGCAGGAGAAGCTAGGCAAGGTGAAGGAGACGGTAACCTCCACCCCATCCAAGAAGGTCTGGGAGGTGGGTGGGCACCAGCCTCTGGGGAGGGGAGGTGCCAGTCCAGCGGTAGCTCCAGCCCGGGGGCAGGTGACCCCAGCACCCTCCAGGGCAGTCCTGTGGCTGTTTCTTGCTTCCTGCCCTCTGATTTTAGAGGTGGGTAGCCCTGGGCTCCTCCCAGGTCTGGACATCATCATTCCAGCTAGAGACATGGAGCCCCCCCAATCACAGGGGAAGAGACAGAGTGGTATAACAGTCTTCTTATGCCAGATGCGGTGGCTTACGCCTATAGTGCCAACACTTTGGGAGGCTGAGGCAGGAGAATCACTTGAGGTTTGGAGTTTGAGATCAGCCTGGCCAACATGGTAAAACCTCATCTCTACTAAAATTACAAAAACAAAAAACAAAAAAAGAAAGAAAAATTAGTGGGGCATGGTGGTGGCGCATGCCTGTAATCCCACCTACTCAGGAGGCTGAGGCACGAGAATTGCTTGAGCCCAGGAGGTGGAGGTTGCAGTGAGCTGAGATTGCACCACTGCACTCCTGCCTGGGCCACAGAGTGACACTCTGTCTCAAAACAAAACAAAAAGACTCCTTAGATTAAAACTGGATTCCAGCCTCAGTTCCACTGGTCACCATTCAAGTACTTCGCATCTCTAAGTCTCTGTTTCTTTAACTTCAAAAGGAAGTTAGCATTTTCCTTACAGAGGTGCTGAGGATTAAATGAGATAATACATGGGAAGCATTAGGCCTGTAGCACATTTAGCAGATGGTGGTTGGCTCCCATACTTTTCTACCATTCTGTGGCCTACAGTTGAAATGGTGGGAAGAGGACATGAGATTTGAGGCTGGGGAAGGAGGCATGGGGTTCTAGGAAAGCAAGGCAGTCACTTAGGCCTGAAGTAAGGGGCCAGGGGCCTGGGCAGGCGACAGAGCCCCACAGTGCCCTCGCTACCCTATTAATGGGCCCAGAATCTGCAAACCAGCCACCACGTGCCCTCACACCCAGGGTCTTCCTGCAGGTGGAGCTGAAGAGCCAAGAGGCTCAGAGTCTGCAGCAGCAGCCAGACCATTACCTGGGTCACCTGCAGCAGTACGTGGCCACCTATCAGCAGCAGGTGGCCGCCTATCAGCAGCTGACCTGTGAGAAGGAGGCGCTGTACAGGCAGTGACTGCAGCAGACCCAGCTAATGAACCAGTTGCAGCAGCAGGAAGCTTGGGGCAAAGCGGTGGCCGAGATGGCCTGCCAAAAGTTGCAGGAGACCCAGGGGAGGGAGCTGCCGAGGATGGGGCTGTGAGGGGGACGACCTGGCAAACTCTGTGCCTTCTCACTCTTTCCTGGCCCCTTAGGAGCGTCTGGAAGCTGCGAGCCAGCAGAAACAGCAGCTAACGGCCCAGTTGAGCCTCATGGCTCTCCCTGGGGAAGGTACGGGAGACCGCTCAGAGGAAGAGGAGAGAGCCCCAGGAGGAAGGGGGGACTGCTAGCAGCATAGGATTGAGGAGTTGGAAGAGACCTTTAGAACAGCTGGTCATTATACTAACCGGGTGCCTGCACTAAGTTCAGCATCAATATGGTGACCTCCTGTGAGCGGGGGGCCACCAAGTTGCCTAAGGATGGCTGAACTGGCCGAGGTCAGAAAGGGAGCAGGTCAGAACTCCCGCACCGACCAGTAGTGGGAATGTGCCTGGGCAGTATAGCAAGATCTTGGTTCTTCAAAGTAAAAATAAATAACAGCAGCTCATTCCTCTCTGGGGAGGGCCTGGCTCAGGGTTACACAATGAGGGTGGAGGCAGAGGTGGGCCCACAATACTTCCCTTGTTGAGTTGTCTGAGGACCCCTCTGGCCACCACCCCCACCCCCAGGAGATGGAGGAGGACATCTGGACAGTGAGGGGGAGGAGGCACCTCGGCCCATTCCTAGCATCCCACAGGACCTGGAGAGCAGGGAGGCCATGGTGAGCCTGACTCCACCTGAACCCATTTTGCCTCCTTCCTCTGTGGTCCCTCCAAGACCCCTTTATGCTCTTCGTTTCCCTGCCTTCTGATTTCTCTGGACCCTCACCCCTTCTGGGAGCCAGTGGTCAGACACCATTTCACCTGTGACCAACATGTGCAGTCTCTGGGGCCCCAAGGGAAGGGGCTGCGCTCCACCTCTCTGCCCCATTTGTTCTGTGTATGCCCCTGCAAGAATGCTCACATCTTGCCCTCAGGTGGCATTTTTCAAGTCCGCTGGAGCTAGTGCCCAGGAGAAGCAGGCACAGTTACAAGAGCAGGTGAAAGAGCAGAGGGTGTGCTGCCAGCGCCTGGCTCACCCGGTGGCCTCGGCCCAGAAGGAGCCAGAGGCAGCCAGAGGCCCTGGAGCCCCAGGGCCTGGGGGCGAGTCTGTGAGTGGGGAGACCCACCGGGCCCTGCAGGAAGTCACGGAGAAGCTGGCCCATGCCGGAACTCACCTCCGCCTTCTCCATGACTTGAAAATGCCACCTGAGGGCAGGTCGCTGGCGAGATGTGACCCCATTATTTTGGCTCCAGAGCGGCTTTATGGACCACCTGGAGGAGAAGGCAGACCTGAGTGAGCTGGTGGAGAAAGAAGAACTTGGATTCTTCCAGTACTACAGAGAGAGATGCCATCAGTGAGTGGGAGGCCAGGGCATGGCAGGGGGAGCTGCAGGGCTGTTGGAGGGGCCCCAGCGTCTGAGCCCTGTCCTCCCGCAGGAAAGTTTATCACCCTATAACAAAGCCAGGGGGCAGTGCCAAAGATGCAGCACCGGGAGGAGGACACCATCAGGCTGGCCCTGGACAGGGAGGAGATGAAGGTAGAGTGTGCAACATCTCTGCGGGGGTGGGGGTGGCTGTGACGGTGAGCGCTGGCAGCAGCGTGACAGCTGAGCACCCCTCCCTCCAGGTGAAGCTGCTGGAGCTGCAGGAGATGGTGTTGCAGCTGGTGGCGACTACAAGGGACACAGCAAATTCTTGGTGACTGCCCAGAACCCTGCTCATGAGCCCAGTCCAGGAGCCCCAGCCCCCCAGGAGCTTGGGGCTGCCCACAAGCATGGTGGTGAGTAGAGCCCTCAGGCGGGGTGGGCAGGCAGGAGCAGGGGGGCTCTCACTGAGCTCAGATCCCCGCCTCCCTCTCTCCAAAGATCTTTGTGAGGTGAGCCTCACTGACAGCGTGGAGCCTGTGCAAGGAGAGGCCAGGGAGGGTTCTCCCCACGACAACCCTACTGCACAGCCGATCGTGCAGGACCACCAGGAGCACCCAGGCTTGGGCAGCAACTGCTGTGTGCCATTCTTTTGCTGGGCTTGGCTGCCAAGAAGAAGGAGATAAACATCACCATCGTCAAAGAGCTGCTGAAGAAATTTTTAAAAAAGAAACAAAGTTATGGGGTTAATCTCCTACACAATTCATTTACTTCATTTGAATGTTATAGCCACTTATGATTATTTGTGTTTCTAATTTATAGTTTAAGTTCATTTGTAAATAGTTAAAAGAGAGTGGGTCTCTGTGGCTTTCACTGATGTTCACTCTGGCATACTTTCGCAATTTTCTTTTTCAATTTCATAATTGTAGGTCATTAGCATGCATATTGAGTTTGCCCTTACGTGGTGGGAGTTCAAACACACAAAGACCCACTATTTGCACAAAACTATTCTTGCTGGTTTGGAATAGGCTGCCATGTGTTTTTAATGTTATTGCAGCATGTATATTCATTACAGAATTCAGATAAAATGTGCCTATGTTCTGCTGTTGTTTGATCTAATCTTAATCACAGTGAGCTCTTCATTAGCACAATATGTGGTTTGCCCCAAGTGTGCACTATTTAATACTTTGTAATATGCCACCAAGAGTACTGACATTTAGAGTTGTTTAAAGGCCGAGAACTGGAAACAGCCTTTCCCTCATTTTCTGTGTATTGGTGATGGGAGTAATAACATTTTGGGGGAGCTTTTTAAATTTCACAGAAGAGGAAAGTTGCCTGCTCTGGCAGGTATGTGCAAGATAGAGTGTGTTTCATTTGTTCTGTTGCCAAGAATTAGTGCTGTACTATTGTAGTTCCTTTAGGATTTGTATGTGCTCTGGGCTCATGAAGATATTGCATCATGAGCTTCAGCAGTTGTACTCTTTTTTGATGACCTAAAAAGGGCTTATTTCTGAGGAATGAAAGGTTCCCATCATTGACTACGGATGTGGAAAACCTTTCCTAGCTTAGAGCATTTGTATCTATATTTTAAAGTCAGAGTTCATGTTACCTGTTTTAATCACATGACTGCATGTCCCAGTACACAAAAGGGCACTGGTTGGCATTCTTCTTAATGTATTTAGTAAAGATCATAAGAAATCCTTTAAGAGTTCAAATGTCCCTGGAACAGGCATACAAGCTCTAGTCAAGAATGAATTAGAGTGAAGGAAAGCTGTGTGACACCTGGCATTCCTCTGTTCATGGAGCTTCTTTGAGGCTTGAAGATTGATTTTACCATCTAGACCACTCTGCCTATTCTTCAACCACCTTGGTTACTTTGACATAGGAATTGACTTCTTTTCCTTGAATGGAAAACACTTTGAAATAATAATAAACATTGTTATAAACTAATATATGTGAGAGTGCTTAGTTGAAACAAAAAGGAGTTTTAGTAGACAGTATTATACTATCTTTGAAAATCAAGGAGAAGTTTATGCAACTTAAAATGTGTACAAACTGCAGTGCAATCTACTGTTGGTGAATGTCAGTGTATTATCAGGAAACATGTCTATACAATCACAGAGTTATATTTCCTCACAAACTTCTTTGTGAAGAGTGAAATGTGTTTCTGTACCTCTGGGTTTCACTTACGGGCATATTTTGTGCAGTATTTATGTGATTGTGCCTATGCATGATGAATGAATGAATTTCAGTTGTACATTGCCTAAATCATAACTTGATGATGCTTGGGAAAGACTCAACAGTTAAAACTTCATGAAGTTCTAATGTCTGTGTTCCAAAACACATCACATTATTAGGATGTAGGGAGATATGTATGTGTGCTCCCTGGGGTGGGGATTTCTAGTTACTAGACCATCTCCATTTTTAGCATTTGGCATCCTCATGATACTTTTATAAATACGACATTAACAGGAGAGCAGCAGTACGATTTTGCCGATGGAATAACAGATTTGCCGGCAATCACTGAAAGAGTGCAAACATCGGGTCCTTGTGACTTCAACGGACTCTTCCAAATTGTATGAATGTATCAATGTATTAGATAAACCCAGTTTCAGAATGATAAAGAAAAAATGTTAGACCAAATAATGCGGCTAGTTAACAGTGGTACGATTTCTCGCCCGTGGCTTTAAAATGCACTTAAAGTCCTGTCCTTGCCTTTTATTTTCTGAACTTGATGTTTTTGCATTCTTTGAGTTCAGTTTAAAGACAACTACGAGCATCTGTAACCAATCTGACAATAATGTGTTCATCAGGTGCCTGTGGATTAAATCACATACTGGCATATTTAAGCTGAATGTCAATCTGGAAAATAAATTGACTGTATTAACGGAAATACCACTCTTTGTGTAGATATTTGTCGTATATTTAAGAAAAAGCTAAAAAGAATGGAAATCGCATGACTATAACTTAAGTCTTTCTTCAAAGTGCATGCAGTCTTTTGCGATACCTCATTCAGCCAAGTATTGGTATTCTTCCTCATTCGGTATAAGGCAGCTTTCAATTTGCTTAGAGGGCAACATTGGAAGGTTAGAGTTCATCAGAAACAGAATTCTAAAATGTGAGTTCAATTCAATAAATTTGAATTTCTGTAGGAAGAATCAAATCACCGATTTAAAGATTGCAATATATAATAATCATTTTTAAAGTATTGGATTAAATCTGATAGGTTTTCCAGAAATGAACAAAAATCAGCTCTAAAACCAAAGCTGATTTTTAGAAAATTTGAAAATGTAAATCAGCCCTATCCATACTATAGTTTCTCTAAAACTTTATCTGAAACAGTCATTTTAAAATAACTATTAAACAATGTAACTGCTATCTTAATGTTCTGAAATAAGTTAAAACATTTTAAAATATGAATACTGTAAAGGAAATAAACGGTGGGAAGGAAAAGTAGAGAAAGAAATGCCAATTCCAGTCCAAAGCTTTATTTGCCAAGTTTTCTTAGAATGAATTTTACCAATTTATGAATTCTTGTAAGCGGAATGTAAAACGGAAATACTGAAAGACTTTTGCCTAAAGTGGCATTATTGACTGCTGGTGTGATGCTACTGTAATGTAATAAATTATTAAGTTGTTGCAAAGTGCTGTTTTTGCCTTAAAATTTTATTCTGTGTGTCTTCAAAAATATAGTATTAAAGGTATTGATACTGTGCAAATGCTGAGCATGCTTGGCATGAGATAATGTTTCATTTTTACAAAATTGTAATATAACTATGCAAGGGTTTATTAAAAGAACACAAAATAAAAAAGTTATGGGATTAACAAAAGTTATGGGGTGAAAAAGTTATGGGATAAAAAATGTAAAAAAGTTGTGGCAAAAAAATCTTGTGACCAAAAAGTAGAAGAAAGTTTTATGAAAAGTTACCAAAAAAAGTTATGAAAAAGAAGTTATGGGATTTAAAAAAAAAGGCATGGGATAAAAATAAAAATTAAAATTAAAAGCAGGCCCCTGTCAGCAAAGCCTGGAGAAGTGGGGCTGGGGTCTCCACCACCACACTGTCCCTATCTCCCCTTCCCAGTCACCCCTTTACAATTAGGGTAGCAGGACAAGACCTCTGTCTAACGAGGAAAGACAAACAGACCCTTTGCCACCTTGACCAGAGCTGAGTCCTTAAATTTCTGGAAGATATTGTTATTTAAGAGCCAGAGGCTGGTGGAGTTGGTTTGTTTGGAGGAGGCCTCATGGCCTCCTTACTCTCACCATAGCAACTTTTCCCTCAGTGGGGGCTCCAATCTTCTTATTCAGAGAGGTAGCTGAGGCAGGACAGTGGGGCTAACTGTGGACCAGGCGAAGGCATGGGCTGCTGGGGTGGCCCCCCTTCCCCGGTGTATATATTGTGTCTGTGTAAGGTTTTGTATATTCCAGAGGGTAGGGCCACCCCTGTATCATACCTAGCGGTGGTTGGAGGTGGCACATGGGGAGGAGGTTCTAATAATTATTTGTGGCTGGGAAACTTACTTATTGCTAGCATAGGACAGAGGAAGAAGGCAGGGATGGGGTCATGGCTTCCCAGTGGTGTGATCACAGTTCACTGCAACCTCCAACTCTCATGCTCAAGTGATCCTCCCACCTCAGCCTCCCAGGTAGCTGGGAGTATAAGCATGCACTACTATGCCTGGCTAATTTTTAAATTTTTTGTAGAGAAAAGGTCTTGCTATGTTGCCCATGCTGGTCTTGAACTCCTGGGCTCAAGCGATTCTCCCATCTTGGCCTCCCAAAGCACTGGGGTTACAGGCATGAGACATTGCTCCTGTCCATAAGATTTTCTCTTTATTACTGTTTTGTTGTTGGTGGTGGTGTTTTGTTTTGTTTTTATTTTTTGACAGAGTCTCGGTCTGTTGCCTAAGCTGGAGTGCAGTGGTGCAATCTCTGCTCACTGCAACCTCCGCCTCCTGGTTCAAGCAATTCTTATGCCTCAGCCTCCCGAGTACCTGGGGTTATAGGCATAAGCCACTGCGCCTGGCTAATTTTTGGATTTTTAGTAGAGACAGAGTTTTGCCATGTTGGCCAGATTGGTCTTCAACTCCTGGCCTTAAGCAATCCGCCCTCCTCAGCCTCCCAAAGTGCTGGGATTACAGGTGTGAGCCACTGCTCCTGGCTAAGATCCCATCTCTATTTAAATAAAAAAAGAAAATTCAGAATCTATGGAACACAGAACACCAAAGGCCAGTTATTTACCTCTCTGAGGTAATCTGTGTAAACAATTTGATATATATCCTTTCAAGTTCATACTTGCTATGCATACATATATATACACACATACATTGACATATTCCCCCTTCCCTGCCGTCATGCTATTAGTCTTCTTTTTTTTGTAGAAATTGGACCAACTCTATGTTCTTTGCTGGCCCGTATTTCTCCTATTCAGTGATGTGTTATGAATATCTGTTTAAGTCAATGTATGCAACTCTTTAATATCATTTTAAAAGGTTACGACATACGATCATATGAAGGCATTAGAATTTATTCCAACAGTTCCCTTTTGCACATTTAATAATTTCCATTGATTTGCCAGGAAGAACATTCTCGTGTCATGGCTAAATCCTTTTGTATGGACATCCTTAATTATTCCCTTAAGATAAACTTTTAAATAAAGTTGCTAGATTAGTCTCGTTTCTTAAGTTCTTTTTTGGTAGTTTATATGTAACACTGTAGTTTTATATGTACTTACAAATACCTATAGTGCCAGTAGAAAATGGGATAAAATTAAACTCTTTCACATATGCCAAATATATTTTGATTTAGCGCTTTATTAAGTGCATGATTACAGTCTCTGTATCTTTTGATTTACCTTTCTATCTTTACAATTTTCAGCCGAGATACTTAGAGGTCACATGATAAATTAAGGTTTTCTTTTTTTAATAATCTCCATCTTTCTAAATATGGTGAGTCACAGTCAGCTATTTTTGGATTGTTGAAAGCTGTGACTGTTCTAAATCGGAGCCCAGAAATCACGCCACTTACCAAATATGCTTTGTCTTCCAACATCAGAGTGTCTGGTAGAAGGTGACTGTTCTTGGAATTTAAAAAATCTGAACAGGACAAGACAAGAATCTGGACACTTTTTCTGTTTCTGATAATATGATTGAGTAGGTAGACATGCTCGATAATCCTTGCAAAGACATACTTGAACTTCCCAAAAAAAAAAAAAATAAAATCCAGAATCTCTAAGAATGAAGATGGAGTGAAAATCAGAAGGGCTGCTGAGAGAATAATGGGGAAGCAGCCCCAGTTATCAAGGGACATGTCCATGTGTTCAATAGAAAGTTTCAGATGTAAAAAAAAGTTGAGAAAAATAATATATATATTATATATAATAAATGATATAATTGCCCTACATATACACATCATCAACAATTTTTCATTCATGGTATGGACAGTTTTTTTTTTTGGTTGTTTTTTGTTTGTTTGTTTGTTTTTAAAGGTGGGATTTTGCTGTGGTTGCCCAGGCTGGAGTGCAGTGGCATGATCTTGGCTCACTGCAACTTCCACCTCCCAGGTTCAAGCGATTCTCCTGCCTCAGCTTCCCGAGTAGCTGGGATTACAGGCACCCGGCACCACATCCGGCTAATTGTTGTATTTTTAGTAGAGATGGTGTTTCACCACGTTGGCCAGGCTGGTCTTGAACTCCTGACCTCAGGTGATCCACCTGCCTCGGTCTCCCAAAGTGCTGAGACTACAGGCGTGAGCCACCACACCTGGCCACAGCCAGTTTTGTTTCATTTATATTCCCACTTCATTTATATACATTCCTTCTTCCTCTGAATTATTTTGAAGTAAAACCTATACATCCTATCATTTTTAATTACCTTATATGTATCTGTAGAAGACAAGGAATTCTTAAAAATAAATATATTCACAATGCCATTAAATATCAAAAAATTAATATTCTGAAAATAGCCACAAATCCAGAGTTGACATTTTGTTGACTTTCTCATAGGTGATTTTTTTTCTAGTTTATCTATTTCAATCAGATAACTGTTTGCTCATATTTACATTCCTTACTGAACAATGTCTAAACTTAAACTGACATAAAATGGAGATGATCTTCTAACCAGATGCTTAGTGTAAGAAAAAACTTCAAACTGCAAGAGGAGTCCCTCCAAATACAGAAAGGACCAGTATTTTAAGAGGTATGTTAACTAAAATGTGGCAATGTAAGGAGCAAAGCAGGAAGAACCTTTAAGTCCTAAACTTACAAGTCAATTTCATAGTCAGTTTCCCTGGTCCTTCCACAACAACCTCCCCCATCTGTTTTCTCTACAATGGAGGTAACAATAGTAGCTATTCCAGAGCAGGAAAAGGCTTAGAGCAGTGCTAGAAGAGGGTCGTGGCTATATAAAGTTTAGCTATTTGTATATTGTAACAAACTAACTTTTTTTGGTCAATAATAGATTTCTGTTGGAAAAGTAGCAGCCTCCTGTCTGGGGACACCTGCAGTTCCACTAAGTGAACATTGGTGTCTGCTAACCTTTGCCTCTATTTCTCTCAATATACTGTGAAGCTGTTCCTGGATTTAGCAATTTTATATACTTCTTTTTATTATTCTTTTTTTCCTTTCCCTTTTCCTGAGACACAGTCCTGCTCTGTCACCCAGTCTGGACTGCAGCAGCGCCATCATGGCTCACTGCCACCTCCACCCCGGGCTCAAGCAATCCTCCTGCATCAGCCTTCAGAGTAGCTGGGACTACCCAGGGGGGCCCACCAGGTCTGGCTAATCTTTGTGGTTTTTGTTTTGTTTTTCCGTTAAGGGACTGGGTTTCCGGCCAGGCACAGTGACTCACGCCTGCAATCGCACCACCCCTGGAGGCCGAGGCCGGCGGATCTCCCCAGGTGAGGAGCAGGAGACCAGCCCGACCAACATGGAGAAACCCCATCTCAACCTAAATAAATAAATAAATAAATAAATAAATAAATAAATAAATAAAAGTAGCCAGGCTTGGTGGCTCACGCCCTTGATCCCAGCCACTCAGGAGGCTGAAGCAGGAGAATCACCCAAACCCGGGAGGCGGAGGCCCGGCGAGCCGAGACCGCGCCACTGCACTCCAGCCTGGGCAACAAGAGGGAAACTCCGTCTCAAAAAAAAAAAACAGGTTTCACCATGTTGCCCAAGCGGGTCTGGATCTCCTAGGCTCAAGCGATTTGCCACACTCAGCCGTCCAAAATCCTAGGATCACAAGCATGAGCCATGACGCCAGGCCGATCTATTCCTGTCTGATTAAAAATTGGGCCGGTTGCGGTGGTTCACGCCTGCGATCCCAGCACCCCGGGAGGCTGAGGCGGGCGGATAACCTGAGGTCAGATTGAGGCCAGCCTGAGTAACATGGAGAAACCCCATCTCTACCAAAAAAAAAAAAAAAAAAAAAAAAAAAAAAAATTAGCAGGGCATGGTGGCTCACGCTTGCAATCCCAGCCACTCGGGAGGCTGAGCCAGGAGAACCACCCAAACCCGGGAGGCTGAGGCTGCGGGGAGCTGAGACCCTGCCACTGCACTCCAGCCTGGGCAACAAGAGTGAAACTCCCTCTCAAAAAAAAAAAAAAGAGAGAGAGAGAGAGACTGAGTTTCACCATGTTGCCCAGGCCGGCGTGTAACTCCTAGGCTCAAGGGATCCGCCGCGCTCGGCCATCGGAAGTCCTGGGATCACAAGCATGAGCCGCCACGCCAGGCCCATCTGTTCCTTTCTGATTAATAAATTGCGCCCGGCGCGGTGGCTCCCTCCTGCAACCCCACCACCCTGGGAGGCCGAGGCGGGCGGATCACCTGAGGTCGGGAGTTTGAGACCAGCCTGACCAACATGGAGAAACCCGTCTCTACCAAAAAAGAAAAAAAAATAAGCTGGGCATGGTGGCTCACGCCTGCAATCCCACCACCCCGGGAGGCCGAAGCAGACGCGTAATCTGAGGTCAGGAGTTTGAGACTACCCTGACGAAGGGAGAAACCCCGTCTATACCAAAAAAAAAAATACAAAAAGAGCCGGGCATGTTGGCTCATGCCTGCAATCTCAGCCACTTGGTAAGCTGAGGCAGGAGAACCACCCAAATCCCGGAAGCGGAGGCCGCGGGGAGCTGAGACCGCGCCACTGCACTCCAACCGGGCAACAAGAGTGAAACTGCCGCAAAAAAAAAAAAAAAAAAAAAAAAAAAAAAAAAAAAAGAGAGCGGGTTTCACCGTGTTGCCCCGGCCTGTCTGGAATTCCTAGGCTCAAGGGATCCCCGGCCCTATTCCTTTCTGATTTATAGATTAGGCCTTGCGCGCTGGCTCACGCTTGCAATCCCACCACCTCCGGACGCCGAGGCGGGCGGATAACCTGAAGTGGGAAGTTTGAGACCAGCCTTATGAACATGGAGAAACCCCATCTCCAACAATAAAAACAATAAAAACAAAAACAAACAAAAAACAAAATGAGCTGGGCATGGTGGCTCACGCGTGCAATCCCAGCCACTCGGGAGGCTGTGGCAGGAGAACCACCCAAACCCTGGAGGCGGAGGCCCGTTGAGCCAAGACCTCACCACTGCACTCCAGCCTGGGCAACAAGAGCGAATCTCCGCCTCAAAACAAACAAAAAGTGACCAGGTTTCACCATGTTACCCAGGCAGGTCTGGAACTCCTAGGCTCAAGCGATCCGCCGCGCTTGCCGTCCAAATTCCTGGGATCACAAGTGTGAGCCACCATGCCAGGCCGATCTAGTCCTTTATGATTAATAAACTGGACCGGGCGCGCTGGCTCACGCCTGCAATCCCAGCATCCCCAGAGGCCGAGGAGGCGGGCAGATAACCTGAGGTCGGGAGTTTGAGACCAGCCTGATGAATATGGAGAAACCCTGCCTGTACCCCCCCCCCCCCCCCGCCAAAAAAAAGAGAGACCGGGTTTCACCATGTTGCCCAAGCCGGTGTGGAACTCCTAGGCTCAAGTGATCCCCAGCGCTCGGCCGTCCGACGTCCTGGGATCACAAGCGTGAACCACCACGCCAGGCTGATCTATTCTTTTCTGATTAATCAATTGGGCCTTGCGCGCTGGCTCACGCCTGCAATCCCAGCATCCCCGGAAGCCAAGGCAGGTGGATAACCTGAGGTCCTGAGTTTGAGACCAGCCTGACCAACAGGGAGAAACCCTGTGTGTACCAAAAAAAAAAAAATTAGCCGGGCATGGTGGCTCACACCTGCAATCTCAGCCACTAGGGAGGCTGAGGCAGGAGAACCACCCAAACCCAAGAGGTGGAGGTGGCAGGGAGCCGAGACTGCACCACTGCACTCCAGCCTGGGCAACAAGAGCAAAACTCTGCCTCCAAAAAAACAAAAAAAAGAGAGAGACCGAGTTCCACCATGTTGCCCAGGCCAGTCTGGATCTCCTAGGCTCAAGTGATCCCCAGTGCTCCATCATCCAAAGTCCCTGGATCACAAGCGTGAGCCACCACGCCAGGCCGATCTATTCCTCTCTGATTAATAAATTAGGCGGGGTGCAGTGGCTCACACCTGCAGTCCTGTAGAGGGATTTTTAAGGAATTAGATAGACTCATGGGGTTTAGGAGGACATTTATTAATTATTTAGGTGCACCGGCCCAGTCGGATTAACATTTAAAGGATTGAGCACTGAACCAAGAGTTACCTTTCAAGCATTATGTGGGGCGAAGGGGGAGATCTGTGCAGGGAGAAGCATATTATAGAAGCGAGAAACAAAGATTGTTATTTAATTGAAACATGCATTATATTATTTTTTACTATTTAAGGAAAAATATGTTTTGTGACTTGAGTTTATTTGTTTAGTGACCTTGTAGTTGCACAGTTAAGGAATTAGTCGGGCATGGTGGCTCACACCGCAATCCCAGCCACTCGGGAGGCTTTGGCAGGAGAACCACCCAAACCCCGGAGACGGAGGTCTGGCAAGCTGAGACCTCGCCACTGCACTCCAGCCTGGACAGCAAGAGCAAATTTCCCCCTAAAAAAATATATATATATATATGACTGGGTTTCACCATGTTGTCCAGGCCGGTCTGGAACGCCTAGGCTCAAGCAATCTGGCTCTGGATGTCTTTAACTTGTGATTGAAAGCGTATTAAGATGTTGGGTGTATCAACAGTCCGGAGGACAAGAAGGAAAATCCTGGCATGTGAAATATTCTGCAACAAGAAAAGCAATCGGAGAGGTGACTACATTCACTGCAGCTGTTTTGCCCTCTTCTTCCCCACCCCCCCCCCCGTCTCTTTCCTGGAAGTTCCCTAGTAAGAAGTAAAAGAGATAATGGCTTTCGAGTGCATGTTTTTCCTGGAATTGGAAGGAATTTTAACAAAGGAGCCCTTCACAATGAAACCCCCCCACACCCCTGCTTTTCACCTGAAGTAGGACAAGATCGTCGCCCCCACCATCATTCTCCACGTGACCCCAGGTGGGGATGGGTAGTGGACACTACTGATAAGCTCTTAGCAATTTCCCTATTTGTGGACTCTGAAGCTCCTTAGCTTGACAACTGATGCATAAGTTTTCTTTTGTGGGATAAGAATAGGAGAATAGGTGACCTTTTCCCCCTGAATTCCCATCCTGGGGCCAGGGAAGAGAGCCCAGGATCCCTTCTCTTGGCCTTCACACTGTGGGAAAGAGTACCTAGAGTTAAAAGCCTGATAAATGCCCTCGAACAGCTTTGAAAATCACAAGGTCAGGAGATCGAGGCCATCCTGCCTAACACGGTCAAACCCGTCTCTACTAAAAAAAAAAAAAAAAAAAAAAAAAAATACAAAAAATTAGCCGGGCATGGTGGTGGGCGCCTGTAGTCCCAGCTACCGGGGAGGCTGAGGCAGGAGAATGGTGTGAACCCGGGAGGGGGACCTTGCAGTGAGCTGAGATCGAACCACTGCACTCCAGCCTGGGCGACAGAGCGAGACTCAGTCTTAAAAACAAACAAACAAAAAAAAAAAAAAGAAAAGAAAAGAAAAAAGAAAATCACTCGGCGTGAGCGCTTGCCCCCTGAACAAATGTCCAAGTGTATCACTATGGGAATGCCTCTTGGGTCACAGACACAGAGGTAATTCTCTTTGTAAATCGATTCATGTCATTTGTCTCGTTTCTGAACAGTTTCAAAAGAATTATTTGGTGAAGTCAGTTTCCTAGGAGAATCCATCACATTTCCCCAGAGGTATTTCCACCCTTGCAAACCATTAGATAAAGAACAGGCCACGCACAGTGGCTCACACCTGTAATCCCAGCACTTTGGGAGGCCAGGCGGGTGGATCATGAGGTTAGCGGATCGAGACCATCCTGGCTAACAGTGTGAAACCCCGTCTCTACTAAAAATACAAACAATTAGCCAGGTGTGGTGGCAGGTGCCTGTAGTCCTAGTTACTCAGGAGGCTGAGGCAGGAGAATGGCATGAACCTCGGAGACGGAGCTTGCAGTGAGCCAAGATTGCGCTACTGCACTCCAGCCTGGGCGACAGAGTGAGACTTTGTCTAAAAAAATAAAAAAACAAAAACACGTAAAGAACAAATTAGTCCTCGTGGTAGGCCACCCCCACCCCATCTCCAGTTCACCACTTCAATCATACTACTTTCTCAGTGGACTTGAAGCCAAGCTTTCACATCAGAGCCCTCCAACCAAGAGCCTGACTGTATAACTCCTAAGAACAATCAAGTAAGAATGTTTTTCTTTCCATTCCTCACATCTGGTATCTGTTGCCTTGTGAATGGGGTGCCCATCAGCAGGAAGGGTTAGAACTAGGGTAAGTGTGTAGGGAGCAAGGCTTGAAAAGAAACAGATGAGGAAAGAGTAGCAAAATCAAGACTGTCCCAGGAAGTGAGTGTCAGTCAAAGGTTTTGAAATCCCTCAAATAGTTACTTCTGCTGTCTTGGTTTTGTCCACCTCCCTTCTTTTTTCACATACCTGCCACCCTAAAAAGTAATACCTATGCCTAACATAGAGCTAACCAGTTAAAGAACTGCTAGTAACTTTAGAAAAGAGTCCCTTTCCCATCAGAATCAGAACAAAATCTTTTTAAAAAAATTATTTTTGGCCAGGCATGGTTGTTCACACCTGTAATCCCGGCACTTTGGGGGGCTGAGGTGGGTGGATCACTTGAGGTCAGGAGTTCAAGACCAGCCTAACCAACATGGTGAAACCATGTCTCTGCTAAAAATACAAAAATCAGCCGGGTGTAGTGGCATATGCCTGTAATCCCAGCTACTCGGGAGGCTGAGGCATGAGAATCACTTGAACCTGGAGGCAGAGGGTGCAGTGAGCCAATATCGTGCCACTGCACTCCAGCCTGGGTGACACAGCGAGACTCTGTCTCAAAAAAAACACAAAAACATATATATATATATATATATATATATATATATATATATATATATATATACATATATATATATATATAAAATATAAATATATATACATATAATTTTTTTCAGGCGGGGGCAATGGCTTATGCCTGCAATTTTAACACTTTGGGAGGCAGAGGTGGGAGGATCATTTTACCTAGGAGTTTGAGACCAGCCTGGGCAACATAGTGAGATCTTGTCTCTACAAAAACAGTTTTAAATTAGTCAGGCGTGGTGGTGCATACCTGTAGCCCCAGCTACTTAGGAGGCTGGGGCAGGAGAATCCTGCTGCTGCATTTTGTGCTACTTTTAAAAATATTTGGTAAAATTCAGGAGTAAAGCCGTCGGGTCTTGGGCTTTTCTTTCCCGGGAAACTTTTTTTTATTTTTTGAGAGGGCGTCTCGCTCTGTCGCCCAGGCTGGAGTGCAGTGGCCTGATCTCGACTCACTTGCAGGCTCCGCCCCTCAGGTTCACGCCATTCTCCTACCTCAGCCTCCTGAGTAGCTGGGACTAGAGGCACCCGCCACCATGCCCAGCTAATTTTTTTTTTTTTTGTATTTTTTTTAGTAGAGACGGGGTTTGACCGTGTTAGCCAGGATGGTCTCCATCTCCTGACCTCGTGATCCGCCCGCCTCGGCTTCCCAAAGTGCTGGGATTACACGCGTGAGCCACTGCACCCGGCTTTTCCTGGGAAAATTGTTTCCGTCTCACTACTTATTGGTCTTTTCAGGTTTTGGATTTCTTTGTGGTTCATTCTTGCTAGATTGTATGTATCTAGGAAAGTATCCATTTATTCTAGATTTTCTAATTTATTGGTCTATAGTTGCTCATACTAGCCTCTAATGATCCTTAGAATTTCTACAGTATCAATGAAAATGTCCCCGTTTTCATCTTGATTTTATTTATTTAGGGTTTTTTGTTTTTTTTTAGTGTGGCTAAAGGTTACTGGTTTGGTTTATCTTTTTTAAAAAACGAACTTTTCGTTTTGTTCATATTTTGTATGTTTTCATTTCAATTTCATTAAGTTTTGCTCTTATCTTTATTCTTTCCTTTCTTCTATACTTATTTTGGGTCTGGTTTATTCTTGCTTTTCTAGTTCTTTTAAGATGTATCGGCGCCACGGGCCCCGCAGAGCCAGGGCGGCTCCCGCCGGTAGCCTGTGTGTGGGCCCCGGCCAGCCGCGCCCCCAGTCCATATCGCCCTTCACTGCCCCGAGGCTGGCGCGGCTATGGGGCGCGGGGCCGGCGCTGCTCTGGGGCGTTGGAGCCGCGCGCCGCTGGAGGAGCTGCTGCCGGGGCGGGGGTCTGGGCGGCTCGGGGGGCCACGCGGGCCTCGGACGGCTCCCGGGGCTGTGGGCTTGGGCCCGGCAGCTGCAGGTGCGGGGCTCTTGCCGGCCGGGCGCTCCTCGGCTCCCGAGCGCCGGGTTCCCGGGCGGTCCCACCGCCACTGCCTCGGCAGGGGAGGAGGCCTGGCGGCGCGGGCGGGCGGCGCCTTCCCGGGACGACCAGCGGCTACGACCCATGGCGCCCGGACTCTCGGAGGCCGGGAAGCTCCTGGGGCTGGAGTACCCTGAGCGCCAGAGGCTGGCAGCTGCGGTTGGATTTCTCCGATGTCCGGTGTTATCTCCATGTCTGCCCCTTTCTTTCTGGGGAAGATCATCGATGCCATCTATACCAACCCCACTGTGGACTACAGCGACAACCTGACCCGCCTCTGCCTTGGCCTCAGTGGCGTGTTTCTATGTGGTGCTGCCGCCAATGCCATTCGTGTCTACCTCATGCAAACTTCACGTCAGCGCGTTGTGAAGAGGCTGAGAACTTCGTTATTCTCCTCCATTCTGGGGCAGGAGGTTGCTTTCTTTGACAAGGCTGGCACAGGGGAATTGATTAACCGCCTCTCATCGGACACTGCACTCCTGGGGCGCTCAGTGACTGAAAACCTCTCAGATGGGCTCAGGGCCGGGGCCCGGGCTTCTGTAGGCATCAGGATGATGTTTTGTGTCTCACCTAATCGGGCCACCTTTGTTGTGAGTGTGGTGCGTCTAGTGTCAATCATTGATGTAATTTATGGACGATATCTACGGAAACTGACCAAAGTCACCCAGGATTCGCTGGCACAAGCCACTCAGGAGGAACGTATTGGAAATGTTAAGAACTGTTCGAGCTTTTGGGAAAGAAATGACTGAAATAGAAAAATAGGCCAGCAAAGTGGACCATGTGATGTAGTCAGCAAGGAAAGAGGCATTCGCTCGGGCTGGCTTCTTTGGAGAACTAGGCTGTCCGGAAACCTGATTGTGCTTTCTGTCCTGTACAAAGGGGGGCTGCTGATGGGCAGTGCCCACATGACCATGGGTGAACTCTCTTCCTTCCTATGTATGCTTTCGGGGTTGGAATAAGCATTGGAGGTCTGAGCTCTTTCTACTCGGAGCTGATGAAAGGACTGGGTGCCGGGGGGCGCCTCTGGGAGCTCCTGGAGAGAGAGCCCAATCTGCCTTTTAAGGAGGGGGAAGGGTTATCTTAAATGAGAAAAGCTTCCAGGGTGCTTTGGAGTTTAAGAACGTGCATTTTGCCGATCCCGCTTGCCCGGAGGCGCCCATATTTCAGGATTTCAGCCTTTCCATTCCGTCAGGATCTGTCACGGCACTGGTTGGCCCAGGTGGTTCTGGCAAATCAACAGTGCTTTCGCTCCTGCTGAGGTTGTTCGACCCTGCTTCTGGAACCATCAGTCTTGATGGCCATGACATCCGTCAGCTAAACCCAGTGTGGCTGAGATCCAAGATTGGGACAGTGAGACAGGAACCCATTTTGTTTTCTTGCTCTATCACTGAGAACATTGCTTATGGTGCTGATGGCCTTCCTCTGTGACCGCTGAGCAAGTCCAGAGAGTGGCTGAAGTGGCCAATGCAGTGGTCTTGATCCGGAATTTCCCCCAAGGGTTCAACACTGTGGTTGGAGAAAAGGGTGTTCTCCTCTCAGGTGGGCAGAAACAGCGGATTGCAATTGCCCGTGCTCTGCTGAAGAATCCCAAAATTCTTCTCCTAGATGAAGCAACCAGTGCGCTGGATGCTGAAAATGAGTACCTTGTTCAAGAAGCTCTAGATCCACTGATGGATGGAAGAACAGCGTTAGTTATTGCCCATCATCTCTCCACCATTAAGAATGCTAATATGGTTGCTGTTCTTGATCAAGGAAAAATTACTGAATATGGAAAACATGAAGAGCTGCTTTCAAAACCAAATGGGATATACAGAAAACTAATGAACAAGCAAAGTTTTATTTCAGCCTAAGGAAACAATTACTGGTAAACAACATGAGAGACTTTAATGCAAAACAGTATTGTAGAAAAAAAAAACCTCAGAGACTGCATGAAATATGTAAACCATATATCAAGTTATTTGAAAAATAGCTATTTTTTCCAAAGCGTGTAAAATATTGCTTTGAAATGTACCTGTTCTCAAGATCTTTTTATTCAGAGTTTTAACCATTGTAACTTTTTAAATGTCTGTAGCACTGAAGTTATTTTCAGGTTTTGTATTTTCTTTCATTGTGGAATATTTTAATTAATATAGCATGGCACCTCATTTTCTTTTGCCTGCTGTTAAAGATGGAAGCTGTTGTCAAATAACAACTTTAAAAAGGGAAGTATAAATAAAAAGCCTGATTATTTTAGGCCAGTTTGCCAATCACTGTGTAATTCTTCTGGTAGTATTCTACCTACTTTAAGTCTAATTTTACTAGATAGAGTAATGGAAAATGAAAATCTAACCCTTTATTCCGATAATCTCATGAAGCAAACCTAACTATTTAACATCAGCTGGAAAGAAGGGAACATTTATATTGCCCGTCTCCTGTGTCTTCAAAGGTGTGAGAGTTGAGGAATATGTGTTCCTACGGGAACTATGTTTGAATATGTGCAGTTTTCAACATTTTGGCAAATGAAAGCCTGACAAGTTTTTAAAAGGGCAGAAGCTTTATTTTTTGAACAGAAAAATCTATTTTTTAAATTCACATGTTTGTATGAGTACTTCTGGGAAGCAAGGGATGAACTGCTAGGTATTATTAAGAATGAATGATTTTTGCATTTAAGTTGTTTGAAGGCATGTATTTTGAAAAATATCTGTTACAAATTTATAATTTCAAGACATACTAAATCTTATAATACTTTTGGAATTTCATTAATAAGGCTAAAATCTGAGGAATGTAACTAATTTTCAGCCTTAAGACACTTAAGTTTGGAAGTCCTTGCTATTCAACAGAATAACAAGAAACCTTCAGAATGTATCACTCTCCCAAAAAGAAGATATTAATAAGCCCTTTTCTTTTATTCATGGTTATAGTTTTTTTATAGTCTCAAAATTCCTAAAGCAATGCTGACAGCCATTGAATTTGCCATATTTTGTATTCAGTGCTGTTAATGTGCTGTTGCCTCAAGAAAAAGTGCTTTTTCTCCATTGATGAGGCTAGACCCTAAGAGGTAATTAAGTCAATGTAAATCAAATGGAAGTTTTGCCATGAACTAAGCATTTATTAGTTCCCTGATTAGACTGGAAGAAGAAACCGCTATTTCATGACAAGCATGGAATATTATATTTTCTTCTTCATAATTAATGAATAAAATTGATATGAGCGAATGAATGTAGTATTTTTTGAATTAGTAAACAGTACATCTGTGACAATCATTTTAACAAGCTCTACTTGTGTTCTTTATAAAGTGTGATTTTCAGAAAGCAAACAAAACACAATTAAAAGGTTGAATCTGAGGAAAATAATGCTTGTACCATAGAAGTATTTACAAAATTGCATTTCATTGTTATGTTTTATTTTCTGATACCTGATGTTCAATTATATCTGTAGGTAATATTTTATATCATAGATTAAAATTTATAGTGACCTTAAAAAAAGATGTATCATCAGGTTATTTATTTGAGGTTTTTCACTTTTTTGATCTTGGAAATTATAGGTATACATTTCCCTCTTACTACTGCTTTTTGCTGTATCCCATAGGTTTTGGTATGTTGTGTTGCCGTTTTTATCTGCTTCAATAAATTTTTCAATTTCTTCTGAATTTCTTTGTTGAAATTGTAAGGATCATTAGAGGCTACTATGAGCAACCATAGGCCAGAAATTAGAAAACCTAGACTATCTGGATACATATAGATACAGAAAAATTCACATTATGAATTTGTTCTTAAATAAGCTTTGGTAATTTGTCTCTTTACAGAACTTTAAGCTGCCAAATTCTTGAGTATGGAATTGTTCATAATAGTTATTATCATTTAAATATAGAGGTTCTGTAATGATATTTCTTCTTTTATCAGTCCTTTTTTCTTAGTCTTACTAGTATGTAACAACTTTACTGATTTTTTCAAAGGAACTTTTCACTTTGTGAATTTATTTACTTTCAATTTCATTTATTTCTTTCATTACCTGTTATTTTATTTTTTCAAATTACGTTTTGTTTATTTTTTCATTGACTTTTAAACCTACGTATTTTTCTAATAGAAGAATTTCAAATAATAAATTACCCTCTCAATTTAACTCTACACCACAAATATGAAGCTTTTATTATCATAATTTTATTTTATTTTTTTAATTGGCACATAATAATTGTGCATATTTATGGGTACATAGTGATGTTTCAATACTCATAGTGTATATATTTAATTACCCTGATGAGGTGATGGTAATTAGCATATCCATCATTGCAAACATTTATCATTTCTTTGTTTTGGGAACATTCAATATCCTTTGCTAACTATTTGAAGCTATATGTTATTGTTAACTATTGTCATACCATAATGGTATAGAGCATTAGAACTTATTCCTCCTATCTAGCTTTAATTTTGAATCTTTTAACAAATCTCTCCCTATCCCTCCCTCCCTCTTATACTTTCCAGCCTCTAGCATCCTCTGTTTTAACTTCTATAAGATCAAAATATTTTAGCTTCCACATATGAGTGAGAAGCTGTAATGTTTAACTTTCTCTTCTTGGCTCATTTCACTCACATAATACACTCCATTTCTATGCATGTTGCTTTTATGGCCGAATAGTACTTCATTGTGTATCTATTCCTTTTCCCCTCCTGTCCCCTCCCTTCCCCTCCTCTCCCCTCTCCTCTCCTTCCTTTCCCTTCTTGAGATGGAGTCTTGCTCTGGAGTGCAATGGTGTGATCTTGGCTCACTGTAACCTCTGCCTCTCGGATTCAAGTGATCTTCCACCTCAGCCTCCCGAGTAGCTGGGGACGTGCCACCATGCCCAGCTAATTTTTATATTTGTAGTAGAGATGGGGTTTCACCATGTTGGCCAGGCTAGTCTCGAACTCCTGACCTCCAGTGATCCACCCATCTTGGCCTTCCAAAGTGCTGGGATTGCAGGCGTGAGCCACTGTGCCCGGCCTATATACCACATTTTCTTTAACCATCATCTGTTGCTGGACCCTTAGGTTGATTCCATATCTTGCCTATTGTGAATAGTGCTGCAATAAACATCTAGGTGCAGATGTTTATTTAATACACTGTTTTCCTTATTTCATATTTTTTCTAAATTATCTTTTGATTTCTTTTATGAACTATGAGTTAAATAGTGTTTCATGTTATTTACAACTATTTGGGGCTTTCCTAGGAATCTCTTATGTCATCGATTTCAAATTAAATTTTATTGTGATCAGAGAATATATTCTATAAAATCTAAAGCTTAAATTCATTTAAACTTACTCTTTGATTCAGCATTTGGCCTATGTTGGTGGTGCTTTCAATACACAAGAAAACAACGTATATTCAGCATTTGAAATGTAGTTTTTATAAATGTCAATAAGATCAAGGTGATTTATAATGAAGTTGAAATGTTCTATAGCCATACGAATGGTTTGTCTTACTGTTCAATCAGTGATGAACAGAGGGATGTTAAAATCTTTAATTATTATTGTCATTTATCCATTTCTCCCTTCAATTCTGCTTTTTCCTTCATGAATTATGAGGCTTTATTATTAAGTTGGTGTCCCTTTCATAATTATGAAATGGGGGCATTTCATAATTATGGACATATATGTCATATTAGGACAATAATATAATAACCAATTCATCAGAGGACAATAATATAAGCAATATTATTGTCCTCTGATGAATTGGTTCTTTCATAATTATGAAATGCCCCCATTTTCTCTTATAATGCACCCTCTTTTCCAGTCTACATTGCATTTTGCTAATGTAGCCACACAAGCTTCCTAATGCTTGCTGTGTATATGGTTTATCTTTTCTTGTAGGTTTACTTTTCATCTATCTGTGTCTTTATGTTTAATGTATGTTTCTGGTAGACAACATTAGTTGGGTCTCATTCTTTTGTCTAATATGACAGTCTCTACCTTGTAATTGAATAATTTAGTTCATAAATATGTTAAATGAAATGTGTTGCCACTTTTAAAAACTGTACAATCTCTTGTTTCTCTTCTCATATTTTTGTTTAATTGTATTTTAAGTATTCATTTTAAATTGCATAGATGAGTTAGTTGCAACGCTTTTTTGTATTGAGTTATTTGTATTACAATAATCATCAATTTATACTTAACTAATCTAAATTTTACTTCGAGGTAATTTTTGACAACTTCATATATAATGTAAAAAACTGATGACATCTGTTCTATTTTTACATTCTCTCCAGTGATTGATAGTGTTGCCTACTTTGTCAAATCAAAACAAGGCAACATTTTCCTAAAAAGTGATCTGTGCTCCACCTATCCTATTCATATGCACAGAAGACTTTCAGGGCAGAAAACTATTCTGCATGATACTATACTGGTATATGAATTTGCCTAAACTCATAGAATGTATGACAGCAAGCGTGGACCCTAATATAACTATGGACCTTGGTGATAAGGATGTGCCAGTGCAGGTTCATCAGCGGTAAGTAATGTGCCACTCCAGAGGAGAATGACAGCAAGGGGTCAGGCTGTGCCTGTGTGGACACAATGATGTATGAGAAATCTTTGTATCTTTCTTTCAATTTTGCTGTGAGCTTACAACTGCCCTAAAAATAAAGTCTATTAAAAAAACCCAAAACAACAACAACAAAAACTGATGACGGTAACATTTCCTTTACTCCCCCTCTGTCTTTTGTGATTTTTTTTAGTATAAGTTTTTCTGTCCACATCATAAACCCCACAATAAAATGATATCTTTTTAAATTTAAATAGTCAGTTTCCCTTCAACAAAATCGGCAGATTAAAAAAAAGTATTTCCTGTTACTCATATACTTACCATTTCTATGCTTTTCATTTCCTCTAATCTGGAGTTTAGATTCGATGTTATTTCCCTTCAGGCCAGAAAACTTCTGCTAGCATGTTTTGTAGTACAGATTTGCTGGTGACAAATTGGCCCATTTAATTTTTCCGAAAATGTCTTAATTTTACCTTCAACTTTGAAAGATACTTTAATAATATATAGAAACGAACCTGATGCTCTGTCATCTCCAAATACTTTAGTAGACTGATTCTCAACCAGGGGGAGTTTTGCCCTCCAGGAAACATCTGATAATATCTCAAGATATTTTTAGTTGTTAGCCTGGGGAAAGGTGTGAGGAGGATGCTACTGTCATTTAGTTATTAAAGGCAAACCAAGTCGCTAAACATCCTGCAATTCACAGGAAATGCCCCCAACAAAGAATTATGTGGCCCAAATGTCAGAAGCGATAGTGCCAAAGTTGAAAAACCTTGCTTTCATATATATTTTCTACAAACACAATTGTGTCTATATATGTATATACATATATATAATTGTATATATTACAAATCTGTTACAGTAATATATGTGCCCCCCCAAATGCAATACATGCACAGTACAACGAACAAAACCAGAAAATTAATATTAATATATTGCTACATCTAATTATCAAGTCCGCATTAAAATTTCACCAATAGTCAGCCGGGCACGGTGGCTCACGCCTGTAATCCCAGCACTTTGGGAGGCCGAGGCGGATGGGTCACGAGGTCAGGCGATCAAGACCATCCTGGCTAACAGGGTGAAACCCCGTCTCTACTAAAAATACAAAAAAAAAAAGGAAAAAATTAGCCGGGCGTGGTGGTGGGTGCCTGTAGTCCCAGCTACTCGGGAGGCTGAGGCAGGAGAATGGCGTGAACCCAGGAGGCGAGGCTTGCAGTGAGCCCAGACCGCGCCACTGCACTCCAGGCTGGGCGACAGACCGAGACCCAGTCTCAAAAAAAAAAAAAAAAAAAATTCACCAATAGTCCCAATAATGTTTCATAGCAAAAGGATCAAGTTCAGAATCATGCATTGCCTTTCATTGTCATGTCTTTTTAATGTCCTTGTATCAAGAATAGATCTTTAGACCTAACTTAACCAAGATTTCTGGCCCATATTTTCTTCTTTTTTTCCTTTGCTTTGCTTCTCCTTCCTTTTCTCCTTTCCTTTCTCCTTCGCTTTCCCCTTCCTTTTTCTCTTCCCTCTCCCCTTCCCTTCCCCCTCCCCTTCCTTCTCCTCTCCTCTTTCCCTTACTTTTTCCTTTTCCCTTCCTTCTTTTTTGAATGGCTCCCTTTAGGTTTTCTGAGGTTTCCTTGTGACTAGAGTCAGGCAATGCATTTTGGCAAGAATATCACAGAATTGATGCTGCGTTTTTTTCATTGCATCCTATCAGGTGGTACATGATTCCAGTTTGTCTCATTACTGACAATGTTTATTTTGACAGGTTGATAATGGTGGTATATAGTAGGCTTCTATCTTGTTATTCTCTGTTTCTAGATTCTGTTACTTTATTTTATGTTGTTTTTCCTAAAGGGTAATAGGAATTTTCTCTGTTTCTTTATTTTGTTTTTGTTTATTTCCCTATTTTTATTCCTTACTATACTTTTAGTACATAGTACCTAGTGCAAAATACTAATATATGTTGAACACCAACAGTTGTTGAACAAATGTCTGAAACTGACTCTGTCCTGCTACCACAAAAACATATATATATATATTTTTTTCCTATAGGGATACCATCAACTCTACATAGTTGTCTAAGCCAAGACCTCCTGCTAGGACTGATTAAAGCCTGTGCATCCTCATTATCCAGAGCCTGTGTTGCTCCTCTAGAGCTATAGTCAGGCTAACCATTCCTTCTGGTTAATATCTGAAAGGAAGAATCATGCAGCAAGAAGAGAACTGTGAGGGAATAAAAATGGCACAAACCCAGCCTGGATTTCTCTCTCCCCTTTTAATGATGAATGAATGAAAAAAATTCATCATTAGCTGTAGTTAGTTTCTATTACATAAAAAGGAAGCTGATGAAATATATAACTGAGTTATATACCCACATCCAATTGGTTCTGTTTCTCTGGAGAACTCTATTAAAGAAGTTATTGAGTATTGTTTACATGTACACTGACAAATATGTCTAAAGGTTATGTCTGAACACCTATAAATTTATACCAATGATTCTATATAGTTCATTCTTATTACACTTGATTCTAATTCTTATGAAGTTGATGTTTGGTAGAATGAATGATAAAAGGAGATTCTGTCCCCTATTGAAGTGTTTGTGTAGTTACACGCCAGAGTTTTGGAGATTGAGGAAAAGGTTGAGCTTAAATAATTTTATGGGCAAACTCAATGCTTGAATGTAAGATAGTACTTTGAAAGATTTGGAGGATTTCATAATGACTTTTACTTTTGCTAATTATTGATACAGTCACTTGTAAATAAGTTTACTTAGGTAAGCTCAAGGAAATCATGCTTTTTCTCAGGCTTATTTTAAATCTGAATATTTTTACTGTCTTTGCTTTTACAAGAAAATATTCATCATTGTATTTTTTGTCTTAATTTTCAAAGTCAAATGTTAATTGTTTTTGTGGGATTACTTTGGCAAATATGGGAGATCCCCAAACAAATTTTAAAAAGTTTTTTCGGCCGGGCGCTGTGGCTCACGCCTGCAATCCCAGCACTTTGGGAGGCTGAGGCGGGCGGATCACGAGGTCAGGAGGTCAAGACCATCCTGGCTAACACAGTGAAACCAAGTCTCTACTAAAAATACAAAAAAATTAGCCGGACGTGGTGGCGGGTGCCTGTAGTCCCAGCTACTCTGGAGGCTGAGGCAGGAGAACGGCGTGAACCCGGGAGGCAGAGCTTGCAGTGAGCTGAGATCGTGCCACTGCACTCCAGCCTGGGCGACAGAGCGAGATTCTGTCTCAAAAAAAAAAAAAAAAAAAAAAAAGTTGTTTCTGTTCTCCTTTGTTTTCTACTTTCTCTTAAATAGAAATATATTTCTTGTACAAATAAATGCCATGAATTAAAAAAATAATAAATTATGATTTTCCTTCGTGAGGATCAGTTCTCCTAGACATTGGTTTAGCTAATGCCAGCTATTTGGTATAAAAATCTGTATCAGTGGAGAGGTAAAAAAGAGCTAAAGGAAGCATAAGAAAGACAACCGCATCTTTAAGAAGTTCCTCTTTTTCTTTTCTTTTTTTTTTTTTTTTTTGAGACGGAGTCTTGCTTTGTTCCCCATTGTTCCCCAGGCTGGAGTGCAGCGGCGCGATTTCTGCTCAGTGCAAACTCCGCCTCCCGGGTTCACGCCATTCTCCTGCCTCAGCCTCCCGTGCAGCTGGGACTACAAGTGCCCGCTACGGCGCCCAGCTAATTTTTTGTATCTTTAGTAGAGACGGGGTTTCACTGTGTTAACCAGGATGGTCTCGATCTCCTGACCTCGTGATCCACCCGCCTCGGCCTCCCAAAGTGCTGGGATTACAGGCGTGAGCCACCGCACCCGGCCAAGAAGGTTCTCTTAAAAGGAATCACTTCTTGTTTTCTTACAAGTTATAACCTCACTACCCTAGAGTCACATTTTTTAATAACTTATGAATTTTCTGAAACTTCAAATACCCTATGGCCCCATGGTAAAACATCAGATGACATTTGCCTCTCATTTAAACCATTTTTCTTTTCCTCTTTCTTCTTTATTTTTCTTATACTCTCTCCTCATTTCTTTTTCTCTCTTCCTATTTCTCTTTTTCTCTCTGCTTCTTCCTACCTCCCCTCGTGACTTTGTCTCCTCATCCCATCACCGTGCTACTTAGATGCCACATCAATTTGACTAGCCTCAAATTTACAATGAATACTTTTTAAATTCATGCTTCTGAAACTTTTAAAGGATGAAGAGGTATAAATGTCTCAAATAATAATTTGTTTGATGGCTGAAATGAATGGCATTTCTCAAAAAGGCCAAGGTACTGAATACAGAAATTTAAACAATAACTTTCCGTTAGTGATACGGTTTGGATGTTTTGTCCCCTCCAAATCTCATGTTGAAATGTGACCTCCAGTGTTGGAGGTGGGCCTAGTAATAGGTGTTTGTTTCCCAAGGGTGGATCCCCATGAATGGTTTTGTGCTGTCCTCCTGGTAATGAGTGAGTTCTTGCTCTATGAATTCACGAGAGATCTTGTTGTTTAAAAGAGCCTGGCATCTCCCTTGCTCCCTCTCTCCCCATGTAATATGCCAGCTCCCCCTTTGCCTTAAGCCATGATTGTCAGCTTCCCGGGCCTCAGCAGAAGCTGAGCAGATACTGGTGGCCTGATTGTACAGCCTGCAGACCATCAGCCAAATACTCCACTTTTCTTTATAAATTACCCAGTCTCAGGTATTCCTTTATAGCACTGAGATGGACTAACATAGTCAGTTTTGACAACATGAACCTTTCATATTAAAATTTAATTTCTAAATTCACTCATTTACTGTGATTGGTTTATAGCTTTTCTGTAATAATGAATTTTACGTGTGACTTTCAATGTGCTTTAAAACTTGATTCACTTTTTAGCTCTATTTTTGGAAACTACCAGCTTCCACTGTTGAGGCAAAAGTGTCATCATTGAGGCTCTCCTGCTGAGGTAGCTGTTGTCTGATTTCCCTTCAGTTCTACTGCTGTCCCAGTGGAAAAAGGGAATCTTCACCACTTACATGACATGTTTGCCTGAACTCTAATCTTCCACACTTGCTGTAGAAAAGAGTAAAGTGGCAGTTCAGGGCAGTTTACCAATTTAGAAATGGTGTCCGCTCAGTATTTTCCTCTGTGTCACTTACTAAAACATATAAAAGAAACCATGGACATTAAAAGAAAGAGAGAGGTTTAATGTGATATTTTAATTCTAACAAGGATTTATGGGCACATGAATGCTCAAAATCACATACCCCCTTAGTGTTTTTCATCTCACACATATCACATCAGATACATATCACACAGTTCAGGCACATATCACACAGAACTTACCGTAATTAAATTATCAGTTTTTGAAAAATATTATCATTTGCTCTCTTTTTTTCTATATAAATAAATTTTTTTAAAATATGATTTTCAGTTCTGGGATACATGCACGGAACATGCAGGTTTGTTATATAGGTATACATGTGCCATATAGGTGGTTTCTTATTTGTGTTTTCATCTTATGGCTTTGGCTAGAACTAGATAATAAAAGTATGCATCAATTTAAGAGTTATTTTTAATCATGGTAAGGACATATCTATAACTACTTTGTTAAATTTCATCAGTCATGCATGTTAAATATCATTAAATAAATATCAAAAATGGGCTGCTGTACCAGAATACCATAGACTTGGTGGCTTATAAACAACAGAAAGGAATTTCTCACAGTTCTGGGGGCTGGGAAATCTAAGACCAAGGTACTAGCCAATCTGGTGTCTGGGAAAAACTTTTGTTCTAGTTCAAAGAAGGCTGCCCTTTCTCTATAACCTCAGTTGGGGAAGGAGCAAGGGAGTTCAGGGGGCTGCTTTAGAAGGGTGCTAAACCCATTAATGAGGGCTGCTCTCTCATGACTTAATTAGTTCCCAAAAGCCCCACCTTCAAAAACCCTCACATTGGCGGTTAGCATTTCAACATATGAATTTGAGAGGGATGTAAACATTTAGTCTGTAGCAGTAAATGTACAATATAAAGTAAATAGCTTTATTGTTGTGTTGCATTATATTAATATATATTTTCTAGTATTAAATCTTTGTATGCCAAATCACTGGGGTGGGTGATTTCTTAGTAAGTGTAGAATTCAGTTCCTTTTTCTTTCAGTTAAGAATATTTTAACTATGTTTATAAGGGATACTGTTTAGTAATTTTATTCTTTTTGTATTCACTTCATCAAGAGTTAGTAATAGTTATATTTGCTTTGTAAAATGAACTGAAAGGAAGCCACTTTTTATAACTTTATCCATATTTCCTAGTTTGGGGTCCATTTTACAAGATGTTTTAAACAGATGCTTATTAAAAACACCGGTTATAGGGACTTTAATAAAAATTTTTAAAATAATGTTTTACATTTCTTGCAAAAATTGATGCCTGCAACCTATTTACTGTTTTTAAAATTAAATTAAGATTCATTTAAGCAGTACATGTTTATTTTAGTGAAACACGTATTTAATTTTCTAAGATAGTATTTTTTGTCTTTAAAACAATTTCTGCATGTTTTGTTTTTTTTTCACTTTAAATTTTATGTTTTCTCAGTTTTTGTTTTATCACATTTGCTATATTTTTCTGTATCATGGGTTATTTGTTAAAGAATGAACTTGTGTATGTTTATAAATTGTTACTGTTTTTGTTTATAATTTATTGCCTTCTAACTTAATATGTAATTAGCATTCCTTTTAATTTTGCTTGTATGCTTTGCTGTACCATTTTGAAATTCTTGAGTTAAATGCTTAACTATTTTTTATCAAGTTTAAATATTAAATTAAATATGTCCCATCAGTTTAGTTATTTTAATATTCTCACTCATCAGACATTTTTTGGGAACACCATATGCCTTTTCATGCAGTCAGTTTCAAGAAAATGAAAATTACTTTTTATATGTTTATACTCAAAGCTTGGCTAGAGATAAGTCTCCCCTTCCTTAAGTTGGGGAGAGAGTGATTTCTTCCAGGCTATAGTCAAAAGAGATACAATTATAGTAACTTTTTGTGTTTGTTTGGGTTGTTTCTGTTTGTTTGTTTGTTTGTTTGTTTGAGACGGAGGTTGGATCTTGTTGCCCAGGCTGGAGTGTAGTGGCATAATCTCAGCTCACTGCAACCTCCGCCTCCTGGGTTCAAGCAATTCTAAACATATTTTAGCACAAAACTGTTTAAGATTTCAATTTATATCTTTTTATTATCTTCCATATACTCTTTTGATACATTACCCATTATGTTGATTATTAACGTACACTCAAGTCAAGATCTTTTATTATGTGAGGTCATCAGTCAATGATAACAGATATTGATGAATTAGTCTCCTCATCAGAAATTGAGCAACATTTTCATTCAAGACGACACATGGGCCTTTAAAGCATATTCAATAATACTGAGTCTCAGTGTCCTCCTGCTATTTTCTGAATGTGCATTTAGACCTTTATACATCTATCTATCTACTGACCCATTTATTAAATTTTCAGCATTTACTTTGTACTCCAAGGACCAGAACCATGTTTGTCTTGTTCACTGCTGTACTCCTATTGCAAGGACCTAGAACATAGTAGGAGCTCATTAAACTCTGAGGTTTCAAAATAAGTGAATAGAGGTTGTAGCAGGAAGAAGTCTAAGATAGCCCCTATGACCTTCATTTCCTCATGTTACCCTGTTGATACCTCACACGGCAAAGGAGTCTTGCACATGTCACTAAGGCTAATAATCCGTCAGCCTTAAGACGGGGGGAGTATCTGGGTAAACCTAACCTAATCACACCAAAACTTCACAATCAGGGAGTTTTCTACAACTGAGAGTAGAATGGGAAGTCAGAGAGTTTCAGAGTCCAAGAAGCATTTATAGCACCCTTATTGACTTTGAAGATGCTTTGCTTCTTCTTTTGAGTTCAGTTTGAGATTATCTTTCTAATAATTGATTAGATTTTATTCTTGTAAAACAAGAGATAATTTAAAGGAATCTATTTTTAAATACTCTGAGGAGGGTGATACTAGGGGTGCTGGTTGTCCTGTTTTAACTTTGTCTTAATTTCTAATGTAATTAAATTTTGAGTAGGTAATGTGACCTGTGTGGTTTTTATTTTAAAAAATATATTGAGGTTTTATATAATCTATTTTTAAAATATTCAATGGAAACTTGAAAACATACTGTTTCACATATTCTCGTATATATATATTAAAAATCTTTTTTTATTTATTTTTTATTTTTATTTTTTTTTGAGACGGAGTCTCGCTCTGTCGCCCAGGCTGGAGTGCAGTGGCGCCATCTGGGCTCACTGCAAGCTCCGCCTCCTGGGTTCACGCCATTCTCCTGCCTCAGCCTCCCGAGTAGCTGGGACTGCAGGCACCCACCACCACGCCCAGCTACTTTTTTGTATTTTTAGTGGAGACAGAGTTTCACCGTGTTAGCCAGGATGGTCTCGATTTCCTGACCTCGTGATCCGCCCGCCTCAGCCTCCCAAAGTGCTGGGATTACAGGCGTGAGCCACTTAGCCCGGCCTAATTATTTGTTTTTTAAAAGACGGTACATAGGAAGAAGTGAATCAGGAAAAGTGGATAGTGATTGGTGGCAGTAGAAGTGAGTCAGTGTTACAGTTACTATTGCTGCTTAAGAAACTAACCCAAATGGCCTGGGCGCCGTGGCTCACGCCTGTAATCCCAGCAGTTTGGGAGGCTGAGACGGGCGGATCATGAGTTCAGGAGATCGAGACCATCCTGCCTAATACGGTGAAACTCTGTCTCTACTAAAAATACAAAAGTTAGCCTGGCCTGGTGGTGGTGGGCGCCTTAAGTCCCAGCTACTCGGGAGGCTGAGGCAGGAGAATGGCGTGAACCCGGGAGGCGGAGCTTGCTGTGAGCCGAGATCGCGCCACTGCAGTCCAGCTTGGGCCACAGAGGGAGACTCCGTCTCAAAAAAAAAAAAATTTAAAAAAAGAAAAAGAAAAAAGAAACTACCCTAAATTTAATAAGGTAAAACAACGACCACTTCATTATATCTCATGGATCCTATAGGTGAGAAATTCCAGCAGGATTCATCTGAGTGATTCTTCCTCTCTCACATCATTAACTAGGGTGACTCAGTGCTAGTCGGCTGGCAAACAAGTCAGTCTGGAAGGTGCAAGGTGCTTTTTTTCTGTCTTATAAATTGGTGGAGTTGTCTGGAAGGCAAGGCTCAGATGGGAAGGACTCTTAGTTATAGTGCCTGCACAGGGTAAACTTTTTTTTTTTCTTTTTTTTTTGAGACGGAGTCTCACTGTCCCCCAGGCTGGAGTGGTGTGGCCCGATCTCGGCTAACTGCAAGCTCCGCCTCCCGGGTTCACGCCATTCTCCTGCCTCAGCCTCCCGAGTAGCTGGGACTACAGGCGCCCACCACCAGGCCCAGCTATTTTTTTTGTATTTTTAGTAGAGACGGGGTTTCACCGTGTTAGCCAGGATGGTCTCGATCTCCTGACCTCGTGATCCACCCGCCTCGGCCTCCCAAAGTGCTGGGATTACAGGCGTGAGCCACAGCTCCCGGCCAAGAAGGCTCTCTTAAAAGGAATCACTTCTTGTTTTCTTACAAGTTATAACCTCACTACCCTAGAGTCACATTTTTTAATAACTTATGAATTTTCTGAAACTTCAAATACCCTATGGCCCCATGGTAAAACATCAGATGACATTTGCCTCTCATTTAAACCATTTTTCTTTTCCTCTTTCTTCTTTATTTTTCTTATACTCTCTCCTCATTTCTTTTTCTCTCTTCCTATTTCTCTTTTTCTCTCTGCTTCTTCCTACCTCCCCTCGTGACTTTGTCTCCTCATCCCATCACCGTGCTACTTAGATGCCACATCAATTTGACTAGCCTCAAATTTACAATGAATACTTTTTAAATTCATGCTTCTGAAACTTTTAAAGGATGAAGAGGTATAAATGTCTCAAATAATAATTTGCTTGATGGCTGAAATGAATGGCATTTCTCAAAAAGGCCAAGGGACTGAATACAGAAATTTAAACAATAACTTTCCGTTAGTGATACGGTTTGGATGTTTTGTCCCCTCCAAATCTCATGTTGAAATGCGACCTCCAGTGTTGGAGGTGGGCCTAGTAATAGGTGTTTGTTTCCCAAGGGTGGATCCCCATGAATGGTTTTGTGCTGTCCTCCTGGTAATGAGTGAGTTCTTGCTCTATGAATTCACGAGAGATCTTGTTGTTTAAAAGAGCCTGGCATCTCCCTTGCTCCCTCTCTCCCCATGTAATATGCCAGCTCCCCCTTTGCCTTAAGCCATGATTGTCAGCTTCCCGGGCCTCAGCAGAAGCTGAGCAGATACTGGTGGCCTGTTTGTACAGCCTGCAGACCATCAGCCCAAATACTCCTCTTTTCTTTATAAATTACCCAGTCTCTGGTATTCCTTTATAACATTGAGATGGACTAACATAGTCAGTTTTGACAACATGAACCTTTCATATTAAAATTTAATTTCTAAATTCACTCATTTACTGTGATTGGTTTATAGCTTTTCTGTAATAATGAATTTTACGTGTGACTTTCAATGTGATTTAAAACTTGATTCACTTTTTAGCTCTATTTTTGGAAACTACCAGCTTCCACTGTTGAGGCAAAAGTGTCATCATTGAGGCTCTCCTGCTGAGGTAGCTGTTGTCTGATTTCCCTTCAGTTCTACTGCTGTCCCAGTGGAAAAAGGGAATCTTCACCACTTACATGACATGTTTGCCTGAACTCTAATCTTCCACACTTGCTGTAGAAAAGAGTAAAGTGGCAGTTCAGGGCAGTTTACCAATTTAGAAACGGTGTCCGCTCAGTATTTTCCTCTGTGTCACTTACTAAAACATATAAAGAAACCATGGACATTAAAAGAAAGAGAGAGGTTTAATGTGATATTTTAATTCTAACAAGGATTTATGGGCACGTGAATGCTCAAAATCACATACTCCCTTAGTGTTTTTCATCTCACACATATCACATCAGACACATATCACACACATCAGGCACATATCACACAGAACTTACCATAATTAAATTATCAGTTTTTGAAAAATATTATCATTTGCTCTCTTTTTTTCTATATAAATAAATTTTTTTAAAATATGATTTTCAGTTCTGGGATACATGCAAGGAACATGCAGGTTTGTTATATAGGTATACATGTGCCATATAGGTGGTTTCTTATTTGTGCTTTCATCTTATGGCTTTGGCTAGAACTAGATAATAAAAGTATGCATCAATTTAAGAGTTATTTTTAATCATGGTAAGGACATATCTATAACTACTTTGTTAAATTTCATCAGTCATGCATGTTAAATATCATTAAATAAATATCAAAAATGGGCTGCTGTACCAGAATACCATAGACTTGGTGGCTTATAAACAACAGAAAGGAATTTCTCACAGTTCTGGGGGCTGGGAAATCTAAGACCAAGGTACTAGCCAATCTGGTGTCTGGGAAAAACTTTTGTTCTAGTTCAAAGAAGGCTGCCCTTTCTCTATAACCTCAGTTGGGGAAGGAGCAAGGGAATTCAGGGGGCTGCTTTAGAAGGGTGCTAAACCCATTAATGAGGGCTGCTCTCTCATGACTTAATTAGTTCCCAAAAGCCCCACCTTCAAAAACCCTCACATTGGCGGTTAGCATTTCAACATATGAATTTGAGAGGGATGTAAACATTTAGTCTGTAGCAGTAAATGTACAATATAAAGTAAATAGCTTTATTGTTGTGTTGCATTATATTAATATATATTTTCTAGTATTAAATCTTTGTATGCCAAATCACTGGGGTGGGTGATTTCTTAGTAAGTGTAGAATTCAGTTCCTTTTTCTTTCAGTTAAGAATATTTTAACTATGTTTATAAGGGATACTGTTTAGTAATTTTATTCTTTTTGTATTCACTTCATCAAGAGTTAGTAATAGTTATATTTGCTTTGTAAAATGAACTGAAAGGAAGCCACTTTTTATAACTTTATCCATATTTCCTAGTTTGGGGTCCATTTTACAAGATGTTTTAAACAGATGCTTATTAAAAACACTGGTTATAGGGACTTTAATAAAAATTTTTAAAATAATGTTTTACATTTCTTGCAAAAATTGATGCCTGCAACCTATTTACTGTTTTTAAAATTAAATTAAGATTCATTTAAGCAGTACATGTTTATTTTAGTGAAACACGTATTTAATTTTCTAAGATAGTATTTTTTGTCTTTAAAACAATTTCTGCATGTTTTGTTTTTTTTCACTTTAAATTTTATGTTTTCTCAGTTTTTGTTTTATCACATTTGCTATATTTTTCTGTATCATGGGTTATTTGTTAAAGAATGAACTTGTGTATGTTTATAAATTGTTACTGTTTTTGTTTATAATTTATTGCCTTCTAACTTAATATGTAATTAGCATTCCTTTTAATTTTGCTTGTATGCTTTGCCGTACCATTTTGAAATTCTTGAGTTAAATGCTTAACTATTTTTTATCAAGTTTAAATATTAAATTAAATATGTCCCATCAGTTTAGTCATTTTAATATTCTCACTCATCAGACATTTTTTGGGAACACCATATGCCTTTTCATGCAGTCAGTTTCAAGAAAATGAAAATTACTTTTTATATGTTTATACTCAAAGCTTGGCTAGAGATAAGTCTCCCCTTCCTTAAGTTGGGGAGAAAGTGATTTCTTCCAGGCTATAGTCAAAAGAGATACAATTATAGTAACTTTTTGTGTTTGTTTGGGTTGTTTCTGTTTGTTTGTTTGTTTGTTTGTTTGAGACGGAGGTTGGATCTTGTTGCCCAGGCTGGAGTGTAGTGGCATAATCTCAGCTCACTGCAACCTCCGCCTCCTGGGTTCAAGCAATTCTAAACATATTTTAGCACAAAACTGTTTAAGATTTCAATTTATATCTTTTTATTATCTTCCATATACTCTTTTGATACATTACCCATTATGTTGATTATTAACGTACACTCAAGTCAAGATCTTTTATTATGTGAGGTCATCAGTCAATGATAACAGATATTGATGAATTAGTCTCCTCATCAGAAATTGAGCAACATTTTCATTCAAGACGACACATGGGCCTTTAAAGCATATTCAATAATACTGAGTCTCAGTGTTCTCCTGCTATTTTCTGAATGTGCATTTAGACCTTTATACATCTATCTATCTACTGACCCATTTATTAAATTTTCAGCATTTACTTTGTACTCCAAGGACCAGAACCATGTTTGTCTTGTTCACTGCTGTACTCCTATTGCAAGGACCTAGAACATAGTAGGAGCTCATCAAACTCTGAGGTTTCAAAATAAGTGAATAGAGGTTGTAGCAGGAAGAAGTCTAAGATAGCCCCTATGACCTTCATTTCCTCATGTTACCCTGTTGATACCTCACACGGCAAAGGAGTCTTGCACATGTCACTAAGGCTAATAATCCGTCAGCCTTAAGACGGGGGGAGTATCTGGGTAAACCTAACCTAATCACACCAAAACTTCACAATCAGGGAGTTTTCTACAACTGAGAGTAGAATGGGAAGTCAGAGAGTTTCAGAGTCCAAGAAGCATTTATAGCACCCTTATTGACTTTGAAGATGCTTTGCTTCTTCTTTTGAGTTCAGTTTGAGATTATCTTTCTAATAATTGATTAGATTTTATTCTTGTAAAACAAGAGATAATTTAAAGGAATCTATTTTTAAATACTCTGAGGAGGGTGATACTAGGGGTGCTGGTTGTCCTGTTTTAACTTTGTCTTAATTTCTAATGTAATTAAATTTTGAGTAGGTAATGTGACCTGTGTGGTTTTTATTTTAAAAAATATGTTGAGGTTTTATATAATCTATTTTTAAAATATTCAATGGAAACTTGAAAACATACTGTTTCACATATTCTCGTATATATATATTAAAAATCTTTTTTTATTTATTTTTTATTTTTATTTTTTTTTGAGACGGAGTCTCGCTCTGTCGCCCAGGCTGGAGTGCAGTGGCGCCATCTGGGCTCACTGCAAGCTCCGCCTCCTGGGTTCACGCCATTCTCCTGCCTCAGCCTCCCGAGTAGCTGGGACTGCAGGCACCCACCACCACGCCCAGCTACTTTTTTGTATTTTTAGTGGAGACAGAGTTTCACCGTGTTAGCCAGGATGGTCTCGATTTCCTGACCTCGTGATCCGCCCGCCTCAGCCTCCCAAAGTGCTGGGATTACAGGCGTGAGCCACTTAGCCCGGCCTAATTATTTGTTTTTTAAAAGACGGTACATAGGAAGAAGTGAATCAGGAAAAGTGGATAGTGATTGGTGGCAGTAGAAGTGAGTCAGTGTTACAGTTACTATTGCTGCTTAAGAAACTAACCCAAATGGCCTGGGCGCCGTGGCTCACGCCTGTAATCCCAGCAGTTTGGGAGGCTGAGACGGGCGGATCATGAGTTCAGGAGATCGAGACCATCCTGCCTAATACGGTGAAACTCTGTCTCTACTAAAAATACAAAAGTTAGCCTGGCCTGGTGGTGGTGGGCGCCTTAAGTCCCAGCTACTCGGGAGGCTGAGGCAGGAGAATGGCGTGAACCCGGGAGGCGGAGCTTGCTGTGAGCCGAGATCGCGCCACTGCAGTCCAGCCTGGGCGACAGAGGGAGACTCCGTCTCAAAAAAAAAAAAATTTAAAAAAAGAAAAAAGAAACTACCCTAAATTTAATAAGGTAAAACAACGACCACTTCATTATATCTCATGGATCCTATAGGTGAGAAATTCCAGCAGGATTCATCTGAGTGATTCTTCCTCTCTCACATCATTAACTAGGGTGACTCAGTGCTAGTCGGCTGGCAAACAAGTCAGTCTGGAAGGTGCAAGGTGCTTTTTTTCTGTCTTATAAATTGATGGAGTTGTCTGGAAGGCAAGGCTCAGATGGGAAGGACTCTTAGTTATAGTGCCTGCACAGAGTAAACTTTTTTTTTTTTTTTTGAGACGGAGTCTCACTGTCCCCCAGGCTGGAGTGGTGTGACCCGATCTCGGCTAACTGCAAACTCCGCCTCCCGGGTTCACGCCATTCTCCTGCCTCAGCCTCCCGAGTAGCTGGGACTACGGGCGCCCACCACCAGGCCCGGCTAATTTTTTGTATTTTTAGTAGAGACTGGGTTTCACCGTGTTAGCCAGGATGGTCTCGATCTCCTGACCTCGTGATCCACCCGCCTTGGCCTCCCAAAGTGCTGGGATTACAGGCCTGAGCCACCGCGCCCGGCCTGCACAGGGTAAACTTCTTATATGGCTGCTGGCTTTCCGCAGATCAAACACTCCAAGGGAACCAGGTGGAAAATGCCTGGTCTCTTTTTATCTCACTTTAAAGGTCAGGTAGAATTATTTGTCATACTCTATTGATTGTAGCAGTCACAAGCACGTCCAGATTTAGGGAAGGGAGACATAGACCTATTTTTTGATGAGAAGAATATCAACCTGTTTTTGGACTATGTTTAAAACTGCCACACATGACAATTACACACCAGGTAGAAGGCATTTGGGGACAGACTTGAAGGAAATGAGGAGGAATCGTGCTCTGCTGAAAGAAGAGCATTCCAAAGAGAGACCACAGCTTGGGCAAAAGCCCTGAGTTGGAATCATGTGGACTTATTCTTAGAACAGCATCGAGGAAGCCATTATAGCTGGAGTAGAATGAGAAGGGGGAAGAGTATTAGTAGATGGTGGCAGAGAAATAAACATGAGAAGACGGATGATGGAACGAGCACCTTGTAAGTCATTTTAAGGACTTTGGCTGTTCCTCAAACTGACATGGGACCATTGAAAGATTTTTTTATTTTTTATTTTTTAAATTTAACTTTTAAGTTCAGTGGTACACGTGCAGGTTTGTTATGTAGGTAAACTTGTGTCATGGGGGTTTGTTGTACGGATTATTCTGTTACCCACATGGTAAACCTGCTACCCACTAGTTGTTTTTCCTGATCCTCTCCCTCCTCCCAGCTTTCACCCTCCTTTTCAAAATAAGACATACATGCAGCCAACAAACATAGAAAAAAAGCTCAGCATCACTGGTCATTAAAGAAATGCACATCAGAAGTACAATGAGATACTATCTCACACCATTCAGAATGGTTATTATTAAAAAGCCAAAAAATAACATGTTGGCAATATTGTGGAGAAAAGGCAACATTTCTACACTGTTGGTGGGAGTGTAAATTAGTTCAGCCATTGTGGAAGACAGTGTGGTGATTCCTCAAACACCTAAAAGAACTACCATTCGACCCGGCAATCCTATTACTGGGTATACACCCAAAGGAATATAAATTGTTCTGTCATAAAGACACATGCATGCATATGTTTATTGCAGCGCTATTCACAGTAGCAAAGGCATGGAATCAACATAAATGCCCATCAATGGTAGACTGGATAAAGAAAATGTGGTATATATACACCATGGCATATTATGCCACCATAAAAGATGAGATCACGCCCTTTGTAGGAACATGGATGGAGCTGGAAGCCATTATCCTTAGCCAACTAATGCAGGAACAGAAAACCAAATGTTCCCACTTAGAAGCGAGAGTCAAAGGGGAGAATACATGAACACGTAGAGGGGAACAACATTGAAAGATATAAGCAAAGAAGTGATATCATCTGAATTGCATTTCTGAGATTTCTCTGGCACTTGTGTAAAAAATAGCTGAAAGGAATCAACGGCAGAAGCTGGGAGACCAGTTAGGGAGCTTTTGCAATAACCATAAGAGGAAATATGTGTGGCTTAGACTAGGAATCGTCAGGTTGGGAGTGCTCATATTCAAATGTGGTCAGAATCCGGACATTTTGAGTGAGCCTACAGAAAGCTTTAATACTATCTCAAACTAAAGGATATAGAAGGTTTTCCCTTTCTCTTGCCCTGAAACCTTCTGTATCCTTTATTTTGAGATAGTATTAGAATTCTTACTATCTTACTGACAATTCTCACTATCTTGTTTTATAACTTGGAACATGATTATAATTATAGTATTGTTAAATATTTTATTTTTATTTTATAATTATACTTTAAAAATATTATTTTGGTAAATAATCATAAAATATGAAAAATAAATCTTTCCATTAACTGAATCAATTGTCCCCTTGCAGGATTTTGGCTTCACAACTTCCTAATCCTTGAAATATTAATTTTGATTATTTTTCTAATATGTACCCATATGTCTTTGAGTAAATTTTTATTGGAAGGACAAATCAGTGCTGGATATACAGATGCCATTGCTTCGTACTCAGGTAAAGACAACCTGATATTTATGATCCTCTTGATCATATTTTTATTCTCTTAAAATCTTTATGTCTTCTAATAATGTTAACAGAGAAGAAAAAAAGTCTTATCTAAGCCTGACTTTTTATTTTTAAGGAAGTTTTTTTCTTTATTTGTAAAATTCAGGAGTTTGGCTAGTTGTTATTTAAATATGGAGAACTCTTCCTTGTTTCTTCCCCCTCCCTGCCTAGAAACTGGTTGGTGCTTTTATTATTCGTACTTCAGTGATAGCTTTGATTATTGTTTCAGATCTCCTTGCCCTTGTGTCTTTCCCTAGTACACAAACTATTCTCGAGGTGGAACCTGTGGTCTCTGGCATACCCATCCGCCTTCTTCTCTGTCATTAGTTCATCTCTTCTTTTGCCCTCCAGAGCTCTGATTCAATTGCTGCTTGAACTTTTCAGTGTGTCAGTTTCTTTCTCCACGGATTTCCCTGTGGATGGAAAATCTGCCCTTGCACTTTAGTTTTCATAGAAGCCTCATCTCAGCTATCTCCCATTTTGTGATATGAGCCTCTTTTGTTATTGTAGCCTTCATCTCCTATTTCCTAAATTCCATGTGTTTCTACATACTGTTCATAGACAAATAGTTTAAAGCAATGTTCTATAGTTTCTTGTGGTTTGAAAGTCATATATTTTTAAATACGTTTTCTCCCCCTGAGAATTCAGCATACAGTTTCATTTTTCTTGTACGCAGGATGATTTTTAGGATTTTTTTTCTGTTATTTTTTTCCATTCTGGTTACCTAGAAGGTAGTGATTATTACCCCAAACCAGGGTTTGATACTGTGTTAGTCCACTTTCATACTGCTATGAAGAAATACCTGAGACTGGGTAATTTATAAAGAAAAAAAGGTTTAATGGACTCAGTTCCACGTGGCTGGGGAAGCCTCACAATCATGGCAGAAGGCAAAGGAGGAGCAAAGACATGTCTTACATGGTGGCAGGCAAGAGAGAGAGCATGTGCAGGGGAACTCCCCTTTATAAAACCATCAGATCTTGTGAGACTTATTCGGTTTCACAAGAACAACACAGGGAGAAACCCATCCCCATGATTCAGTTACCTCCCACTGGGTCCCTTTCATGACATATGGGGATTATGGGAGCTACAATTCAAGATGAGATTTGGGTAGGGACATAGCCAAACCATATCATTCTTCCCCTGGCGCCTCCTGAATCTCATGTTCTCACATTTCAAAATCAATCATGCCTTCCCAACAGTCCCCCAAAGTTTTAACTCGTTTCAACATTAACTGAAAAGTCCACAGTCCAAGGTCTCATCTGAGACAAGTCCCTTCCACCTATGAGCCTGTAAAACTAAAAGCAAGTTAGTTACTTCCTACATACAATGGGGGTACAGGCATTGGGTACCCCCAGTGTATTTACACCTGTTCCAAATGGGAGACATTGGTCAAAACAAAGGGGCTACAGGTTCCATGCAAGTCTGAA